>NC_000008.11:139339156-139641234 GCF_000001405.40 Homo sapiens
ACGTTACCTCCTCTCCGGATTGCTGAAGTCTGGCCCCTAGAGAGGTTCGGTGGGCATCACCAATAGTGCACTTCTGCCTCTAAGGAGATTTATGACCCTAGTGCTTATTTACTAGCAACTGGAATATAAAATGGCCAAGCAAACCATTAAAAGACAAACTTAGGCACATTAACATTTCAACGAGTTTATTTCAGCACTCAGTGATTCATGAACCAGGCAGCGCCAGACCACAAGCAGTTCAGGGCTCCTCCAGAGGGAAAAAGGGCCGGTTTTTACAAGGTATTCGCAGAAGCACATCAAAGAAAATATGCGGTGTTTGGTTTTTTGTATTCTCACTCATAGGTGGAAATTGAACAATGAGATCACATGGACACAGGAAGGGGAATATCACACTCTGGGGACTGTGGTGGGGTGGGGGGAGGGGGGAGGGATAGCATTGGGAGATAAACCTAATGCTAGATGACGAGTTAGTGGGTGCAGTGCACCAGCATGGCACATGTATACATATGTAACTAACCTGCACAATGTGCACATGTACCCTAAAACTTAAAGTATAATAAAAAAAAAAAAAGAAAAAAAAAAAAGAAAATATGCAATTGGTTAAGGTGTAAAGACGTTGGTTAGAGGCTAGCTGGCGGTTTGAGATTGGCGAAGCTTTAGTTTTATTTTGCTGTTTACATTGAGCTGGGTTTGTTTGCTTATGTAGGAATGCAAGGCACGGCAGAGGTCTCAGCCTAATGGCCTTCCAATTAATTATTTTAACACCACTGTACCTTAAAGTTTATAGAACACATTTCCACTCTGAACCCCATTTGAGCTTCTCAACACCCCTCAGGCATAACCACTAGATACCTGCATTGTACAGATAAAAACACAAAGATTGTGCCTTTGATTTGTCTGAACCCACCTTCCGGAATCTCTGCACCCAGCTTCCTCCCACGTGTCCACCAGGGCTCCCAACTTCAGGAGGCACTTGCTGGATACCCAAGGTCACCCTCTGCTGTGTGTGCTCCCAGCTTCAACTCCTGCATGATCTGCCCTGCCCGTCCCCGCTGCCCCCCACTTCCTGATTGATTTGCTTCATTCCTATTGTAGCACGAACACTCCGACCTGTTTTCCAAGTCCTTTATCTTCCTGCTTCAGGGTGTCTCTGTCTACTGTTCCCACTGCCTGGACCAATCGATAATCTACCAGCCAGCTTACTCCTACACAGAGGTCAGATCTTCCACAGCTGAAACATCACTCAGTCTAAAGTGCTTTTGGCTTTATAATTTAAATCAAATTCAGATATTAGACATCTATTTGTGTGATCTTTTTTTAAGGTCTCTGACCCTCAGAGAACATAGCACAAAGTTTGGCCCACACTAACTGATCAAAAAATATTTTAAATAAAAACATGTATTTACAAAAGTTACAAAGAGGCCAGGTGCAGTGGCTCACACCTGTACTTCCAGCACTTTGGGAGGCCGAGGCAGGTGGATCACTTGAGGTCAGGAGACCAGTCTGGCCAACATGGAGAAACCCCATCTCTTCTAAAAATACAAAAATTAGCCTGGTGTAGTGGTGCACACCTGTTGTCTCCACCCAGGAGGCAGAGGTTGCAGTGAGCCGAGATTGTGCCACTGCACTCCACCCTAGGCAACAGAGTGAGACTCTTGTCTCAAAAAATAAAAGGAAGAAGAAGAAAAGAAAGGTTACAAGGAATTGAGGTATGGTTAAAACCTAAAAATATGTTTCTGGCTCCAACCATGTGCCCTTGTGACAACACTGCACTGCCTTTATGTGGCATTGAGTAAGTCACCCCACTATCTCTGGTCTAAATCTGCCCACCACAGGAAGGCTTTGCATGTGACCTGCCCCCTGGTGTTTTTCCCCCACCATGTGGCATCCAACAGCCTGTGAAAGGCCGCCCCCTGGCGGTCCTCTACTATCAGCAGCACCAACACTACATAAGCTACAAAGTCAAGATCAATAAGCCACACAGAACAGATGGTTTCCCACAGTACACAGGCTTTTCTGACAATAAACTGTCAGCCTGCTGGCCAGAGCTATTAACTCCATCATTTTCTTTAGGCTTCTCTGGTTAGAAAAGCTCATCCCTTCATAAATGGATTCTAGAAGTAAGAGCTGGAAGGAATGGCAGCAATGAGATCATCTAGGTCAGGAACAGCCAACACTTGGCACTCATACCACTCCTCCTCTGCTGCACACTGACAGGCATCACTAATAGATCACAGCACTCTTTCAGAACACACCACTGTAGGCAGCCATGAGCAATCAATCTGAGTTGATGTGTCAGATGAAAGCTGAAGGAGTCAAGATGCCTGGTGGGAAACAGATGTCTCACCCAGTTGGAATGTTTGAAAAGGCTTTGAATGAAGGTGCTCTTTACACAAGGGCTCCTAACCCTGTGATCAGGGTCAGGAGAACCAACACAGACTGCCCAGTCACCAGAGACTAGCAGCACCGGGGTTGGGGGAATCTACCCCTAGAGAAGAAGGGGGTGGAGCATCAGCCTGAAGATTGGGTTTAAAGCTGGAGCCATGAAGAGGGCCACCTGATAAGACAGACACAGGCATGGTCCCAACTGGGCAACCAATGCAGGGCAGGAGCAGAGGAACACACACCCCAACCTCTGTCTCCTCTACCCTCTAGCCTCCAGCCCACCTGGAAGCCAGGAGGCAGTAGACAGTTGGTGACATATTTCCCTGAGGCCAGTCAGACCCCTCCCCACCCAGGACACAGGGCAGGACACAGGAGGTCTGAGCATGGAGTCTCCAGAACACAGCATGAGGAAAAGGTCCAGGTTTGCAGCTGTCTCAGGTCGAGTTCGTTAACTGCAGGGATGTGCAATGACGTGGCTTCTTCTCATGATGTTCAGCAAAGGGAGCGGGGGATGCAGGATGGAAGGGAGGGCTGAGCCAGATCCTCGGGTTAGGGGAGGCCTCGGCAGATCTGCTCCACTTTCCCTTTAGGCAAGAGGGCTGGCCCCGTGAGCTCCATTGCCAGCCTGTACTTGGCTGCAGGCTGTTCCCTGGGGAGGGGGCATTCTCTCTCTGGCAAGGATACCTCTCGGGAGGAGAGGACATCAGGAGCCCTCTGCTGACAAAAGTCACAGCTGATAGGGATCTGAGCTGAGCATCAATACTATCCATAGCAGAGTCAGGCATCCGTGTGCAAATTCAGTCTCTGCCACTTATTAGCTGAGTGACTACAGGAAAATGTTTAACTTCTTTGAGCTTCAATCGGTCATAACCTTCAGTGTCAGTGGGAGGAGTATGTTAACTAAGGTACGTAGAGCCCCTGGGACAGTGTAGGCCAGGGCTTTCTTCTTTCCTCCCTAGCCGATGCTCTTTCATCTCTGATAGCTGAAAATGTGGGGTCATAGAGACCTGACTCTTGCAAAGTCAGGGGCATGGGGGCAAGGGAAGGAGGGCAGGAAAGAAGGGAGGGTAATGGGCAGCTCTAGGTTGCTCTTTCAGAAGCCAGGAAAGTTCAGTGGTTAGCACCAAGACCCCAGTCCCTTAGAGGAATAGGCTGTTGGTAGCAAAGATTGAACCCTAGTGGGTGGAAGCTGGGAATCTACGGACGAGGTGGAAGCATTATTCCAGAAGAAACAAGACAGGGTTATGAGTCCTGAATCATAGGATCAGCACTGATCCTAGGCAGCTTGAACTGATGTTAAGTGTCCCTAGACATGCTCTCTGAGTAGATGCTCTTACTGTAGCATTCAGCAAGGTGTCTTGAAAATAGAAGGCACTAAATAGATGGCATTAGTAATCACATAAGGATTAAAACAAGTGGCACTCAAGTTGCTCCAGCTAATTGCTGGGGTACAAGTGCTGCCACAAAACCTCTATGGGTGCTGTCAACTGAATTGTGCTCCACCCCTCCCCCCAAAATTCATATGTTGAAGCTCTGATATATTAACATTAAGGTAATCACAGTTAAAGGAGGTGATAAGGGTGGCACTCTAATTCCATAGGACTTTGGCCTTATAAGAGCAGGAAGAGAGAGGGACAAGAGATCTGCCTGTCTCTCTCCACCATATAGGGAAAAGAAGGCAGCCATTTGCAAGCCAAGAAGAGAACTCACACCAGAACCCAACCATGCTGGCACCCTGGTCTCAGACTTCCAGCCTCCAGAGCTGCGAGGAATAAATGTCTGTTGTTGAAGCCACTGTCTGTGACATTTTGTTATGGCAGCCAGAGCTGATGAACACAGTGAAGAAGGCAAAAGAGAGCAATCATGTTCCTGCTCTCATTGTAGGAAGGCCAGGGCTGTGCCCACTCATCTCTGCAGCAGGGTTGGGGAGAGGGAGGAAAGAGTGGAACCTTTGCCTCTGGGTAGCAGGGAGGGTGTGGAGGAGGGGATATCTGAGTTGGCCCCGAAAGATTCATGGGTTCGCTGCGAGAGATGGTGTAGAAAGACCTCCCTGGAGAAAGAAAAACATAAATAACCGTGAGTTAAAACAGGAGAGTTTTCACCTATGGCTGTTCTTTTAAGACTGGCTCATCTTTCATGCGTTCAGAGGATATTTGATATTTCCTGAGTGCCAGACCCCTGCAAGGGACAGAAGAAACTGAAATAGGTAGAGTCAGTTTATCAGGAGAATCATAATTGGGTTCTAACTTCACAGGGAGGAGGGTTGGGGTGGGGGTTCAGAGGGCATGGGGTGCAGGGACATTACCATTCCTTGGTGAGACAGAGATCACATAAAAATACGCCATATTCCTTATTATCTCCTGGTCTTGCTTTCACTCTCCCACCTCCTAATTCAGAAACTGAAGTTCTCATCCATCGTCATCTTGAATGTATTTAAGAGGTTCCTCCAGAAGATCTCTAGCAGGTGGGGCCTTCGGGGTGAGCTCTCCTCTAGCAAGATAATGGGAGAGAAAATGGATAAATAAAATATAGAAATACATGATCCTAAGAATGGGTGACCCTTGCAGGGGATGCTGTTGAAGGAGAGGAAGGCCAACAACCCTTTATGACCACCTCACTCATAGCTAACCTGGACGAGGAGCCTGGGAAAGGGCCCTAGACCGGACACGTCCGAGTTTCAACTTGGGCAGTCATTTAGTGGCTGGGTGAGTGGAGGTCAAGGGGAAAACGTACTTGGTGGAAGGAACAAAAAGCAAAGGTGTAAGTGGACAGTACCCCTGCATTGGGGGAATGAGGTCAGCAGTGAGAGGGGATGAGGCTGGCGAGGGGTCGGGGCAGATCAGGGCACGTCATCATAGAAGTCTGGACTTTACACTGGTTAAAACAAGGAGAAGCCTGAGAAACGATTCACAGGCCAGAACTGCATTTTTTTTTTTTTTTTTGAGACAGAGTCTCGCTCTGTCGCCCAGGCTGGAGTGCAGTGCTGCGATCTTGGCTCACTGCAAGCTCCGCCTCCCAGGTTCATGCCATTCTCCTGCCTCAGCCTCCTGAGTAGCTGGGCCTACAGGCGCCCGCCACCACACCCTGCTAATTTTTTTTTTTGTTTGTATCTTTAGTAGAGACGGGGTTTCACCATGTGTTAGCCAGGCTGGTCTCGATCTCCTGACCTTGTGAACCGCCTGCCTCGGCCTCCCAAAGTGCTGGGATTACAGGTGTGAGCCACCACGTCCATTTTTGAAACCTCACTTTCCAGCACTGGAGATAGTGGCGGGTAAACAGAAGGCGCTCACTTGTACATGAAGCGCAAGGCTCCTGGTGCCTGCTGAAACAAGGTCAGCTTCCCTGATCTACGTTCCTGCCTTCTCCACAGCTGAAAGTACAGCTAAGTCCCCACCTCCCCAGATATCTTTCCTTCCTGCTGGCTGCTTTTTCAACTGAATGTGGGAAGTTTGATTCATTTGCTTCAATATCAGCAAACAAAGAGGAGGCAAGACTGAAGGCAAGAATCCAAAGTGGTGCTGTCTACCCTTACAGAACTGGTGGGCTTGGATGTGTGCAAGGTTTTTGCTGAAAATGAATCTCTGCAGGGCCTCTGCGCTGGCTTAGAGAGCTCAGAAACAAAGCAATTAGCCGTGGACTTTGACTTAACAAATCCAAGCGGCTCTTGGTTCTAAAACTCTGTTAAGCCTGCTCCCCCACCAATATCCCCAGCCCAGTAAATGGCTTCTACTCTAGTAGAAAAGTAGCCCAAATCCCTGTCTGCTCACTGTCTCCACCCTTGGCTCTAATTCAATCCACCTATCATCCATTCTCTGGCTTCTACACTCGGCCTCAGGACCTTTAAGGACCTTTAAACCTATGACCTTTAAGGACCTCTAAAATCTTGCCTCTGCTTGCGGGTGCATCTTGTCTTCTGCAACTATCTGTCCCTACGATGCCCACACACCCACTCCCCTACACACGTGCACACCACACACACGCACATGTGTGTACACACACACACAGGCACACATGATGTCCCAGAAATACATGACTGATTTCACTTCTCCACATAAACCATACTTTTTCATTTTTCTGTTCCTTTGCAGTTTCTTTCCCTGCTATCCAGAAAGCCTTAACCTCCACCTATCCGAATAATAACAAAATGTTATTATTTCTCCTGATTTGTCCTTGAATGAGGCATGGAGGAAACATTCACTCCCCAAACCTGAATTGAGTAGCTGCAGAGGGATAGAGAGAGGACTAAGACAGGGGCCTGTCCCTTTCAGGAAGTATTCAAGTTGGTGGATGGGCAGAAAGAGGATGTGGCAAAACACCAACCCCACCTGACAAATACCTATAAATTCTCTGAACCCTGTTCAGGTGTTAACCTCTTCTTTGACACCTTCTCTGACAACTGAACCCCTCTGGAGTTACTTAGCACACACATGACATCCACGAGTCCACGTTTACCTAGACAGCAAGATTGTGAGCTCCTTGAGGTCAGGAGACTCAGAGGCTTCTCCACATATCCCAGGGCCCAGAACCTAGGAGGAGATAATCAAATATTTATTGGATTGAGATAAACTAGTCAGGGCTTACACATCAGCCACAGCCCAAGCACGCTCACAGCAGAATCAATCCCAAACCCCAGGAAAGGGGAGATGAATGGTGAAGGGACATTTCCAAATCGCACCGCAAGTTAATAGCTGACTCTCGCTGAGAACCCAGAAATGGACTCCCAGCCCAGGGCTTGCTTCTAGAATTCCATGCTTGCTGGAGACCTGGAGATGTTGGACATGGACTTAAAGGCCAGCAGCACTGACTAGGCACAAGAATGTGCATGTAGATAATGGAAAATCACATATCAGTTAAGTGACTATTAGTGATTGAAATTGTGTGAGGAGTAGAGACCACCCCCCACCCCCAGGAGGCATTAGAGAAAGGCCAGCACTGTTGAGGGCTGTGAGGCTCCCATTTTCTCTCTGTCTTTGTTTGTCTCATCTCCTGGAAAGAGAGATGAGTAGAAATGCCTTGTTTTCTTTTGTCAACAGTCCTCAAAGACTTGGTGTGTCTGGGATGTGAGTATGCAGTGTGCATCTGGAGGGTCACCTCCACTTTTTTGTACCCCTCAAATCCCTGCACAGTTAATTAAAAGTAATGGCATTCTCTCTGCCACAACATGGCATGATCCCACCTCCATAATCTGTCATCCTAATTAGCAAGGAGAGAAGGGATTTGGCTGCTTTCAATTTGTATGTTCTAAAGCTACAGAGAAATTCATAGGAAATGGGCCTGGCTGAATCCAGCATGAACATCTGCTTAGAAAATTGTAAATTTTGAAATATGATCTTGGGGTGGTTTAGTTCCAGGTACCCTGTATTATTTCAACTGATAAATAACAATAAAATCACAGTGTTAACTATGACAATAATACTAAGGGAAGTTATTGCTTTTAGTGCCTATCAAGGGTTTTGTATTTTTAAAGTGTGCTCCAAGAAAACTAGTCCTTCAAGATACTCCTTGGTAAATGCTTGTAATGCCCAGGTCCACAGGGCATGTGTGACTCACTATAGTCTCCTCTTGGATGCTTATAACATCCAGTAGACTATGAGAAGCACTGAGAAATTATGTCATTTTAAAAAGTCATTTAAGTTTAAACCTATTCAAAACTGGAAATCATTTGTGGAATATTTAATATAACTTTTGTTCAATACAATATTTTAAATTCTAAAAACTGAGTAGGTAGCTTCCACATCACAGATAAGAAAAATGAGGTCGTCAGCAATTGCTCTGAGGTCTATGAGCAAATCCCTAAAAACTGAATCCACATTCCAAAGTCTGTGCTCCCCAGTCTCCACAGGCCCTGCCAGTAGCATGGTAGGGTCTGCACCTGCACAGATAGGTCAAGTTCATGCCTCACCCTCACTATGTGGAGGCTGCTTTCCAGGCCCACATACCCAGAAACACTAGGTGGGGAAGGGAAAAGGGACAGAAAAGAAAGTAAGCACTTACTGAGCATCCCTGGGCATGAGATGCTGTGCTTGACTCAGAAAACACAGAGATGCAAATATCCTAGTCCCTACTCTTAGAAGGCTCACCACCGGGTAGGAGAAAGACATGAATGACCAGCTTGTCACAAAAGCACAGGCTTTGGGTCCAGACAGTCCTGAATCTTGTTAAATGCCTGTTATGTGCTGGGTGGTGTTCTGAGCACAATCATTCCCTCTCTGTGCCACTTTGGGCAAGTTACTTAGCATCTCTTGTTCCCTTTCTATATAATGAGCATCACCCGCTATGTAGGGTTTCCACAGGAACTAGCAAGGCTCAATGTTCTAATGCAGTACTGGTGCCAAGCAGTTTCCTTTAACATCTACAACCATCTAATAGGGAATTTAGTGAGTTCAGTGGGGAAATCAACTCTGACAGAGTTATAGAAAGGCATCAGGGATGAGGTCATATTGGGCACAAGTTCTGAAAGATAAGTTCAACAGCATAGACAGTGACAGGAAGAAACACTCAAACTGGGTCCAAGCAAAAATAGCGTCACTCCGACAAGCTCTATCTCTCAGCTCCATCTCCTATGCTGGTGTCAGCCAGGCAGGCTCTTCCCATACCACAGTGAGATGGCATACGAAGCCTCAGCTTACACATGCTATCCACTCAACAACCCCAGCAGAGAGAAAACGCCCTTTTAGGACCAGTTCCAACAAGTGTCACCAACTGGGTACCTTCATCTGTCCCCAGATAACTACTTTCCCACCCAGGAACCTTAAAACTTGTTTCGAGATCCATGGAACTTGACCACTGTGTTTGCTTCCTTCTTTGATATCCCCGAATCCTTGAATCACTGTGCCTGGTATAGTACCTGGCTTAACAGTCCTTTAATAAATCCTGGGTGAACAGATAAAGAAATGAATGACACATTCTTCTAGAGTTCCTACCTGAGTTAATTTTCTTAAAGAGTAGTAAGATTCCAGTGGTGTGGAGCAAATCGGGCAGGTGGAACGGGTTACTTTGCTGAAAAACGTCTGAAAATCAATTTATTCTTTTGGACTTCTGGACAATTGAAAAATTACTGTCAATTCTTATGCAAAGAATAAGGCTTGGAAAAAGCGTGGAGTGGCCATGAACAAGTGTGTAGTTCTTCTCATCAGGAAATAAGGAATTTGGAATAAAGATGGAAGGCTTTGACTCTTCCCTCATTGGCCTTTCCAGAAGTCCCTCCAGACTTTCCGTTTCTTTCTCGTGTAGGAAATCCTTAAAGCAATGACCCGGCCGGTTGGTTGAGGCTGTTCTTCCTACCTGGTATGACAAGCTGGATTCTTGTCCTTGACACTTTGCGTTTGCCTCCTTTGCATCCAAATTGCCCTTTGACCTGATGCTGGTCACTAGGCCTGGTTCACTATATTTGACCTAGCACAGGTGCCCCATTTATCTAGAGTAATTGTTCATTAGCACTCTAAATATAACTGTTGGTGATTTTGAGCATTTCTCCAGATGTTGCCTTAAATGTCGTTTTAAAAATAATCAGCCCCAATGCGATGAATCAACCCCAATCCAAGCTTCCATTTGATATCTGAGAAGGCTATTGGGATGGCAAAGAACTTACAAAATAGATAGTAATTTACAAAACGAACAATAATTTGACAAATTATATACAGTAGTGTCCCCAAAGCTTGGAAGAATAAATGCAGTTTGAGAAGTTTCTCAAAGAATTAACCCACTCTGCCAAACTGATTCGGACTAAATCATTGGGATTTCTTTTTGCTCCTTAATGAAAAGAAAATTCACGTAAGAACAATAGAGTAAGTTTTATTCCTTTATTTGTTACTTCATCTCACATTTATCAAGTGTCTATTTAAATTCAGGTATAGGACTAGGCATAGGAGACTCAAAGATTCTGGACTATCGATAAACAAAAGGAACTAGAAAGCTGGACCCGGTGGTCCCCTAGGGTGTTCTCCAGTCATTCTTTGGAAGACTAGGAGGAAGCTGTGCAGCTGGTAACGACGTTAGAACTGCTCCTGGAAAGGCACTGTCATTCTCCGGAGGTTGCTGAGTGGATGGGATGTGAAAGATGAAGTTTCCTGTTGGCCATCTTGCCATTATATGGGAAGAGTCTGCCTAAATAGAACCGATGCAGAGAAAACAGAGCCAAGACACAGAGGTCTTGTCCTGAAGCAGCACCCCCTTTATATGTATTACTGCATGGGACACCTCTTGTGTTCCATTTCAAAGCCCTTGGCCTCACATGTTGTTCCACATGAAGCTATGGCACAGGTTTCCACCATCTTCATTGCCACTTGGCCTGGCAGCACCCCAGGCCCCATGTGGGCTATATGTCACCCCTCTGGCTTCTGGCCCCAGGGCTTCATCGATTCAGTGAATGGGTGAGGACAGTCAATGCTTCCTACTCATACTTTCAGAATCCAGGACTCTGGAGGAGCTGACATAACTCTGGGGGACTCTGTGACAAGTGGAGCATGGAAACCAATGGATCAGTGCTTCCGAGGCTCATTCCTCAGGCAGATGGACCTGAGATGCCCCTCACAGGATGCTTGACAGGTAGAGGATGTAGTCAACCTTCCTGGGATCTTCTATCAACTCTTTCTCCTTTCCTGCTATCCCTCACTCATGCACAAGATGATCAAAATCCCAAATAAAACATTTGCTCATCATCTTTTGTTTCTGATTATATTTTTTATGGAAATCAGGCTAAGGCTTTCCTAGAAAGGAGTGGATTTAAACACAAACTCTCAGGATAGGATTTTTGACCTGGGCATCTCACCACCCAGATGGCAACAGGACCCCATTGCTGGTGGTAAGTGGGTGGCTGGTAACCCTCCAGCATACAGTACAATGACAGTTGCAAAGGTATTCCTGTTATTGGGATGAGGTGTGGATACAGGGAATATAGCATTAGAGCATGTAACAGCTAGGATATTTGAATGACAGGAAGGCAGCAGTGACTATAAAGTTTGCGGAGTGGACTCACTTTGTTAACTGCTTTGGAAGCCTTGTAAAGAAAATGACAGACTTGGGTCAACCAAACATGAGTTCAAGACTCCAGGCTGCAAATTAAGATGATTCTTATTTCAGGAGATGCAAGCCATAGTGTACTAAAAATCAAGCCCAGGGTCCAGTGGTAAGAATAACAGTAGATATAAAGGTCCCTGAATGCACAGCCTCTACATGTCTCCCATGTCAAAGTTAGGACTCATATAAGAAGAGAAACTAAGGCAACAAATGGGACAGTTCAAGGATGTGCATATGAAACTTGAACCCCAGATTTTCCTGAATCTTCTAAGCCTGTAGAAGAAGCTCTTTCCACTTGCTACAGGAGAGAAGCTCCCCCTAGCACAGACCCTAAAAAAGATCTCAATTGAGCCAGGTGCAGTGGCGTATGCCTGTAATCTAAGTGCTTTGGGAGGCTGAGATGGGAGGATTGCTTGAGTCCAAGAGTTCAAGACTAGCCTGGGCAACACAGAGACCCCGTCTTTACAGAAATTTTAAAAATTAGCCAGGTGCGGTGATGCATGTCTATAGTCAGAGATACTTGGGAGGCTGAGGCAGGAGGATCACTTGAGCCCAAGAGATTGAAGCTGCGGTGAGCTATGATCATGCCACTCCACTCCAGCCTGGGCAACAGAGTGAGACCCTGTCTCTAAAAAAAAAAGAAAATCAACTGAGGCATGTATCTTACAAGATATCTTTTTTCAGAGACTTTTTTCCCTATCAAGCCCTGCACCCATATCTCCTCATTGCCTCCAGGAAAATAACTGCAGTTATATTTTAGGATGGGCTGTATGGGGAATTAAAGCCTCTACCCTAGGAGGAAATAGCTTACATCCAGAAGTATTAATAGTTGCAGGATTAATTTAAAATGTGGCAGCGGAAATGAGGATTGGGATGGTTGAGTGGAGCTATGTGAGATTGGATATTGAGAGTGTTAAGTAGGATATAAGAATCATACTTCCAAGCCATTGTAGACCTGTGGACAAAATTAAATCTACAAATTCTAAACTCTAGAGGAATGAACCCACGAGCAAGAGACAGAGGACAGTTTTACATCTGGGGTCAGCTTCTGAGATTTGGGGTAGTATGGGCAGAGATAAGACCTACCAGAGAAGGACTTTTTTTTTTTTTGCTCAAGAAAGAAAACAATCAAATTTTGACAAACTTGGGGACTGGCATGTCTGATTTGAATCTGAAAGATGCCTGAACACAAATATAATTCTTCAAATAATTATCTTACATAGGCATTTTGCTGAATAAGGAATTGTGTTAAAAAGCAGAAAGAGAGCTTGCCAGCTCAGAGACTCTTGAACTTGTCATCTCATAATCTCACAATTCGAAGTCTATTGATCTTGATGCCTTAGACTTATGATCTTTTAGTCTTATGATCCCATGGTCCTGGTATCCTATTCCTGAAATCTCATAAGTCTGGCAAACGATAGTCTCAAAATCTCAAAGACCCATGCTTTGAAATCTTGTAATCTCAATGTCTCGGATTCTCCTTTCCACAGGATCTTCCAGATTTAAATATCGAGGAGTCTCACAGCCTAGCAGTTTTGAGGTGGAGCAAATAGGAGCCCTCCCAATTCCAAGGATTTTCAGTCCTACAATGTTTGATTCCAAAGACTTACCAGAGAAAGAGGCCTGAACTCAATTTAAAATTGTTTTAAGCCAGAAGTAAACTACATTTAATTAAAGACCAATCAAATTCAACCCAATTAAACTTCTAAGGAAATAAAAAATACCAGTTCCCTGGTGGTACAGGAATCGGTTGGGGTAAAAAAATAACAAATAAACTCCTTATATTTTTTGTGCTTGAATTCAAACCCTTTCTGGAGGAAATAAAGACAAAACCATGACCTAAAATGGCTAAACTTCCATTTACATCAAATGATCAGTTCTCCCCCATGTAATCTGCCCATTATTATTGTTCTTTTAAATACAATGTAAGAAAATAAAAAATTACAAAATTAAAAAACAAGCATAGAATTACCAAGAGAAAAATCAAGTCAATGGAAACATACCTAAAAATGATCAACATGTTGGAATTAGCTTACATAATTCTAAAATAAGTATAATTAATATGTTAATAAATCTACATAAATATATACATAAAACACAATACATATATTTATACATATATATTTATATAGTACAAAAATATGGATAATTTCACAAGAGATTTTCTTAACTGTAAAAAAGAACAAAATTTAAAATCTAGAACTAAAAATATATCTGAACCCAAAGTTGTAATGATGAGATGAACAGCACTTTGGAAATAATAAAATAAAGGATCAGTGAACTTGAAGGGAGATGAATAAAAATCATCCAAACTGGGCCAGGCGCAGTGACCCATGCCTGTAATCCCAACACTTTGGGAAGCTGAAGGGGGTGGATTACCTGAGGTCAGGAGTTCGAGACCAGTCTGACCAACATGGCGAAACCCCATCTCCACTAAAAACACAAAAATTGGCTAGGTGTGGTGGCACACGTCAATAATCCCAGCTACTTGGGAGGCAGAGACAGGAGAATTGCTTGAACCCAGGAGGTGCACATTGCAGTGAGTCATGATTGCACCACTGCACTCCAGCCTGGGTGACACAGTGAGGCCTCTTCTCAAAAACAAAAAAAAATAATCATCCAAACTGAAGCTCAAGAAGAAAAAAACTCACTGAAAAAATAATTAAAGAGACTTAATGACTTGTAAAACAGCATAAAGTACACTAATCTAGGGGTAACTGAAATTACAGAAGAGGAGAGGAAAGTAGGGCAAGAAAAATATTTGAAGAACTATTGACTGAGTGTTGTCCAAATGTGATAAAACAAATAGTATCCAACTGGTCCAGAAAGATCAGTGAATCCCCAGCAGTATGTATACAAGACAATAACAACTAAAGAAAACATAGTAAAACTCCTAAAAATCAAAGATAAAAGAAAAATTTTTTGAAGTACATGTGTAAAAAAGAAAGAGATGTAATATACAGGGAAACTATAAACTAGGCAGTTAACTTATTATCAGAAATGATGAAGGTCAGAAGATAATGGACACAATCTATAAAGAGCTAAATAAAAATTTATTAATTTAGAATTTATATCCAGCAATACTATTTAAAAATAAATGAAGAAGTAATGAAGACATTCTCATATAAAATAAATAAATTTACGGGCAACAGATCCAACCATAAGAAATGGTTTAAAAAGTTTTTAAGGTGAAGGAAAACAAGACCAAAGGGAAATCTGGGTCTAAAAACTAGAAGACACTGGAAATATTAAGAATACAATAAATATTTTAAAAATTTGTTAATTTTTAAAAACAGGATTGATCACTTAAAGTAAAAATTATAACAAGGGATGGAGGGTATGTATGTGTAAGTAAAATATCTGACCATGGTAGCACCAGGTATAAGAGAATAGAAATAGATTTATACTTTTGTGAGAATCTCACATTATACCTGAAGTTGTATCATAGGAATTCCAGGTGAATTATTATATAATCATGCATATTGTAATCCATAGAGCAAGCTTTTTTTTTAAGTGCGAAGAGACATAGCTTAAAGTGAAAGAAAGAAGAGAGAAAGAGATGTTTAAAATAATCAATTGACCCCCAAAAACGCAGGGGAAAATGAAAGAAATAGAACAGAAACAAACAGAAAATATTTAAAATAATTGTAGAGATATTAATAAGTCCAAACATACAATTAATAACATTAAATGCAAACATATTAGGCACTCTAATTAAAAGGAAGGCGTTTTCAGTTTGGATAGAAAAGCATGACCCACTACATGCTGTTTACAAGAGACATACTTAAAAATAACTATTCAAATACGATGAAATTAAAAGGATAGATAAAGCAGGCAAACAGTAAGCATAAGAAAACTGGTATCGCTATACGAAAATTAGATAAAATTGTCTTTAAACAAGTAGTATTACCAAAGGTAAAAAGGGTCAATTAATGATGATTAATGGCCAATTTCTCAAGAGGCTGTTATCATCTTAAATGTATATTCACATAGCACCAGAGCTACAAAATATAGGAAGCAAAATTCGACAGAACCAAAGAGAGGAAAAGATAAATGTGCAATCATAGTATGAGATGTTAACACCACTCTCTCAGTAACTGGCATAAAATAGGCACAAATTAGTGAGAAGAAGCTTCTGCTATCAACATTTTGAAAATAGAAAACTACACATAATAGGTAAAGTCAGTTTTCAGACTTTGGACAACAGTGATCGCTTAGGGGAAACAAATGAGGTGGGCCCTGTGATCACCCAGACTTTCTGCCTAAAGGCACGAGTTCGAGGAGGTAGATCTCAAGCAGAACACAGTGGCCTCTGAGTCAAGGAGACAGAGATCCAAACTGGAGAGGACTGAAGCAGCTGGTATCTGGGGGACAGAGTGTGGAAAAGATGGAGCTACATAGAGAAAAAAAATCCTCCAAACCTTCATAGATGTCTCATTGAATTGGTTGCTGAATATTAACTGTTTGCTATGGCTGCCATTAAAAAAAAACTCACAGACAGGTAGAGTCATTGAGTTAACGATGGCATCAGAGGCTTCCATGTGCTGCTAGCTCTGTTTTCTTCTCAGTAAAATGGGTAGAGGCCTGAATTTCCAAGGGATTCAGATGATTCTGAAAAATTCCAAGCCCTGGCCTCATAGAAAAAGTACCTGTGAGTCCTCAGGATGTTAGCACTAATCCACAGTGCAGAAGGGTTTCATGCCAGGTGTCCCAGGAACCCTTGGAGTTTTGCCAGAGCTGCCTGGCCACCTCTTCCTGTTTAAGGAGAAGGAAACATTTTCTGCTGATTTGCAGCCAGCAACAGGACAGGCCACCTGCTTACTTTCAGGAAAGAACAGAGGGGAAATTCTAGGGAGGGCCTCAGGTGACAGCCGGGCCCAGGGAAGGAAATCATACTTCATCCACAGGGAGCTGCAGCTCAGTGTTCAGGCTCTGGTGATCTCTGTGAGCACAGGCAAGACCATGTGCCACCATATTAGTCAGGGCTGTCACTTTAATGGAAGTAGTGAAGTTAATACTTTATTCACTGATTAATTCATTCACACTTTCCACCCTTTTACTTTTGTGTCCATTTAACTTTTCCTTTTTCTTTACACCATGAAGGTGACAGTGCCTATCTCGATGGGTCCTTGTGATGATCCTTGCCAAGGTACATGGTGGCCTGCCCCAAGTTCTGGCCCAGAAAGCGTGTAGTAGACTTGGCATTATTGGATATCTTTTCTGTAAATGCTCTAATGGTAAGTCTCTCAGTCTTTTTCTCCAGCTATCAGTAACCAAACTGAGTTTTCCTAAGACTCTACCCTTTTGGCTGGAGAAACTTATCAGGAAAATCATTCTAGATTGCCCCACATGGGGCCCCCAATAGCCCAGTTTGCCCAGGACAGAGCCCATCTCTGGCTGTGAGACTTTCTGTACTGACACAGGAGCAATATCAGGCAAACTGGGACAAGTTGGTCCCATATCCCATCATCAAGTGGGCTAGGAGAGAACCAGTAACAGAAACCAAGAATCTGTTCGAACTCTTGTCTCTGTGTGAGAATACAACTCATTTTTCTTGATTTACACAAGTGTAGATCTCTCTACCCCCATCAAGCAGAACATGAGAGGCAGGAAGGGGTAGAGTTAAGGCCCTGACTTTGGAGTCCTGCCCTGGTTTGATCACCTGTAATCCATGAGCTCTTGGACAAATTACTAAACTTTTCTCACTTCCTTACTTCCTCATCTAGATTTAGTTTACTAATATCTTATTTAGTATTTTTGCATCTATATTCATGAGGAATTTGATCTGAATTTTTCCTTCCTATGGTGTCCTTATCTGGTTTAGGTATCAAGATGACAGACATCTCACAAACGTACTGGGGGAATAAGTGCCAATCTATGGAAGCACTTGTATAAAATTGGAATTATATATTCCTTGGTGTTAGGTAGATTCCGGCTGTGGAGACGTTTGAGTCCTATATTTCTAGGAAATGTTTTGTCGTGTCTATTTTTTATTTATTAACATACTGCATTCTTATTATACTATTACTAATATCTTAGCATTTGTTTGTTGATCAGTCGTATCAGATGTCCAAATTATTCGTATCTCAAAGAAACAAATATTGTCTTCTATTTATTTCCTACATCATTATTTTTCAGTCTTATATTTATATTTTTCTTATGTATTGGGCAGGGGAAGAGTTACTTTCTTATCATTTTTTTAGACTTCTTGATGCTTTAACTCACCAACAGTAAAGCTTTCCTTTTTCCCAACATCAAATATCATCTTTCATATGTAAAACTTTCATTATTAGCAATTTATAAAATATTGACAATTTACTATTGCCATTTCTTCTTTAAACCATGAGTTATTTAGAACTTGACTTAATTTCAGTTTCTTCTGGGGATGTGACGGTTATCAGCTGTCTGCCCCTTCAGGTCTATGCGCCATCCTTCCTTCACCCTGTTCTCTGCCCAGGAAACTGAGAGATGAGAACTATGTCAACTGGCTCTGTGATCCCCTGGCTGCTAGTTGAAAGGAGGTAAGAGGGTGGAAGGAGAGTGAAGTCAGGTGTCTATTTGCTGGACTCCCTTTTCTTTCCTTTATTTCATTCGGAGCACACGCCACACCCTGAAATCATGCTGTTTACCTTAGCATAACTACTCTTGTGTTTTCCGTCCTCACATTAAGAAGGTAAATTCCACTGCAGCAAAATCTCCAGCTTCCACCCCAGGGCCTGGCTCCTGAGGTAAGAGGTGAAAGAACCTTTATAGATCACAGAGACCAGCTCCTTCCCAGTGCATCTAAGGAAACTGAAGTTAACAGGCAAGGAGACTTGCCAAAGGTCAAATGTCTCATTAGAGGCAGGGCCACCTACACCCTGACCCTGGATTTCTTCTATAGCATGAGACCTCCCAAAATAAGGTGAGAAGAAGAAAGAGGGGGAGTCCCTGCCTGGACGCAGTGTGAAGGAACTGGCTGCATTGTAATTCTCTGAGCAAAGGAGGGCAAATACCCACAAAGCTGAATCACTGATTGCTTTGCCTCTCCCAAGTTTCACAAGTAGCCTCTGATCTCTGTGCCTCCTATGTCAAGCCTGCATAGACAGTTGGTTAATTAAATGAGGCCACAACAGCCAAATGGCCTAGGAAGGTGTCTGTTTCCACTGCCAGACCTCTGACCTCTTTATGGTGGAGAATAGAATAAACAAAGTTTCCCAAGAAGCTGAGAAAAACCTCTCTTCCTGAGTTCCTATCACATAAGAAATGATTGCTGTGAACAGATGTCCAAGTCCTGATCTTGGAGCAGCCAGGGCCCAAAGCTGGGATGCCAATTTTCATTTTATCTTCCTCTTCCACTAATCCTGCAGGGCCCAGAACCAAAGCACAAGATGAAATATATCAACACTTTGGAATAAATCACTATGGGCCATAGGAGGGAGGAGACCCATCAAAATTATTGAAAAGTTTGATTGAAGGTGCCTTTAAAAATATTGATGATTTTCCAAGGAGAAAATTTCTTCTAAGCAGATTTTTTTAAATGCATAATTTGTTTAAAAGTGCTTATTTACACCATGGAATACAATGCAGCCATAAAAAAGAATGAGTTCATGTCCCTTGCAGGAACATGGATGAAGCTGGAAACCATCATTCTCAGCAAACTAACACAGGAACAGAAAATCAAACACGTGTTTGTTCTCACGCATAAGTGGGAGTTGAACAATGAGAACACGTGGACACAGGGAGGGGAATACCACACACCGGGACCTGTCGGGGGTGGGGGGCAAAGAGAGGGAGAGCATTAGGACAAATACCTAGGGCATGTGGGGCTTAAAACCTAGACGATGGGTTGATAGGTGTAGCAAACCACCATGGCACACATATACCTATATAACAAACCTGCACGTTCTCCACATGTATCCCAGAACTTAAACTGAAATTTTTAAAAATATGGTTATTTATAAAAGACTTGAAGCACTTGACCTCGGATCAGAGGTATGTTCAAATCTTTATTTCCATGCGCCATGAGCTTGACTATCAGAGGTATGTTCAACTCTTCATTTCCATACACCATGAACTTGACTCTAAACTGGGCATTCCTGGCCAGGTGGGCACACTTCTGCCTGCTTTGCATCCCTAATTCTCAAAAGTGAAGCCTCAAGGAAAGTCCCAATCCTGGGAAGCACCTTAAGGTTTACAAAACCCTCTCGTGAGTTTATGTCCCATCATCTCCTTACACGAGCATAAGAACTGAGGCTCATGGACGTTGAATCAACCTGCCAAGGTCTGTCCAGCTACTGACTGACAGCTGCAGAATCTGAACCTCACCTGTCCTGTATGTTATGCTGGGGCACCTCATGCTGTGTTTGTCGTTAGCTAAGTGTGTGTTTGTCTCCCCAGGTGACTGAGTTTCTTGAAATAATGTCTCATTTACTTGCCTATTGGCCACATCTATCTTGCTGGATGGCACATAACAGATCTCTCCTAGTCCTATGTTTAAAATGTCTACATTCTGGTTCGAATGAATGAATGGAAATGCCCCTCAACAGGAAGGCCTGAAAAATGTGACCTTATCTTGGCTTTGCTTCATGACTTGGGACACCTCACTTCCTCTTTCTGTTCCTTGTGTTGCTACTGGAATACGAGTTCTTTAAATCCCATCACTTCTCATTCTCCTCTTCAGGCCAAAGGTCTTTGTGTGATGCCACGTAGCAAATTCAAAAGTGAGATCTCTTCCCACACCCTTAAAACCAAATCAAAGACATATTGAGAGAAAGAAGAGAGAGAGATTTTTGTCATGAGTGACTGGATAGCAGGACTGGCTACATAGTGGGGGTGGTCGGTGGGGGGGTTGGGTGGTCCAGGGTGAAATTGTTAAAATTCTTTAAAGAATTTCAAACTGGCAATGGCAGAACCTTAATCCAGTGCAGGTCCTTTTAGGCATGGGGTCCTTTGCAAATGAGCAGATTATATGCTATGAAGCTGGCCGTGCAAGCAGCAATTATGGCTTAAACATGCAGCCCTTTCTATGACCACTGGTGGAAGCATTTCCCTTTTAGGAGCCAAATCCTCTAAATGCACAGAGCCCAGGGTGATGGGAATGGGAGTGATGGAAAGCAGAACTAGACATCTTCCCCCATTGGTTTCCAGACCCTCAGCCTCCCCATTGGGTCAGAGAACCATATAATGATACTTGATTTCAGGCAATAGTTTTCAACCATAAACGGATATCTAGGGGATGTGGTGCTACTACTTATATAAAGTGTGTGGAGGCCAGGGATGCTGTTAAACATTCTACAATGGACAGAGCAGCTCCTCATGACAAGTAATTATCTGGCCCTAAATGTGAATAGTCCCAAGAGTAACAAACCTCCATTGAGGGTATATACTGCACTTGAAACTTGACTATCATGGCAGGCTCTTCCATCTTCATTGACCGAACCTTCACCATATGGAGTGCATTTATCTTACTGATGTCTGAAACACACTTACTTACTGCTTCTTGCTCAACCAATCTGATTGGTCTGATGTCATCAATATGTAGTCAAGAAGGTCATATTCTGTGGGATTTCCAAATGATCTAGATCCCTTCAGACTGTATGTTGGAAGGAGATGTAAGATTCACATGGCTTTGGGTGAGAATGTAAATGCATACTGCTATCTGTCCTACATGAATGCAGACTGCCATGAGCCCACTTTCTCATTAGGAGTTTTTTTTAAAAAAGACCAAGTTCACCATAGCAATGGCCTCCTCAAGGATACATATGAAACTCAAGAAGTTTTTTAGTGCAGTGAGGAAGGGAATGGGATGTGAATTATGAATAAATGGGGATGGATGAATGAACAATCTACACATGCATACATCCATGCAGGAAAATCAGGGAAGAGTTCTTGTAGAAGCCAGTGATGGAGATGATGATGGTATTCTGTGAATTCAGGAATATGATCATCATGTCCCTCTAAAAAAATAGGGAGAGATCTCACTTTTGATTTTGCTATGCTGCATCAACAAAGACCTTTAGCTTGAAGAGGAAAATGAGAAATCATGGGATTTAAAGAACTCATTCCAGGTAGAAAAACAAAGACCAGAAAAAAAGGTGTCCCAAGTCATGAAGCAGACCCCCACCCACTCCTGCACACTCAAGGAAAGGTAAGACACAGAGAGCATGTCTAGGGAAAGGATACTAATTGGTTAGTTCCACATCTTGCACACCCAGGTGCAGGTGCTCCATAGGTAGAACTAGAAATGGTAAGACAGCTGGAGGTAGAATCCAGCTCCCATGGAGGACTGAAGCCCTGAGGACAAGTGAGATCCTCAGGACAGCTGCAGAGAATGACTGAGTGCAGTGGGCTCAAGATAGAGCCCTGGAGAACCCCGATGTTTAAAGGAACAAAGGGGATGATGAACCCATCCAAGAAACTGAGAAGAAATGCTCAAAATTATGAGAATCATCAGAGGAATGTGGAATGAAGGAAGCTAGGGTAGAAGAGAATTTCAAAGGCCTGAGTGAATGGCCATTTCAAAGGCAGTAAGAGATGCTGGAAGATAAAGGCTGAAAACTTTTTAAAAAGTTGGACTATAATTTTTGCTTTTATCGTTACGATAAAGCATTGAATTGAGGTGAATGGGTTTGCGGGAGTGTGGAACAGGAAAGCGGCTCAGAAAGCAAATCGGTAATCCCTCTAACATCGTCCCTGCTCTACCATGGACCTTGTCTATTGCCACAAGTGAACATCTGGCCTCCAGTGTTGTCCTAGATGGAATAGAGATACGATTGTGTGATGTGCAAGGTTTTGTGATGCTCAAGTGAGAGATAAAATGTAAAAGTGCTTTTTAAACTATTTGTTGGTTCTTTTAACACATTAGCTAAAGCTAACAAGAGAGATTTGGATTTTGAACCATTGCACACCTTCCAGACAAAGATCTCAAACTTTTTATGGAAGTTTGCTTTCCTCCTCTCCAGTATGGACATCATAAAATGCAAGCCTATGGCATTGTCCAAGTCCAGGATAGGGGCCTTTGAAGTGTGTAAAAATGCTGATGAGATCATTTTTGAGAGCTATTGCCAGTCACTGCTTTTGATTGAACTCCACCCTGAGCAGCAGGGCCCCTGAATTTACTTATCCCTTCCTCTCTCTCTCGGGGACCTGCCACCCTCCAGAGACAAGACACAACCTCACTCATTACTTTTCCCAGTGACAAGCACAATGCCCAGCAACAAGAAAGAGCACCCCAAAACATGTGATGAATGACTGGATACTAGGAGGAGGAAGAAAATGTGTGCTAGAAAAAAAAATGAAATAAAGAATAAGCAAAGGAGAGGTGCATTTGACCTGAAGGAACTGGGAAAGCTTCCTGGTAAAGAAAGCAGTTGACCAAAACTTTGAAAGAAGGAAGGACTGGACAAGTAGACAGTAGAGAGGATATTTCAAGTCTAGAGGAAAATGTGAACAAAAGCACAGAATAAAGAAAATGCAGGAATGTTGGCAGCTACATCCATGTTCTTTCCAACAGATCTTGAAAGTCCCATGCATTGAGTGCTTGCTATGTGCCAGGCACTTGCAAGACTTTTTTCCTCCTCTTTGAAGAGGAAAGAAAGGACATGAACACTGGAGACAGCCATGGGGAAGGGATGAGGTAGGCAAGGGTCAGACCCATATGTGTTCTAATCCCAGCTCCACCACCACAGAAGTGTGAGTTTCCGGCAACCTAATGAATTCCTTATAAGCCTCTTGCTCCTCATCTGCCCAGGGGAGGCAACGGTGCTTACTCAGGGAGTGTGTGATGATTAAATGATATAATGAATCATACACATGCCCAGCATTGAACACCATTGGTGCTCAACCAGCATTTGCCCCTGTCCCTTCCACCAGAGCCCAGTGATCCTGGACAGCTTTCAGGCATCTTGAGTTCTCAAGGGCTTCCTTTGGTTCTCTTTGTACAGTAAGGACTGTGGGGATGCAAGATGCCACTCCTGTGCCAAGAATGTGAGGAGCACTATTTTCCTCCCAAGTCAGGTCTTTATGGTAACCTTAAAATGGTGCAAAATTCCAGCATCTCAACTCCCTTTCCCTGCCGTTATTTTTATCTCTTCTCACTCTGTCATGTTCATAGGATGCTGCCTCTTGCTGTGGCAACAGACACAAGGCTGGGTTGGGAGCAATCAGAGACAGATGGGAAAGACCTGCTGGAAGAATCCCGGAACATAGAAGCTGGAATCCATGTCCGCTCCCTCCGCTGCTTCCCACAGCCTCCTCCAAAGCCCTGAGAGAGAAGTGCAGGGGGAGGTCACACCCTCCCCTGCATCTGGGTTGGGGGACCTAAGAGGACCACCCAGAAAAGTAAATTATTTTTAAGCAGAGTATGCTGTTATTTGAAAAACACATACATATTTGATATTTCACTCAAAATATATCAACCTTCATTTGGCATATCCAGGTAATATTTTTAAATCACTTAATTTTTTTTTCACCAAAATCCACACATAAAATTGACGCTCACGTATAAATCCACACTGGGTATTTGTTCTGTTAGTGTCAAGCGCTGCTGAGAACACGACCCTATTTCCCAGTGAAATGTGGACTTCAGGATGGGAAACCTGAGTAGATCCCAACTTCAGATGACGGAAGTAAAGCCCAGAGGTTGCAAATCAATCTTTTCTCTTCTTTTAACTTTATTTTCCACTTACTTCATAAACATTCTTCCGTTTAATCCTCACAAGAAACCTACAAGGAAAGGAGGAAGAACAGTGTTGTTACTGTCTCCACTTCGTAGGTGACATCCAGCAAGGTGACAGGATTTGGCTGCTGCCTCCCAGGTTGCCATGGTGAATTCCAGCCCAGAAAACAAGATAACATACAGAGCCAAGAGTGAGAACACCATGGGACGTGGTGACAGAGGGAGATGGCAGCTTTGATGGGAGCACTGAGGGGGCAGGTAATGCAGCCTAGAGATTTATGGAAGACCTGCGCTTCACTTCAATGGCAGGCAATAGTGACACACCAAAAAGAATTTGCTTGTTGCAAATTCAAGTCCAAATGGAGCAGCCTAACACAGGGCCAGCTATGTAAGTGGGATGACAACTAGACCGTCCAAAGATGATCTAGTTGGCAAGATGAAGGCTCAGAAAGAAAAGAAAAAAAGAATCAAAATAGATAATAAAGAAGCTCTTTCCACCCTTCTCAAAAGAAGTAAGACAGCAGAATGCTGCTGCCCTCTATTTGATGCAAACGTCACATGGATGAGTGCTAAAATGACCCAAAAGCAGCATTCATGAGCGGAAATTCTCTGAACTCCAGCGGCTTCCAGGTAAGCTTGTGAGGATCCCAACCTTTATCCCCCTCTCTGACTCCACACCAGCCTGGAAGGCTCCCCAGCCCCCACACCCATTAAGTGGGACCATTAAGTGGGCACTGCACTTAATGGTCCTATTTATTCATGAGTGGCTGTCTCCCTTCATCAGTCCCAATGCACTCTGGGACTTAGAGGGGAGCTTTTCTAATCCTGAGGACACCTTGGGGACAGGGTAGACAGAGCCATGCCTCAGCTAGAACCTCCCTTCTGAGTAGCGGGCCCTGTCTCACCTGAGTGTGAGTGGATATGCTTCAGGATAAATGGCCAAACTGGACATTGATGAGGGGCCAAAAACTCTAAAGGAACTAGAGCAAAGTTAATGCCAGTCCTCCTGTCTTCCAGGCCTGAGAGAGCCTCCCTTGGGCTTGGATTTCTCATTTGCAAATAAATGTGGCTCACTATCCTATGGGAACAAAGGAGCCTGCAGCCAGAATCACTATAGGAAGAGACGGCCCAGCTTAGCAGTCACATGGCCTCTGTGGGTGAGCTCCTGGCCCTGCCACCTGCCACGAGAGCACCTGAGCCTACTTCACAGGCAGGTGGTCCTGTGAGCTTAACAGGCAGCGCCAACCCCATGGCGAAGTCTTGCTGCAGAAGCTCAGTGTTTCAGCAGGTACCCTTAACTCACACTGCAGACCCTGTCATTTGTCTGCCCAATAACCATGCCCCTATTTATTTAGGAAAGTTCTATGATATTTGGGGAGGGAATGAGGACAGACTCCTTATAGCAAGAGTGACCATGTGACTTTGTTCTGGCCAATTAAAGTTGAGAAGTCCCTAATCTGACTCGACCTTCTCTGAGAAAATGGATAAAGCCACACTAGAAGAAACACTTCCTCCTTCTCTCTGACCCTTTCTAACTACCAGAATGGCAGCAGCCATCCTGCAACTGTAAGAATAAAAGCTAAAAGGAAAGAAATATTCTGGGCCCTTGATGGCTAGTGACCCTTGCTCTGGACAGGCTACCTCCAAGTAAAAATAAGCCTGTGTTTGTCTAGTCACCTCTATTCGTTTGCTAGAGCTGTCTTAACAAATTATCACAGACTGGGTGGCTTCAACAACAGAAATTTATCTTCTCACAATTCTGGAGGCTAGAAGCTTGAGATCAAGGTGTTGGCAGGGGCGCTCCTTCCAAAGGCAGTGAGGGAAGGATCTGTTCCAGGCCTCATTCCTTGGCCTGTAGACTGCCGTCTTCTCCCTGGGTCCTCACATGCTCATCCCTCTGTATCTGTGTGTCTGTGTAGATGGCCGTCTTCTCTCTGTGTCCTCACATGCTTGTCCCTCGTTCCTTGGCCTGTAGACGGCCGTCTTCTCCCTGTGTCCTCACATACTCGTCCCTCTGTATCTGTGTGTCTGGGTCCCAGTCTCCTCTTCTTAGAAGGTCACCAGTCATACTGAACTAGGGCCCACCATAAAGACCTCATTTTAATGTAATGACCTCTTTAAAGACCCTATCTCCAAATACAGTTACATTCTCAAGTACCAGGGGTTAGGACTTCAACATGGAATTTGTGGGTTTAAGGGCAAAATTCAGCCCATAACACCATCATTGTGGGGTTGTCTGTGGTTTGCCTCTATCTACATAGCTATTTACCATATTATATCAACAGAAGGATCTTAGATGCTGTTGGTCTAGGTGCTGTTTGGTCTATCCAAATGGATATCCACACACAGTGCAGTTTGCTGCCATCCACACAGCTATTTGCCACATTAGATCAGCAGTAGGATCCTAGATTGAGGTGCCATTTGGACTAGGACTGGGCTACAAGGGCTGGCAGCCAGGCTGGTAGACACAGGTGTGTACAAAGGGCACAAACACAAGACTTTAGGAGAAGAGGCCTGGAGGGAGGGGGGAGGAAGGTAAACTTGCCAACCAGTAATAAACCATATTTGATGAGCAGCTCTGCAGCAGACAGTGGACAACAGCGCCACACAGGAGACCCCCTTCCAGGACCAGCACACACTCACTCTACCTGCATCATGCAACTTGCGCATATGCCCGTGACACAGTCCATCAATGTTGTCCATGCCTGGTAATTTGGCACAAATGATAAGCAGCTGCTATGATAACTATTAACCCTTTGCCAGCACAAAGGAATCTGCCAATACTTTGATGGAAGCTGTGTGATCGATCAAGGAGCAGCACCGTGAGGGAGGACAGCATGGATTCTTAGCCAAAGCTGGGTCTGCCCCTTGCCTGCTCTGTGACCTTCAGCAATCTGTGCCCTCTCTGTGCCTGCTTCCTTATCTCTAAACAGGAATGAGAATCGCCGAACTCACCTTACTAGGTTATTGCAAGGAATAACCAATTAACATTTGTGAAACGTAGAAGAGTACCTGGCACAGAGTTAGTTCCATTTAAACGTTCAGGTTTGTTTTTGTTTTTGTTTTTTAGTCCCAACATTTCATCCAAAATCACAGGTCCATGGGTCAATCCCTACCTTATTCTCAGCCTCTGATTTCTCTTTGTAAATATCTACTTAGCAAATTCACGAAGTACATACTATATATATGACACTGAGGCCAGCGCTGTGAGCTGAAGGCTGGTAATGCCATCCCTGTCTTCTTTAAAGGGTTGTTATTGGCCGGGTGCGGTGGTTCACGCCTGTAATCCCAGCACTTTGGGAGGCCGAGGCGGGCAGATCACTTGAGGTCAGGAGTTTGAGACCAGTCTGGCCAACACTGTGAAACCCCATCTCTACTAAAAATACAAAAATTAGCTGGGGGTGTTGGCATGCACCTATAGCCCCAGCTACTTGGGTAGCTGAGGCAGGAGAATCGCTTGAACCTGTGAGGTGGAGGTTGCAGTGAGCCAATATTGGGCCACTGCACTTTAGCCTAGGTGACAGAGTGAGACTCCATCTCAAAAAAAAAAAAAAAAAAAGTGGGGTGGGGTTGTTATAAGGATTAAATACAATTGTGTTTGGGAAAATGCTTTGTAAAGTATAAACCGTTGTGTGTATTTTAAGAGTTGCTAGTATTATCCTGAATGTGTGTGATGACATATTTTTTCAGCAGTTCTGAGTGGGCTATTCTGGTGGGCAGGGTGAAACAGGACCCAGAGCAGCTTTAAACCGGAAGCTGAGAGGGAGAGACCAGAAGTAAGGAGGGAAGGGGCGGCCGTTGGTAAGTTCCTGCCATGGGTCAGGCATTGTGCTAGGCCCCTGATATGCCTTTTCAGATGCAGAATGCTAGGTCTCACACAGAACCAGTCCTCTGCTCCTTCGTGGTCCCCTGGAGAAGCTGTGCCTCGCAGCCCCTTACTGTTAGGTGGCACCAGAGACTAATTCCGTCTGATGGGCTGTGCATGGGAATGACATGCCACTTCCAGGTGGTGGCCTTGAAGAATAGATATGGGCTACGCTCCCTTCTCTCCCGTCCATGGGGGCTTCTCTTTCCCTTCCAGGTTGTGCGTCCCAGAGGGTGGCTCTAAAAGTTAAAGGAGGATGGCCTCCCCATGTCAGATATAACAGGGGCCACTAGTGCACCTGTGCACTCTTGATTAGCCACTAAAATGTTGGGGTGAATTTGTTCATTTATAGATTCCCAACCGCCCTCCCCACCACCACCACTTCACACCCATCCAATAGGCTGTTCTCAGCACTGCAACCAAAGCAATCCTGTTATGATGTAAATCCACAGTTCACGGCCCCCCAGAGGTTTCCCTTCCCGACAAGTAAAAGCCACAGTCCTGGCACCCGACGCCTCCACCCTTCTGCCTTGGTCCCTCTCCCCTACCATACTGCCCTGCCTGCCAGCCCCTCCAGACCCCTAGAAGAGCTCCTCCCACAGCAGGCATCCCCTCAGAGCCTCTGCATGTCCATCTCCCTTGTCCTCATGCTTGGCCCCATCGACGTTCCTCTGGCACTTTCCTTGGATCTTTGCTCAGGTGTGCCCTGCTTAGTGGGGTCTCTCCTCACCATCTCACCTAAAACTGTGCCCCTTCTTGGTCTCCTTGGCTTTGTTTTTTGGCATGGCTTTCAGCACCACCTGGTGCATCTATTTCTGTCCGGTCATCTGGACCCAACATCATGGAATTAGATGATAGCATAATCTTCATGAAGGCAAAGAGTTGGGTTTGTCAAATGTCCAACAACGATAGACTGGAACAAGAAAATGTGGCACATATACACCATGGAATACTATGCAGCCATAAAAACTGATGAGTTCATGTCCTTTGTAGGGACATGGATGAAAATGGAAACCATCATTCTCAGCAAACTATTGCAAGGACAAAAAAACAAACACTGCATGTTCTCACTCATAGGTGGGAATTGAACAATGAGAACACATGGACACAGGAAGGGGAACATCACACTCTGGGGACTGTTGTGGGGTGGGGGAAGAGGGGAGGGATAGCATTAGGAGATATACCTAATGCTAAATGACGAGTTAATGGGTGCAGCATACCAACATGGCACATGTATATATAAGTAACAAACCTGCACATTGTTCACATGTACCCTAAAACTTAAAGTATAATAATAATAAAATTTAAAAAAAAAGAATACAATGTTTAAAAAAAAATGAGTTGGGTTTGTTTACTCCACTGCCATCTCTCCAGTACCAAGAACCATGCCTAGCACATACAGTAGCAAGCACCCAAGAATTGTGGACTGAACAATCCTTTGGAATACATCTGGTGGAAGGAGATCCCACAGCTAGAAAGTAGCAATTCCAGGATTTAACTGAGGTTTTTGTCTCAGGCCAGTTTCCTAAGCAATAGACTCTGAGATGGGGATTTTCAAACAGGAAGTTTATCAGGACAGGCTCTCAGGATCTGACCCCAAGTGAGAAGGGGAGAGAACAGGATTAGGCAGAGAGAGAAACTGAAGTGCAGTGTGGGCTCCATGGAGTCCCTGTATCCACAGTGAGGTCTGGAACTAGGATGGTGGCTCTCAGGACTGTTTCACTTGAGGCCAGGGGATCTGCCCTTTACCCCCCTGGGTGGACGAGTCATGGGCTGTGAGCTGCACCTGGGGAGGGGTGTGGACCCTCCCACAAGGCACCCTCTTCCTGGGTGACTCAGAGAAGCACTGGGCTGAATGTTGGCAGCCACAGACTGACTCTCCACACTGAGTCCTGAGTGCGGCACCCCCAGGAGTCCCTTTCCTCTGAACTACAGTGCTGGGGAAACACTCCTTGAGCTCAGTGTCTGTGCTGGGGTAAAGGAAAACAAGACGGCAGGGTGGGTTGATAGTTATTCTGGAAAACAGCTCACCAACTTCCCTGAAATGCTACAGCAGCTCAGTTTATGCTTTGGTTTTTTTGTTTGTTGTGTTTTTCTTAATTATTATTCCTGAGGTTTTCCCCCAAAATCACAGAAGAAAAGCTGAGATGTCATATAGTCTCCTGTTGTTTTTAAAAAATAATAATAACTTAAAAGGAGGAAATGAAATCAACACAGTTGCTTGTAATCAAGTGACTCTTGGAACCATAATGGTGATGTGGAAAAAGATTACAGAGCAGAATTCACAACTGCATTTTCCTCCTATGCTCACTCTCTTACTGCACACACAGGTGACATTTTAATTATGGAGCTCTGAGCTGGGGAAACACAACTGCCTGACTCTCTCCCACTTACCCAATCTCGTTTCCAGTCCAGCTGGGAGGGAAGGGGGTGAGATGAAGCCACAGCCCTTGCATGAAGATGAGGATTTCTCCTCTTAGAAAGGCCCCTTCTTTCTCCGTTTCTTCTTCATCTTTCATGAGAATGCTTCCTCTGTCCTGGAGTCCAAGGTCACTGCTAATAGTTCTTCACTCTGCTTTCACTGACTGCCACTTTCCTGAGGACCTGCCGTGTGCCAAGGACCTACTGTATTCTGAGCATCATGGCCATCCTGGGGCATGGAGGTGCATAAGGCCCCCTTCAAAGGGCCACCTGTCAGGCTTGCAGGGTGACAGGCAAAGGCAGAGGTACAGCATGGAGTGGCCATGTGGTACACTGACCCAGGGGAATGGGGGCCCAAGGAGGGACATTAGACCTTACATGCATTCATGGAGACTTTCTGCCAGGGCACTCCTGAAGCTGAATTCCTGCTAGTTCCCGAGTCACATGATTGCCTCTAAAAACAGGTCACTTCTCTGTTAAGAACGCTGACTGCTAAGCTTTCTCTTGGATTAAAATCTCTTTCTTAGCTGGATGTGGTGGCTCATGCCAGTAATCTCAGCACTTTGGGAGGCCTAGGCAGGTGGATTACTTGAGGTCAGGAGTTCAAGACCAGCCTGGCCAACATGGCGAAAACCCGTCTCTACTAAAAATACAAAAAAATGAGCCAGGCATCGTGGTGCACGCCTGTAATCCAGCTACTGGGGAGACTGAGGCAAGAGAATCACTTGAACGTGGGAGGCGGAGGTTGCAGTGAGCCAAGATCATGCCATTGTACTCCAGCCTGGGTGATGGAACAAGAATCTGTCTCAAAAAAAAAAAAAATCTTTCTGTTGGATTAAAATCTTTCAAGCTTCCTTTAATTCAAGCTTTCTCTTGGATTCAAATCCCTTGTCCATGTAAGGGTCTGGAAAGCCCTGTGCTCTCTGATTCATCTCTGGAACACGCTGTGCTTTCTCTCTGATTCATCTCCTACTGCTGCCCCTTTTCTCATTCCCGTGGCCACTTCCCTGTGACATATTTGGCCTAAAACACCTCACACACTGTCCCATAGCAGGGCTATGCACTCACTGGCCCCTGTGCCTGGAAGGTTCACCTCCAGATGTCTGCAGGGGCAACTCTCTTCTCAGTCACATATTCGCTATGGGTTACTGTCTCAAAAGACCTACCCTGGGCACACTTTATTTATTTATTTATAATTTATTTATTTATTTATTTGAGACAGAATCTCACTCTGTCACTCAGGCTGGAGTGCAATGGCGCGATCTCGGCTCACTGCAAGCTCTGCCTCCCGGGTTCACACCATTCTCCTGCCTCAGTTTCCAAAGTAGCTGGGACTACGGGCACCCGCCACCACGCCCGGCTAATTTTTCTGTATTTTTAGTAGAGACAGGGTTTCACTATGTTGACCAGGATGGTCTTGATCTCCTGACCTCGTTTCCCTGCCTGCCTTGGCCTCCCAAAGTGCTGGGATTCCAGGCACGAGCCACTGCGCCCGGCCCCTGAGCACACTTGAAAATGGTGTGCCTCTTCCCTGCATTCCCAGGAGCCCATATCCCACATTACTTCTTCTTTTGCACTTATCATTTTCATTCCAATCATTGCTTATTATTGCATAGTCAAAATACTACATATGTTTTATGTTTCTATTGGCTATCTCCCCCCACCTCCTAATATTAGCTACATGTGCACAAGAATTGTCTTTTCTGTTCACTGGTGTCGCCTCAGTGCTTAGACCAGTGCCTGACATAAAATTTGTGCTCAGTTAATGTGATGAATGGATGGATGGATGGACGGATGGATGAGAGAATGAATGAATTCAGGGCTCCAAGAGTATTGGGAAAACCATAAAGAAATTATTTGGACTGGCATGGTTCCCTAAGCATTGCAATGGCGTTCACACAGTGTGCCAGGAGGCGGCTTGGGAAAGTGCTGCTCGCTCTGACACAGGCAGAGACGTACATAGGGTGGGGCTTGCCCTAGGGCACTCTGTGTCATCACTGGATGGCTTTGCCAAATTACCTTCCTGACAATTTTATCTGAGCCTCTCCCCAGATGCTGTACCCCTCGGAGACAAATTCCACCCTCGAGTGCGGTGAGCTGTTGACGTGCGGCCTCAGAAGGCGCAAAACAATAAGGCCCTCCATGAGGCGTTCCTAATTGGAGCCTCGGGTTCCTTCAGCTCAGCCTGAACCAATAAAGATTGTTGATTTATTCTTCCCAGTGTGGATTGGATCTGGGGATGCCCAGCTGGAAAAGATATGTTTCCTGCCTTCGAGGAGATCCCAGGCTGTGGGGAGCATGATGCAGGGGCGCCAGATGAACAGTAGGGTATGTGGGCCAGCAGCAGGTCTCTGGGGCTAAGCACATCAGCTGAGAAGCTGTATTCTGTCATGGACTGACTGTGGCACCCTCGGCAGCAGCTATGATAGTTGACTGTCTCGCCTGCAAATGAAATTGACACTATCTCCCTCTCAGGATTGGTGTGAAGATGCAATAAGACAACACCATAAGATTACAGTGTTCTGCTCTTTGCCTGGCATGTAGCATGGACTCAATACATGATACTGACAGTGCTTTTGATTCAAACTATGGTAAGCAAGAAATAGAAAAAAAAACACATCTTTTGAAAGTTCAGAGAAGAATGCTTCTGTATTGGTTTCCTGTGGCTGCCGTGAAAAATCACCACGAACTTGGTGGCTTCAAACAACACACATTCACTCTCTTAGAATTCTGCAGGTCAGCAGTGTGAACTCAGTCTTATGGGCTAGAGCCAAGGTTTGAGGATGGGCCACACCCTTTGGATGCTGTAGGATAGAATCCGTTAACTTGCCTTTTGCAGCTCCTAGAACTGCATCCTTGACTCCAGGCTCCTTCCCCCATCTGCAAATCCAGCAGCATAGCGTGTTGCTTCAGTGGCCACATCTCTACTTCCATCTATGTCAAATCTCCCTTTGCCTGCCTTTTATAAAGACAGTTTTCATTGTATTTAGGGCTCGCCTAATCTCCCCATCTCAAAATCTTTCACCACATCTGTAGTCTCTTTGCCATGTAAGGTAACACTCACCAGTTCCAGGGCTTGGAATCTGGATCTTTGGAGGCCATTATTCAGCCTACGACAGCTTCCAACTCTTGGAAGCCTTCAGGAAAGAAGGGATGATTGGGTTATTGGGTTGAGTCCTGGAATATGAGAGGACATTCACTTTGGGAAAATTGGAGGAGAGTCATCCCAGGTGGGACAAACAGCATATGCAAAGTCACGGAGGAGAAGGGAGGAAAAGGTTATGAACTTTCCTCTGCGCTGAGTCAAAGAGCCAAAGGAGAATGGTTTGGGAGGAGCTTCAATCACAGGGACAAGTGGCCTGCAGCAGGGTCATCATGACCTCCAAGAAAAGTCAGGGACTACATTAGGTCAGATCCACAGAAGCCATTCTCTGCCTCATGTCATCTGAGAGTCCTGCAGAAGTAACTTAAGGATGTTATAGTTCGCTGCTGTATCACTTTCAGTTCTTATAGAGGGTCAAGATGAAATTACACTTTTCAGTAGTATTTCTTAATAGAAACAAAATTGAAGACATTATTCATAATCCTAGTCACTTAGTCTCATCGTGACTGCTCCAGAGCAACTCACTTGAGTCGGGTGCCATGGTAGGGGAAGCCATCATCCAACGACTTGGCTCACTTCCATAAGGAAATGGCATTTCCCTGGGAGAGACACCATTGCAGGGAATAACTTTAGTTTCTCTTCCCACCCCTCCCCATAGGAGGAGGAGTAACTCACATCATCAGTAAACTAGATGGACCTTGACATTAAGACACATTAGCCAGGGATGTGGCCGCAGCGTTCTGAGGCACAGACGCTTGACTCTGGCCTTCTCTCTTGTGTTTCTGCTGGGTATTCTGGAAAGTGCCACGTAGACAGCAGGGAGTGGGAGTGGTGTCAGCTCTCCCCAGGGAAAGGGCCTAAGGTCTAGCTTTGGGGTAAGTAACAAGACTCACTTTTAGCCTCCAGCTTTAGCTGTGCCGTCCAACACCAAAAACAAGGAACACCATAGTTGGGTGTTATTGCTCCTGCCAAGCCAGCAACGACACCAATTCTCCACTCCAATTGTCATTACCCTCTTATTTCTCTTCTCAATTGGTTAAACACTTAAATAGGAGAAGACCTTAGTAATTATAACCATGGAATTTCCAGCCTTCTATAGGTACTCTAGTTATGCACTCCTTATCAGAATCTAATGCCTGGTGATCTGTCACTCTCTCCCATCACCCCCAGATGGGACCACCTAGTTGCAGGAAAACAAGCTCAGGGCTCCCACTGATTCTACATTATGGTGAGTTGTATAATTCTTTCATTATATATTACAATGTAATCATAACAGACATAAAGTACATGATAAATGTAATGCACTTGAATCATCGTGAAACTATATCCCCTGCCTCCCATCCACGGAAAAATTGTCTTCCACAAAACCAGTCCCTGGTGCCAAAAAGGTTGGGGACAGCTGTAGTAAGAGATGGCCATGTGGTCTTTGGTTATATGTTTTCTGTCAGCTGAATATAAAGGGCAATAAATTCGGGTTGCACAATTTCCCTTGTCTAAAAGAAATAGAGCTTCCTAGTGTAGATCCTTCGCGTGCCCAGTTCACAATAGAGTTTGCGCTCCTATAAGAATCTAGCGCCAGCACTAATCTGACAGGAGGCAGAGCTCAGGTGGTAACATGAGTGATGGCGAGCGACTGTAAATACAGATGAAGCTTCGCTTGCCCAGCAGCTGCTCACCTCCTGCTGCGCAGCCCGGTTCCTAATAGGCCATGGACCAGTACCAACTACCAGTATCATCCACTCTGATAATCTGTGTGCAAATATGGCAGCACCCTGAAGTGGTAAGAGAGGGCTTTGCAGCCTCAGTCTCTCTCCTCTCCTCACCCCCTGGGCCCTGGTTACCAGTCTCGAGGGAAAGCTGGGGCGATTTAGTCAGCACAACAGGATGACAGACAGAGCTGCAGCAACGGTTCATGTAAGAAACTGTAAGGAAGCGAGGGAAGCAGCACAGGGCAGGAAAGCAAAGACATGAATTCAACAATTCAATGGCAGTCCAGCCTCAACCAGACACTGCAGGTAGCACTGGTGGCCTGTCCCACCTTGAGGCAAGAGCATCGTGAATTCACCCCTGCAGCAGCCAGTCACTGGCTTATGGACATCCTCAGGGGAAGGTGTATCTGGCATGGTATATCTGGGCAAAAAAAAGCCCACAGACCAAGAGAAATTTGCTAGAGAATGTGTCCCTTGAGCTGTGAGCAGATAACCGTCGTGGCAGATGGAGGTGGCTGTGTGGGCAGGGGATGAGAGGAGGCTTCAAAGCATCTACCCCAGTCCACTCCTAGCACCACTCATGTCCACTTTCTTCCTACATCAGGCCCACTCAAGGTTGTAACAACTTCTCCAGAGTTCTGATGGCTTACAATTTCTGGGTAAAGTTTAACCAGGAAGTTTAATGGGACAAGCAAAGCCCTTAAGGATGGAGTTGATCCCAAGGCCATAAAGAGTTTTCATGCTCTCCCTCCTCTGCTATGTTCTCTAGATTCTTCTCTCCCCCTGTTAGTGCTTGTTCTGGTCTACATGGCTGCCCTGGTGGAGTGATCCAGAGCCTCACCCTGCACACACTGAGTTCCTAGTTAGCCTGCCCTTTTAAAGCCATGGTTACCATGATGCAGGGCAGGTTCTTGGCTTTGCTCAGGAAAGAATTCAAGAGCAAGTCTGTGGTGGAGGAAGGCAATTTGTTGAGGCAGCAGCAGTGTTATAGCTGTGTGACTGCTCCTGGCAGAGCAGAGCTGCCCCATAGGCAGTGTGTGGAGACTAGCAGTGTATGGGCAATTTGCAGTCATATTTATACCCACTTTTAATGACATGCTAATTAAGGGAGGAGTTATTAAGAAATAGCTGGAAAATAGGTGGTACCGTATAGATGTTGCTGTGGCACAAGCTAGTAACTTCTGGGTGTTGCCATGGCGTTGGTAAATGGTCATGATGCTGGCGGGAGTGTCTTCAGCAGCAAGACCAATGGGGGTGCTTTTGGCACCTCTTCCCAGTTTTGGCCAGCCTTCTGGTCTGGAGAGCAGTCCTGCTGGCCTCCTACCTCAACTGCAGAGTTAAAATTGGGCATGAGAATACCAAGAGATTCTCCAATCGATTACCAGAGTTCTTAACATATTCCTCCTTGCCTTAACTATGTGGTGACAGCATCAATCGCATCTCATAATGTCAGCATCAATCATACCTGTCCTCTAACTAATCAATGGCACGGGACTCTGATGTGACCAAGCAGAAGCCACAGCTCTGAGTGGGACTCTTATTGCATCCCCTGGTGGAAGATTTTGCTTTCTGGGAACCAGGACCTCTAGACCCATAGAGCCTAAATTTTCAGGAACAGTAAGACATTTTTACCAGATGGGTCATGAGGAGTGATAGTGAGCAGAACCACTCCTACCTCCACCCCTAGGTTCCCTGACCCATGGATTCTACGTATTGGAGGTGCAGTATCATATCATGGCTGTTGGGTTGGGTTAAAGGTGCCCATTTCTAAGCTGGTGCCTCCAATATATCTTAAGGTCACTGGAGGGCTCTATGAGGTAGGCCATTTCTAGATGGCATGGCACTTAACAGGGCCAGTAAATTCTATGAGCCATTTACCCACTGCTCTGTCTCCTTACTGCACAGTGGACCCTTGGCCTGAAGCAGTGCTGCAGGGTTCTATATCATGACTCCGGATGCCATGGGAGTTCTAGGGCAGTGATGCTGGCTGAGGCCCTGAGGGCAAAAGGCAAACACACGCTCAGAATTAATAACAACCCCACTCAGGACAGATGGTGGCCTTTATCCCTTGGAAAGGCACAATGAAATCAGTGTGCCACCAAGAGGCTGACCTCATCCATCTATGCTTTGATTGGCAGATGGCTACGGTTAATGAGTGATTTCTAAACAGTGGCAGATAGGAAATGCCAGTAGAGGTCAAGACAGTTGATTTGCAATTTTTAGAGTGCATGTAATGTGGATTTTTCCTGCTTTGTCTGATTAATAAGTTACCTTTTGTTTTAGCAGCAGGCAGTTAGGACTGTCAGCCATGTGTTTGGAAATACAAGACAAAGGAAAATACTCAACCCATGCATCCCAAGAATGTGGTTTAGGGATTTTGAATGGAGAACTCTATTGAAATATCCATGGATAGGGCCAGAAATGTAATACTGTTCTACCTGACTGCCCATTCAATTCAGAAACGCCCTACTACTTCTGTTAGGTGGTTAGCAGGGGCCATCTGGTCTCCGCCGGAACATCCCCGATGGGCAGCAGCTTGTGAGTGATTCCTGAAGTCACCCATTTGAACTTTGACAAGTCTGACTATTAGATTTGGGTTCAACAGAGAGAGGAACATTCTGCTTCCCTGTGGCTTTCCTGCCTTTCTCCTCTATCTGCTGCTTGGGCCTAAAAGAATGCCCCGTCCCTGTCTGGTAAATGAGCATCAGGTATATGCAGCAGCAATCACTGAGCTGAGACACTCCATTATGTCCAGCTCCTCAACTCCGGTGCCTCCAAATTATCCATGTTTGCTTAAAACCAACCAAGTTTTCTCAGTGGCCCAGAACAGATTCCAAAGTCCCTGCCTTGGCCTACCAGTCTGCAAGTGACCTGCTCCAGCGGACTCTGACACCATCCCCTCCACTGCTCCCTCCTCACTCTCATCCAGCCTCTCTGGGCTCCCGTTGCTCCAGGAATCTGCACAGCCAGCATTCAGGGCCCACATGGCTTCTGTCCTCCCTGCCATGCTGTCCACACTCAGACCCCTGCTCAAATGTCACCTCCTCAGAGGGGCTGCCTGACCACCTCGCAGAGGCTGTACTCTCCCTCCCCTACTCTCCACACAGCCAATTCTCCATCACAGAACTTATTTCTGCCTGACATCTAACTATGTATATGTCTATGTATGCGTGGTCCTCCTCTCACCCCAACACACTGGTATCGAACCCCAGGAGAAGGGCTTTGGTGGGTAATGAACAAATGAATCAACTGAATATGCTCACCCATCCACCATAACCCTAGTTTCCTTCCTCCAGTCAAACTCCAGGCCGTCCCTATTCTTTTGTAAATAATGCTATCTGGAGCTGTAAAGTTCCAAGTGTGGTCTTACTTCCTTTGTGAAACTGGATAAGTCCATCGGTCTCCCTGGGCTTTGGTTTCACCCATGTGGGAACTGAGCCCATAATGATGCCCTGGTGTCACCATGGGAGTCACAGCATTATGAGGAGCTTGTGAAGTGCTCTGCATGCTGTAAAGTGCTGTCTCTGTATAGGGTAGAGGGTATGGTATACTTATTACATCAGTATGCACAGGAGGCCCTGCTCATCTCACTCCTGGTCACTATTCCAGGGAGAGTGATATGTAGGGACATGCAATCTGGAATCCTATCTACTCAGAACATGGGAGCTCCCTGGTGGACCCTCAGCCCAGCCGCTCACTTTAAGGCCATGTCAGCCTCAGAGGAGACCTGCAGAAGGGCTCTCTCTCCCCTAAAGGTGAAGGAGCAATGGCAAAGGCTCTTAGAAGCCAGCTTGGAAAATAGCTTAGCAGCGGGGTCTGCTGCTTCCCTATCTCCTTTACTCTGAAGCTGGCACTTGGGGAAATGTCCTCAGGCACCTGAGATGAGATAGTATCTAGCTGAGAAATTGAACAGCAGCTAAAAAGTAAGCTCATTAGCAAATTTCCCAGCCCCAAACCCTTCAGAAAGTATTGGCCTGGCAAAAAAAAACATGCAACCTTCTCTGCTCTCAGAGAGGCAGGTGTGGTCATGCTGAGAACGCAGGCTCAGTTCAGGTAGACCTGAGTTTCAGTTTGCCCTCTGCCTCCCCATGGTGTGTTGGCAACCTTTGCTCTCTTCTCTCCTATTTTTGGAGTCATGGATCTCCCCTTTGAAAATCTGTTGAAATTGTTGATCCCCTTGCCAAGAAAACTCTCTGACCCCATTTCCTCGTCTTTCAGATGGGCATAAGGAGGCCTGATATTTGTCTTCTTCCCTTTGGTAAAGTCCAATGATTGTTTAAGGCTGGCATCCATTCTGATTGGTTTGTGTGTTTCATACAGGTAGTTATTGCATTTTAAATAGCATCCCTGGGGGCTTCTGTGAAGACAAAATGAGGCAATGAGAGGGGAATCCCACAGTTAACCCACTCAGTCAACATCTGTGCCTTCCTTTAAGATAAATGATTAGCTCTGGCCTGGGTGCAGTGGCTCATGCCTGTAATCCCAGCACTTTGGTAGGCTGAGAAGGGTAGATCATTTGAGGTCAGGAGTTCGAGACCAGCAAGGCCACTATGGTGAAACCCTGTCTCTACTTAAAAAAAATACAAAAATTAGCCAGGTGTGGTGGTACACACCTGTAGCCTCAGCTACTGTGGAGGCTGAGGCAGGATAATCGCTTGAACATGGGAGGCTAGGTGACAGAGTGAGACTCCATCTCAAAATTTAAAAAAAGATAAATTATTAGCTCTGGATGGTTCATACATCGTCCCTGGCAGATGTAAGTTCCCTTTACTAAATGAATTAGAGTGGTGTGGCAGGTGGGCAGGAAGAAACTACCTTAAAGACAGTCGCATCTGAATAAGGGACCCTCCAATCATGAAAGTTCACTGAGGGTCTCATCTTGTTGAAAAAGATAATTTGTGGACCAGAAGCTTTTCAGTAAGTTGCTGAGATAGGGGGATCATCTGCTATGGTAATTGCCTTTTTTTCTCTCATAGTAAAGGTAACTGCACTCTGAGGAGGTGAGGACATGCATGGAAGTGCTTCAGCTGGTTTGAAAACTCAACTTTCCAAGCTAATTGCTTAGTGTCTCTCTCTGCAAAAGTCAGTTCTTACCATTAATATATCTGAGTTCCCATACAGACTTTTCTACTAACTTGCTGTGTGATCTTGGAAAAATTGTTCATCCTCTCTGTTTTTTTAATCTCAAAGATGGCTTGGCTAAAATAGATAGCATCTAAGAGCGAGAAGCAATCTTAGAAAACATCTAGTCCAATTTCTGACCTTACAGAAAAGGAAAGAGGGGAAAGCATCTGACTTCTGATTCCTGAAGCCTCTGGGCTCTAAATTCTAAACAACTCACCCAGCTGCTGCAGACAGTGCCAACATTAGACAGGTGAAGATGCAACCTCACGGGTTCAGGTTCCCCCTCAGGTGCACCTGCCAATATTGAAGCTGGAGTCTGAATGAAGTGCTGCTTCAGAATCCTGTTCCCTTTCCTTGAACACATGTCTGCCAGGCCATGCAAGGTGAAGATGAAAGATAATGGAGTTGACTCCAGTCTCCCACTCAGCTGATGAAGAAGAGGCTGGTGGCAGAGATCAGCGGCCAGCACAGTACGGGCATGGTTGGAAAGTTCCCACCAAGGGTGGTGAGATGTGTTCCCTTTGGGGTTATTTATTAGAGGCAACTTTTTTTTTTTTTAAAGAAAAGGAAAGTATGCTTATATTTGCCTTTTCTTTTTTTAAGTGTGTTTACATTTAAGGAGTACAAGTGCAGTTTTGTTACATGGATATATTAAGTAGTGACGAAGTCTGGGCTTTTAGTACCACCAACACCTGAGCTGTTTAGGGGAGGGAAGAGGAAATAATAAGGGTCAAGAGAGAGGAGCCTGATGTCAGGAAATCTAGGATTAGACAAAGAGGATGTTGGAGCTGGGAGGAGCAGGAATGCTTGCCCATTTCCTTGCTCATATTTACAAAAAAAAATCATTTTAATAAATACCTCTTGGGTCAAACTTCAGCTTCCCTCATAAGCTATCCTTGCTCCGCCTGACCCTTCAATGCTGTGCCCCTCAACTTCCAAGTTTTGCACTCTTCTCTCCTATTTCTGGTTCATGGGTCCTCCGTTGAGGATCTGATGGAAATTATTGATCCCCTCACCAAGAAAGGCCATAAATGCACATATGAAACTGCAGATCACCATCACAGGGAGTTCTAAACCCTTGGTCTGTAGACACCAGTGGTTCCCCGCACTCTAGTAACATCTACGCCCTACTTACTTGCAAATTTATATTTTAGCCCAGAATTTTTCTCAAACATGTTTCTGCAACCCAAAACACCCTCTTCCATCAGTACAATGGGGAGGATTGTGACACCACCTATGCACCCCACAGGGTTTTTGTGAGTAGGAAATGAAATGCCCAGTGAAAAAGGCCATGGTGTATAGCAAGGGGCTACACGAACATCTTGGGAAGCCTGATCATGCTCTTTGGTGAAGGAGAAGGCCACCCACGTAGAAGGGTAGTCGTCTTTATCATTTTCATCCAAAGGGGCAGAATAAGAAATATCATATTGTATGATGAATGGACGAGAGAATCTTTTCACAATGAGAGCTCACCCAAAGTAGAAGTTCAGACCAATGTGGTGAGATTCAAGTATCTGCCTCTTGGCTTCTCAGATGTATTTTAGAGGAGAGATCTTGGTTTTCAACAGCATATTTCCAAACTCTGTGTCTAGCAGGTATGCATTTGGAAATAGGTTTCCCTTCCTTATTGCAGTCTGTAATGAGGTATTTCCATGGCTTGCAAGTATATGAGCTGTTTCAAAACAGTGTGTGTCCTCTAAATACCCCACAGAGCTAATGGAAAATGAAATCTACCCTACAAAATAACTCATTAGAAAATACGCTATGGTGCTAATACTTGGTTCTACAAAATCTTTAATCATATTTCACTCTGGAAAGAACAGAGGCCTAGGCAAAGCTAAAAGTTTAGTGTCAAAAAGATCCCAGATTTTTACATATCAGTTGAATTTAAAATCATGTTTAAGAACTCTATTTTTCTGCCACTATTTATTCTATAAGCCCTTCACTAACTTACATAAAACTATCACCAAAGCTTTCTCCATGATTTAGAATTAAGATTAATTCTAAATGTAGGCTCGAAGTTTATAAAAATGAAAGCAATGTGGAAACAGGCTTGCTGTGCAAATTATGAGAGAAAAAGAACATGTTTTATCTTCACAGTGAGATTCACAAACTATCATCATTGACTTTTCTTCAGCAATGAGTGTGCTAATTACTACTGCTGATACCTATTTGTTTATTGTCACCTTTTTCAAGATCCTCAGAGGTGTTTAATTTCATTGACTTTTCCTCTGTCCCTGATGGCTGTGATACTCCATTTACATGAGATTAATAAAATCAAGTCCTTGTTAAAATAGTAAATAATGGAAAAGGTTGAAGGTTTTAGATGAGTTTGTGAATAGGAGTTAAGAACATTGGATTTGGAGAAAGATAAATGGTTTTAAAATTTGAAAGTTATTTTAACTTTCAATTTTCTCACCTGTAAAATCCTACCAATAATATTACCTATTTCAAAGGATCATATTAAAGATTAAATGTGATAATGTATCTGAAGTGTTGAGTGTACTGCCCAGCACATAGTAACATTTCAATTGAATACTTGTTATTAATATTTAGGGCTACTAATTTTAAGATTGTTGTTAAGATGAGCTAAATTGTTTCTAAAATTATATGTGACTGCAAAAGACTCAAAATAGGGAAAAAAATCTTAAGAAAAAGCTGGAGTACTCAAACTATCTAATAACAAAATTAAATATAAAGCTACAGTATTCAAGAAAGTGTGGAATTGATATAACAATAGACACATGGGCCAGGTATGGTGGCTTATGCCTGCAATCCCAGCACTTTGCGAGGCCAAGGTGGGCGGATCACCTGAGGTAAGGAGTTCGAGATCAGCCTGGCCAACATGGTGAAACCCCATCTCTACTAAAGATACAAAAATAAGCCAGGCATGGTGGTGCACGTCTGTAGTTCCAGCTACTCGGGAGGCTGAGGCAGGAGAATTGCTTGAGCCTGGGGTGGGGAGGTTGCAGTGAGGCGGGATTGTACCACTGCACTCCAGCCTGGGCAACAGAATGAGACTCCGTCTCAAAAAAAAAAAAAAAAGAAAAAAGAAAAAAATAGATACATGGATGAATGAAGGAACAATGGAATAAGTCAAGTCACATATAACATGTTATTTGATACTCCAATGAGGAAATAAATACTTTTTCAACGTATAGGGCAGGAAGAATGGGATAAATATAAGAAAAAAGTATCAACTCCTTTCCTCCTGCTATACGGATACATTATTTTAAGACGGATTGTAGACATAAACATAAGCTAAAATTATAAAGGTTCTAGAAGAATATATAGAAGAAATCTTATAAACTTGAGATAAGAAAATATTTTGAATATGATATATGAAATCAAAAATTTTAAAAAATCAATTGGATTAGATTTAATTTGGATTTCATTAGAATTAAAAGTTTTACCTCATCAAATACAGTGCTAATATAATGAAAATCAATAACAGATTTTTAAAAAGTATTCAAAATGCGCATAGGACTTGTATCCAAAATATATAAAGAACTCTTTCAAATCAATAAAACAAAAAACCACATTTAAAAATGGGCAAACAACTGAAAGAGACACCTCAAAAAAGAAGAGGTAAAAGAGGCAGGCAAGCACATGAAAATGTCCAACATCATTAGTTATCATTAAAATGTGAATTAAAATCACGAGTGATATGTTTTCCTACTCACTAGAATGGTTACAATTTAATAACTGATATCACCAAATATAAGTGAGTATGTGGCACATATATTGCTGGTTAAAATATAAATGGTTTACCTACTGTGGAAAACTGTCAGTTTCTTATAAAATTATGCATAGCTACCATATGATTCAGCAGTTCTACTTCTAGAACCTAAAGAAATGAAATAGTATGTTCACAAAAAGTAACTGTATAAGAGTAGTTATAGAAGCTTAATTCATTAAAGCCAATAATTAGAGACAACCAGAATATTCAATAAAGAGAAACATATTGTAATATATTCCTACAATGGAAAACTATTCAGCAACAAAATGTAATCACCTACTGATTGACATATATATGACATATATGTCATATATATAACATATAACATATATATATTACATATATATATAAAACAATATGAATCAATGCCACAGGTAATGTGCTCAATGAGAAGCCAGACACACAAGAAGAGTGTCTGTGGTACTATTCCATTCATATGAAGTTCAAAATCAGCAACATAAGTCTGTGATGATAGAAATCATAACACCATTTGCCTACAGGAGATGGGCATTCGCTAGATGGCAAAATAAGGGAATTTTCTGGTGTGATAAATATTTTCTGTGTCTTCACTTGTTTCATGGGTATGTACCTTTATCAAAACTCATAGAATTGCACACTTAAAATTGATTATTCCACTCCAGGCACATGCTATATCGATAGAGCTTTTTAAATGCTAAGAAAGTTGGAGAGATCTTTGAATAGTCAGAGCTAACTAAGTTCCCTCATTTCATAAAAATACTCAAGATCAGAGAGGCAAGGCAGCTTGCCAGAAGTCACCCAGTGTGTAGGGCACAATGAAGATTAGAAGCCAGGTCCTCTGACTTCTTATCCAGTGCTCCCTCCAATATACTTTGCTAACACCCCCATCCAAAGCCACACAGCTCCTGACAATAGATCCAATACTAGGACCTAGATATTCTCATTTAAAACCTTACATTGTCTTTAGGATTATTCAATTTGCCAAAGAATCGTGGCATGAATTATCTGAGCAAGAAAACCAAAGCTATGAAGAATCATGCTAGGGAAACCAGATTTGGAGTCAAGAGATGTATACTTTGCTCTTGGCTCTTCTGTATCTTACTGTGCACTCTTAGGGAAATTACTTTCCCTCTCTGTGCTCAGTAGCATCAATGGATTGAACTAGATGTTGCTCAAGAGTCTTTCCAGCTCGAATGCCCTGCAAACATCTGATGCCCTGCAAACATCTGCCCTTCTAAGTGTACAGAGTTGTTTCCCTGTTGACCCGATATATGCAAAATCCAACATTTAAATTATCCATTCAGACTTTACTTGAGAATTCCACAAGGGGCTCCTCCAGGGCTCAGAGGATCACACTACCTGCCTCTGGAGTGAGACTGACCCTGGGTGTGGGTGTCCTCTGGTTATTGTGACACCATTTGCTCTCACTTCCTGCAGGAAACACTGCAGGTTCCTCTGCCTTCACTGGTGGACCTCTGCAGCTCCTCTAGGCAGGACACCTGAAAACCACTGAGCAGGACAATTGGGCATTGAGGCGAGTTTCTTAAATTTTGAAAAATAGAAGTACTAACATTCAGCTTGCTCTCACTATGCAGGAGGCCCTGTAAAAAATGCTTCATATTCACTTGGCTTATTTTATCCTCACAACACCCTATGAGGAAGCCACTATTATTCCTGTCATTTTTCAAATCAGGAAACAAACTTAGAAAAGGTATGTTACATGCTTAAGGTCACACAGTCAGGGGGCAGGGGCAAGATTTAATGTAGCATTTTTACCTTCCAATCTGTGTGTTTAAATACTTCCCTAGACTTCCAGTTCAGCATGGTGATCTGCAAAGATCCTAAGTAAATATCCAGCCAACGTTATCAAGCCGCTTCTCAAATTATTGTTTGGAAAGGATGAGAGGATTGGCAAGATGGTTTCTAAGGAAGCTTTAGATTTGGAGAATCTGTTCTGAGATGGAAGACCTGGGGTGGACCCCAGGCCTTCCTAGACACAGCTCAGCCCCCTATGCTGAGCTGCCTCCCAGTAGAAGCTCCCTGCCCTCAACTCCCTGTCTCCTGGACCTCAGCTCTTGCCATTGCAAGACAGACATGGATCTAAAAATACCGCAAAGGCTTGGCAATGTATAACATATAATCTCTTGCTCTGGCCCTGAAATCAATTAGATTTGTATTTTAAACTCCAGAAGTGTGTGTAGACTATAGGCTTTCTCCAAAGTCAATAGAAAATATAAAAATGATTCCATGATCTGCCAACTTCTGGGCAAACCCAGGTTGGCTATTCTGCCTTACCTTGGGCCTCTCTCTCAACAGCAGGAACCAGTGGCAAATCCCAAATGCCAATGTCAGGGATCACCTGGCTTTTAGATGATGTGTCATATTGTGGGAGGCTATAAAGAATTAACTGAAGAGTCCAGGGCTGACCCCTAACCCTGCCTATAAGAGGTGGCAGCCCTATCTGATGAAAAAAAAAGTTAAAGTCATCATATGAAAACATGTATGATGCATGAGGCGCTGCCTGAAAAACGATGTAGTGTCAAGCAGACCTGAGATTGCCACCAAGCGTCTCCCCAGCCTTAACGTATCACTAAGGCACCCAGTGACAGGCACATGATTGTACCAGAGACAGAGCATTCCAGTCCAGAAAAGGCCAAAGAATTCATGAGGATTCTAGAAGGGGGTAACATTTAGGAAGGCATCAGGGCATGCGTCAGCAGGTAACAACAGAAATGAGGACCCGGACTGAGGCCGATGGTGGATGGGATGGGAGGGATGGCTGAATCTAGCAGAGTTCGGAAATCAAAGGGTACATCTGTTCAGTAAGATAGATACCAAACTGCAAGCTGGGGAAATGACACTTGAGCTGAAGTCTGAAGGCTTGACATGAGTTAAAGATGGAAAGAAGTACAAGAGGAAAGTCTTTAAGGGAGAGAAACTACAAGCTCAGAAGCCCTGCATTGTGTAGGCCATGGTACATGCAAGGGACTGAAGGAAGGCCAGTGAGGCTAAGCAAGAGCCAGGGATGGAGGAGGCTGGAGAGTCAAGTGCTGGACCCTGGAAAGATGTCTGCTTCATCCTAAGCCAATGGGAAGCCACTTGAGGCTTCAAGCAAGGGTCACAATGAGGTGGAAGCCCTATCTGATGGAAGAAAATAATAATGAAAGCCATCATATGAAAACATCTACAATGCATGGGGCGCTGTCTGAAAAACGATGTAGAGCCAAGCAGACCTGAGATTGCCATCATGCAATCAGAGCTGCTGACTCTCCAGCCTCCCCTATCCCATTCTCTGCTGGAAGCAGTTCAGCATAGAGGTTGCGCTATGTCTAGGAAGACCTGGGGTCCACCCAAGGCCCAGCATCTCAGAACAGATTCTCCACATCTAAAGGTACCTTAGAAATAATCTCACCAAACCTCTCATCCTTGGAAAATAATAATTTGAGAAAGGCCTTGATAAGTTGATAATATTGGCTGGATATTTACTTAGGATCTTTGCAGATCACCATACAGGACTGAAGTACAGGGACATATTTAAACTCACAGATTCACTCTATGTTGTGAAATGAGACCAAAATTTGCCTTTCAAGATAATAAATCAACAAATGCATATTGACTGTTGAAATATGCATAAACAGGGTAAGCAATAAAAACGTGGGGAGAAGTGGATACTGAGTTGATTCGCGTGGCTATCTCCATGAGATTGGATTGCAGGAGGATTTTAATTTTCCTGTGATACATTTCTGTATCTTACAGATATTTTACATCAGTACATTTTGCATTTTCTGAGAAGAAAATAAAGTGTGTTTTGTTTTCCTTTTTAAAAGCAAAATCTCTGCAGATGATGCCTTCTCAGACAATAGGAATAAATTGCAAAGGAAATTGCCCTAATGTGACCCAGACTGGAACTGGGCGTGCTTTAAACATAAATAGAAAGGCCTTTGATGATGTCATTTTAAAAGTGTCCTTGACATTCTTGAAGGTTTTAGTGGGCCCCAAGATAAGAAAAAAATAGGATCGTGTCGCTGAAAGGGACCTTACAGTTCAAACAATCCAACTCGCATATTTTACCACGGCAGGAAACGAAGCCCTGAGAAATAGATACTTCAAAAGGAAATTCACTCAACAATCAATAGCATTTCTAAGCACCAATAGTAACTAATTAGACATTTACATTCTAAGAAGGCTTCAGTCATTAATAGCAACAAAACCTAGGCTAAGAGTAAATCTAACCAAATACATGCAAGTTCATCACAAAGAAAATAAGAAAACTATTTAAATTATAAAATACCAGCACTTTGGGAGGCTGAGGTGGGCAGATCACAAGGTCAGGAGTTCAAGACCAGCCTAGCCAATGTGGTGAAACCCCATCTCTACTAAAAATAGAAAAATTAGCTGGGTGTGGTGCCGTGCACCTGTAATCCCAGCTACTCGGGAGGCTGAGGCAGGAGAATTGCTTGAACCCGGGAGGTGGAGGTTGCAGTGTGCCGAGATCGCACCACTGCACTCCAGCCTGGGTGACAGAGCAAGACTCCATCTCTGTCTCTGTCTCTGTCTCTCTCTCTCTCTATATATATATGTGTGTGTGTGTGTATATATATATATACACACACATATATATACATACACACACATATATATACAGACACAAAAAGAGAGAGATATATATATACACACACACTCATATATATATTCACACACATATATACATGATCAAGAATAGGAAGATTTATCATCAGGACCTGCAAAATTGTCTAACATATATAGTAGGTGCTCCCTATATCTTAGATTGAATCCATTGGAAAATATGTCAGTTCCTCCCACACATTAAACATACAGTCATTGCCTTTCCAATAGTAATCCCCACAAGTTTAGTTAGGTTGGTTGTTCTTCTAAAATCAATTTTATTAAGATTTAACTTACATTAAATCAAATGTACCCATTTTCAAGTGTGCAGTATGATGAGTTTTGACAAACATCTAGATCAGGTGTAACCATCACCCCAACCAAGACTTCCATTACCCCTGAAAAGCCCTGCAGGGCTTTTTAGGAACTTGGCAAAACTGGTCTTAAAATACACACGGTAGAGCAAAAAGTTAAGAATAGCTCAGACAATTTTGAGGAACAAGTCGGAGGATTTTATCTAACAGATATAAAGATTAATTTTAAGCCATAATAACTGAGATATAAACAAATAGTCCAAAGACACAGTTTTGCATTCCAGAAATAGACACACTCAGATATAAGCACTATATATACACCAAACCAGATCTACCAAACATGGCATTTCAAGTCAGTGATGCTGGAACACAGCCATGTCAATGCATTTACAGATTGTCCGTGTCTGCTTCCATGCTGCAACAGCGGACTTCAGCAGAGACCACATGGCCTGCAAAGCCTCGAGTGTTTACTATCTGACCCTTTCCTGAAAGCACTGCTCTGCTCAAGACATTTGCTGAATTCTGAAGCTGTATGACCTGGAGAGCTAAAATGCTAAATTATTTGCATTCTACTTCCCCATAAACAGAGAAACTTAAAATTCTCTGTTTTAAGTGGTGGGGGTGTGCCCACCCGCCACCCCCCCACCCCGTGTTTTGCAGTATTGTGTTTAGGAATTTCAGTTCTACATTTATATGAAACTTTGGCTGTTCATTCTATCCTGCATTTCCATATTGTAATCTTGGATCATTTTCTTCTGCCCAAAGAGCACCCTTTGGTGTTTAGTGCAGGTATACCGATATTAAGTTAGCTCTTGATTTTACCTGAGGTATTTTTATTTTGCTTTCATCTTTGAAGTTACTTTTGCTGGACTTGGAATTATAGGACAGTATGTGTTTCCTTTTAGCATTTTAATGGTTACTGCACACATCCTTGACTTACTACAAATCTAGTACAAACTATTCCTTTTCCCAGTTCCCTCATAGAGCTAGGACCTTGGGATACTCAAATTGTGATTATTACATTCATGATTTTCTGTCATTTTAGACTACAATAGATCAAGGATCCACATTCTAATCACTGGGTAACCACTAAAGAATAGTAACAAATATATAACAACTTAATAGAGGGATAAAGGGAATAATCTAAAGGATAGTTAACCTAAAGAAAGGCCAAGAGAAGAAGAGAAATAGGAATATACAATAAATAGATGAATCAAATAGAAAGCAAATACTAAGAAGATTGATTGAACTTCAAGTATATTCATGCTTAGTTTAATTGCAAATGTATTAAATATTTCAATTAAAACCCTGAGATCATCAGATTAGATATAAAAGCAATTTGAACAACATTTTATGCTTACAAGAGTCATATAATTATTATAAAGATACAGAAATATACAAAATACAAGGATAGAACATGCGTACCATGTCCATATTAACCAAAAGAAAACTGGTTTAGCTACATGTACTACTTATCAGGTGGAGTTTAAGGCAAAATAACACTGCTAAAGAAAAGGAACATTTACATAATGAAAAAGGGGTCAAATTATCAGGAAGAAATAAGAATTCTGAATCTGTATATAGCTTCAAGACAGACACAGCAAAACTGACAGAGCCAAAAGAAGAAATAAAGAAATTCACAATGATAGGAACATTTCGCACTTCTCACAGCAGCAGATAGATCAAACGGGAAAAATATACATAAAGAAAACCAAAACAAAATGACAAACTTAAATTAATTGACACATTGAACACTGCGCCCAGCATGGACCATATTATTGGCCAAGTGTACATGAACATGTCTCCAAATTGACCATATAATGGGTTGCAAAGTCAACCTCAGTAAAGTTCAAGGAATTATAACTATTCACATTGTATTCTCAGATCACAGTAAAATTAAGATAGAAATACTTACTTAGAGAATTTTAAAATCACCAACTACTTGTGAATTAAGCAATACACTTTTAAATAATCTATGAGTCACAGAAAAAACCATCACAGCAAATAGAAACTTTTTGAACTGAACATTAAAGATAAGAGGTTTTGCATAACAAAATTTTTGCAGTGCAACTAAAGCAGTCCCTAGAGAGTAATATATTGCTTCAAATGCATACATTAGAAAGGGAGAAAACTTAAAAAAAATTTATCTAATTCTTCTCAAAAAAAAAAAAAAAGAAAAGCTAGAAAAATGGAAAACAAAAGGAAGCATAGGCCAGGCATGGTAACTAATGCCTGTAATCCCAGCACTTTGGGAGGCTGAGATGGGCGGATGACTTGAGGTCAGGAGTTCAAGACCAGCCTGGCCAATATGGTGAAACCCTGTCTCTACTAAAAAAAAAAAAAAAAAAAAAAATATATATATATATATATATATCTCACAAGTAAAGCAATATGAGGCTCAGAGACCATGTTCACAAGTGTGCAGTCCCAGCTACTCAGGAGGCTGAGGCAGGAGAATCACTTGAACCCAGAAGGCAGAGGTTGCAGTGAGCTAAAATCGCATAACAGCACTCCAGCCTGGGAGGCAGAGTGAGACTCCATCTCAAAAAAAAAAAAAAGGAAGCATAGAAGAGGAAATGAAAAAATAAAGAACCAAAATCAATGAAAAAGGAAAAATTGTACAACAGTGGAAAATCAAAGCCAAAAGTTATTCTTTGGAAATATTAATAAAATGAGCAATTTTCTAGCAGTTCCAATCAGAGAAAGTAAGAGCATGAGCATGAATTACAACATCAAGAACCAAAAGGGAGGCAATAAGTACAGGTCCTCACATACCATTGATAGTGGTATGAACTGGTCCATTAAAGGGCAATTTTGTCATATAGATGAAATGTGAAGATCCTGTAATTCCATGTGGAATTACATTGCTTGAGGTAATGGTTCTGAAACCTGAATGCACGTTAGAATTGCCAGGCAAGCTAGAAATTAAACCAGACCAAACCAAACAAAAAACAGATTAATGAAATTAGATTGTCCAGGTGTGGTGCCTGCAGGTATGTTCATTTTTAAATTCTTCCTTAGTGTACAGCTACTGTTGAGAAACACTGCATGGTGGAAACACTTACAAATGTTTATAAGGAGACAAGAATATTCTTTGTACCAACTGTAAGAGAAAAAAATGAAAATGATGTAAATATCTACCAACAAAACATTCAACATTGGAATGCTATACAATGTTTTAAAATGCATGAAATATGCCTTAAAGCATGGACATGGTTGAATCTCACATAGAATGAACAGTTTGCATTAAGAAAATTATAGTATAATATCAATTTTATAGAGTTTGCAAAGATGTAAAAATCTACCACATATTTACAGTCAGTGGAGCATAGTAGTTAAGAACTCAGGATCAATTTCAGATATCAGCTTCCCCGCCAACAAGTGAGACGTTGGTGATTATGTAATTTCTGTGTACCTCATCTTCTCCCTCTACCCAATAAGGATTCTATCACTTACCTCAAACAGTTGCAGGGATTGAATGAGCTGATCAATATTTGTGAAGTGTCCAGCACATCTCAAGGGATTCATGGTTATCTGTTGTTACTGTTGTTACAATGCAGGCTTCAACTCTATCTACAACGTTTCATTTCTTTAAACTCCTTTGTAGCTAATATGGCAAGATGTTCCAGTTTAAGAGAACTCGCTGGTGAGTATACATCTGTTTCTTAATGTTGCTTTCTGTTCTTTCCTGCACCTTTAAAATATTTCACAAGTAAAGCAATATGAGGCTCAGAGACCATGTTCACAAGTCAGGTCCCCTATGTGGACTCATTGCTCAAGTTCCCTCCCTGTTGATTGGCCAAGATAATTGTCAACACTAAGAGTTCTGAATCTACATAAAACAGTGTCCTAAATTCCAAAAGTCATCTTGCCCCAAATATCCTGCCCCTAATTTATCAAATTTGATAGTGAGAAATTAAACTCATAATGTGTGTTGGAATCATTTCTATTCCAACCACTGAAACATTGGCCTGCCAAAGTCATCATTTCAAAAGTCCTTTGTGAGTCTATAATTACTTTCTTGTTGTGCTGGGTTATGTTTTTACTTTGCTCACTTCTCCTTTGTTGACTTATGACTTAGAAAGCTAAATGGTAAAAAATCAACAACAAGAGACATTCCATTGGCTTTCCACCCCACTCAGAATAAAATGCAGAACCAAACTCCTCAATGCCGTGTGTAATAGCTCACTTCCAAATGCACTGCTTACCATGTACTTTACCACCTGCCCCTTGTCTCCCTTTCTCTGGCCGCACTCACCACAGTTGTTTTGTTTGTTCCTTTTCAGACCTGCCAAGCCTCCCTTCATCTCAGAGTCCTGGTGCTTGCTCCGCCAGGCGTCTGTCTTTTGCAAATCACTCGATGATGATTCCCTCCCTGCCTCCAGGTCTCTACTTAGAAAGAGATCCTCCCTGACCAACTTGTCTAAAATAAGTCATTTGCACCATTACTCTCTACCAGTCCTGGTGTACTTTTCCTCACAGCTCTTACCCAGGTCAGCCCCCAACAGGCACTAGACCCAGAGCAAGGCTGCAAAGGAGGACCCCTGTGTCTAAGTATTTACAAATTACAAGTCAAGTTACAAGTTACTTGCCCAAGTTGTTAGTAAGATGTTTTCTATTCTCCTACACTGACAAATATGCAGTCATAGCCACCTACCAAGCTCCATTTGAATTTAGAATTTTCAGGTTCCTCGGCTGCCTATCAGAAAGCAGGGAGAGTGGGTCTCTGGGCCCTGCACTCTGTCTCACCCCGCTCTTTTCCACCACAGCCCCCTTCCTCTCCAGGAGTGGCTTCACACATGGTTGACCTGGCTCACCTGTCCAGAGGGTCCAAGCTCCATGCACCCTCTCCAGCTGGTCAGTACCTCTCAGACAGAGGTGTGTGGCAACCAGGATAAATAGCCCTACCACTGAAATTCAACTGCCAAAATCAGATGTCTTTGCTAATACAAATTCACAATGAAGGAGCTCTGATCTTCTTGGTTTGACACAGCCTTCCAAGTTATTGGCCGTTCATCAGACACCGCTGCCTAACAAATGGCTCAGTGCCACTCCATACTCAGGGTTGTGGGCAGAGACAACTATCCTAAAGCAATGGAGAATTGGATAAAGAAAATGTGGTGTATAGACACACTGGAATACTATTCAGCCATAAAAAAGAATGAAGTCATGCCTTTTGCAGCAGCGTGGATGGAACTGAAGGCCATTATCTTTGTTTTTTTCTTTCTTTCTTTTTTTTTTGAGACAATCTCCTTCTGTCACCGAGGCTGGATGAGGCTGGAGTGCAGTGGCATGATCTTGGCTCACTGCAACCTCCCCCTCCCAGGTTCAAGGAATTCTCATGCTTCAGCCTCCCTAGTAGCTGGGATTACAGGCGTCTGCCACCCTGCCCGGCTAATTTTCATAGTTTTAGTAGAGATGGGGTTTCACCATGTTGGCCAGGCTGGTCTCGAACTCCTGACCTCAAGTGATCCATCTGCCTTGGCCTTCCAAAGTGCTGAGATTACAGGGCGTGAGCCACCGCACCTGGCCTAGAGGCTGTCATCTTAAGTAAAACAACACAGACACAGAAAGACAAAGGCCACACATTCTCACGAGGTGGAGCTAAGTAGTGTGTGGACATGGACGTAGAGTGTGGAATGATAGACAGTGGAGACTTGGAAAGGTGAAGAAGGAGAAGGTGGATGATGAGAAATCACTTAATGTGTACAATGTATATTATTTGGTTGATGGTTACACTAAAAGTCCTGACTTTACCACCACACAATATATCCATATAACAAAATCACACTTGTGCCTCATACATTTACACAAAGAAAGTTTTTGTAAAGAAGTTGAGCACTACAGGCAGATGGGGATAGGCAGGCCTGATACAAACCTGCAGCTCAAAGGCCTGAAGGAGCCAGCTCCAGTCATGCTGTCATGGCAGACAGTGTCAGGTCCCAAGCCCAGTGTGGCAGAGGAGTTCACACTGTGGGCACTGCAGTCATTTGGCTCATGTTTAAATCCTGACTGTCTCTTACTAGCTTGATGACTTTGAACAAGTTATGTAACCACCTCCATGTTATGTAACCTCCTCTGCCTGCTCCAGAGGGTGTTTGAGGTGATAGCTTGGGTTAGTACAAGTGATTAGAACAGGGCCCAGCAGTTATTAAATCTCTGAGAGGTGTCAGGTAGCAGCAGTGGTAGTAGCCGTGAAAAAACTCACTCTTCCCTGCCACTGAATCCTGGTGGCTTATAATAAAATGAGGGACTAATTTACAAATTAAATATCTCCTCAGAAATAAGTTCTGAATTGTAGACTTTATATTTCTTAACATTTCAGAGAAAGAAAAGGAGAGTAGGTACTGGAGTCAGAAAAGCTTCTCGGGGAGGTGGGACCAAGAGGAGTTCCGCATATGAGACCCTTTGACTGGAGAAGAGCTTCCAAAGCTGTCCCTGCCAGGGCTGTTTCATAGGAGTGAGGGTTTTGTCCAAAGGGCAATATTTTGAAGGACACAATGCATCGGGGTTTTGGAGCAGAAATTTGAAGACCAGTCATATCCTATTATAGTTGTAATTTACGATACACTTTCTCCCTGGAGTGGCACACGGCAGGTCTTCTCAGTCATTCTATTTCCTGTCCCTTGACAAGATGTTCTTTCACTGTAAGACAGTTCCGTCTTTCAAGTGGTCATTTGTGCTCTTGCAAGTGAGCTTGATAGAAACCCTGCCTGGAATGTTAACTAAAGTTTGTCCATAGAGCAACTCAGCTTTCTTGTCTAATTGCAGTTTTCTAGCACTATGCAGATGGGAAATGGTCTCCGCACAGACACCATATTGATTTCAGTCCATCCCTGAAGCCTTGCCTACCTCATGCCCACATTACGTTTTCCAGTAATTAAGCCCTGGTGTCTCTGGAGTCAAGCTGGATTCAGGAGGATCTCTCTGCTCCTCGACTTCCCCTCCCCTCATTTCCTGAAGGTTGACCTAAAGGGCAAACCCAGGACTTACGTTTGGAAAAAGGCTGTTTTAAGAACATGGTGAATTTACTCTCTCAAAATTGAACCTGGGACTAAGGTTGGTTTGCAAGAAATCGAGTGTTCAATTATAATATACTAATAATGTATATTATTAGTATATAATATGATACATTATGGATTAGACATAATATGATACATCTTATATATATTACCCTATTACTGCAACATGTAGCTTTTGCTTTAAAAGCGTTCAGCATGATTCAACAGCTCTCTCCCAACTGATAATCATTTCCATTTGAAAGTGCTTCAGATCCTCAAAGGAAATTCCCTCCCTCTCTTCTCATCCCCTACTCCATGTTCTGGTCTTCTGTACTTGGTCTGCCTGGTAAATGCTGGTGATTACCTTGCTTTTGTTCTTTGTCAGCATTTTTTCTCATCCTCGCACTCTCCAGGGCTTAATCATGGTGCCTATCTATAGTTTCAAGAGTACCTCTCAGCCAGTGCTTCTTAACTCCAGCACTACTGACACTTGGGGCTGAATAAGTCTTTCTTGTGGAGGCAGTGCCTTGTGCATTGTAGGATGTTTAGCCACATTCCTGGCCTCTACATTCTAGATGCCAGTCGTGTACTAGCCCCCAACAGTTGTGACAACCCCAAATGTCTCCAGACATTATCAAACGTCCTCTAAGGGGCAAACTTCAGCACCACTGATCAAAAATGATGTTCTTCCAGTCTGCACTTGCAGCTCTGAAATGAAGAAGCTATAATTGGCCACTCCCTATTCATCTCCACATGGAGCTTCCATACGTCCTCCTGCACCTGGTCTGGACCCTAACATCCTCTTCCTGACACTTTTCCTCTTTCTGAACCACTGGCCTCATCGCCCCCCGATCCTTCCTTCTTCTTACTGGCTGTTCGGCCTGCTTCAGCATTTCCTGTGTGCAGCCTTCCCTCTTCATTTCTACCACTATTGTTCTGGGCTAGGGCCTCACCTCCTCTTGTCTCAATTACAGACTCCCGTCTTCTCTCTGTCTGCCCTGGGCAGGAGCTTCAACTCCAGCTTCCACAGGGCAGCTGGCTTGGTCTATTGAAAATGCAGATCAGCCGGGCATGGTGGATCATGCCTGTAATCCCAGCACTTTGGGAGGCCGAGGTGGGCAGATCACGAGGTCAGGAGATCCAGACCATCCTGGCTAACATGGTGAAACCCCGTCTCAACTAAAAATACAAAAAAATTAGCTGGGCGTGGTGGCATGCGCCTGTAGTCCCAGCTGCTGGGAAGGCTGAGGCAGGAGAATGGCATGAACCTGGGAGGCAGAGCTTGCAGTGAGCCAAGATCGCTCCACTGCATTCCAGCCTGGGCAACACAGCAAGACTCCGTCTCAAAAAAAAAAAAAAAAAGAAAAGAAAAGAAAAGAAGAAAGAAAATGCAGATCATATCAGATCACCTATCACCCCACAATTTCAAAAGGCATCAGTAGCTCACTCTCTCCTGTGCCATAAAGTCAAAGCTCTGAAGCTTGGACCTCAAAGCTGTCACCTGCCTTTCTTTGCAGGGTCCCTTACGGATATAGCTAGGCTTTGTGTCTTCAGTCAAATCTCATCTTGAATTATAATCCCTATAATCCCTGTGTTTCAAGGGAGAGACCAGGTGGAGGTAATTGAATCATGGGAGCAGTTTCCCCCATGCTGTTTTCATGAGAGTGAGTGAGTTCTCATGGGATCTGATGGTTTTACAAGCTGCTCTTCCCCCTTCACTCAGCACTTCTTCCTGCTGCCTTGTGAAGAAGGTGCCTTGCTTCTCCTTCATTTCCACCACGATTGTAAGTTTCCTGAGGCCTGCCCAGCCATGCTGAACTATGAGGCAATTAAACCTCTTTCCTTTATAAATTACCCAGTCTCAGGCAGTTCTTTATAGCAGTGTGAAAACGGACTTGCCAATTCTTCAGCTCTATTAAAACCAAGATGTTTGCAGTTCACCTGTAAGCCAGTGACAACTGAAATGAGTGACTGAGGCCTCCGCCAGCTCTAGGATGCATCTCACAAAAATATCAGCCACAGACACATCTGTGGCTGTTTTTCTGAAGAGTTTTTCAGGAGGTTTGGTATTTATACATTTCCTTTAAGGGAGAGAAGACATTTAGGAAGAAGAGCTGGTAGGCAGTTAGGCAAATGGTAACAATCCTCTGAGACTTCAGTTAGTGCCCAGTAAATCTACATTTTATATAAGATAAGGTGAAGATAAGGACACTGTTTAAAAAGAGAAAGGGAATAAAGTAAGAGTCCATTATGCAGACGTCTCTGAGTAGGTGGAAGAAGAAGTCTTGTCTTTGGTCTGTAACCTGGGAAGATAAGCTTGTAATGGATATTATCAGGGTGGAATCCAGTAGACTTGAGTTTTAGGAACTAGTGTAGATTGTAAACCTAAAGCTACAATTGGCATGTCCTTATGTATGGGAGACCTGAAAAGAATTTACTTAGGAATGATCTGCAAGGCCTCTTACCTTTCCAAGGGGATCCAGCTGGTGAATGATGTTATAATAGCTCCCTTTGAAAGAAAGTGTGGCAGTGACTCAGTCTCTGGACTTAACCTTCCCTTTCACATAAGAAGTTTGGGGGTCCTGATAGTTTTACTTTCCTTTACACCAAGGTTTTAGCTCACAGGCTTTAGTTCTTGACCTTTCCTCTGCTGGGAATATCCTTTCCTCCCTTCAATATCCAGCTTGCTCCTAGACCTTTCCCAAGTCAGCAGAAAACCTCTGTCTCAGGAAGCCTTGCCCCAGCCCTCAGCCAGATCTCTCTCTTTTCTCTAGGTTCCCGTGGCATCTTGTAAGCAACTCCAGCTGACACTCGCCACAGTGCCACCTTCCTCACGAGACTGTGACTTTGCTCTTCTCAGTATGCCCAGCAGCCAAGCAGTGCCTGGCTCCTGTGAGACCTCTCTGCCACACCCATCTTCAACCTCTGCCTAATTATTTCTCATCTTCTCAGACTCAGTTTGGGTATCTTCTGCTTTCAGAATCCCTTCTGATCCCAATTCCTCCCTCCCTACTCTGTGGCTGGGTGATCTTCCTCTCTGCCTTCCAAAACACCCTCTCTGAAGAGCTGACATGAAGTCCACCACATGTCTACACAATTGCCTTTTCCTTCTGTCTCCACAATGACACTTAGGCTCCAGAAAGTCTTAGTCCATCATGGATAGAATTCTGTCCCCCCAGAAGACATATTGAAGTGCTAACCCCCAGTGTTGTGAATGTGACTTGACTTGGAATTAGGGTTTCTGAAGATATAATCAGGTAAAAATGAAGTCGTTGGGATGGATCTTAATCCAACATGACTCATATCCTTATAGACAGAAGAAAAGAGATACAGAAACAGGGAGAATGTCATGTGGTGACAGAGGCAGAGACCAGAGTGATGCAGTTACAAGCCAAGGAATGCCAAGTATTGCCAGCACCCACCAGGAGCCAGAAGAGAGGATTGGAACCCTTTCCTGCAGAGCCCTCCGGAAGAAACCAACTTGCTGACACCTAGGTTTTGAACTTCTAGCCTCCAGAACTATAAGATAATAAATTTGTGGCTGGGCGCGGTGGCTCACACCTGTAATCGCAGCACATTGGGTGGCCGAGGCAGGAGGATGACCTGAGTTTGGGAGTTCAAGACCAGCCTGACCAACAGGGTGAAACCCCACCTCTACTAAAAATACAAAATTAGCTGGGTGTGGTTGCGCATGCCTGTAATCCCAGCTACTCAGGAGGCTGAGGCAGGAGAATCGCTTGAACCCGGGAGGCAGAGGTGGCGGTGAGCTGAGATCACACCATGGCACTCTAGCCTGGCAACAAGAGCAAAACTTCATCTCAAATAATAATAATAAATTTCTACTGTTTTAAGCCACCCAGTTGTTGTACTTTGCTATGCAGCTGTAGGAGACTACGCAGGATCGGTGTGCTTTTCAGCTTCCACACCACACAGCACAGCAGTAACATACAGGGACTTTACTGTTGACCTTGCAACCAGCTTGTCTGGAGGGGCCTCTATGCATGTCTGTCTTCCTAGATTTTGTGACTATTTAAACTATGTGTTAAGTTGTTCCTCCTGGATGCAAACTTCTACCATGCTGTTGGATTGATTGATGTAAACTTGTCACCCACCCTGAGTTTGGCATGAAGAAACAGAAGCCTCTGGAGGAACAGAGCAGCCCACCCCAGTGAGGACAAAACTGTCCAGAATTGTCCCCAAGGTGCCTACCTCATTAATCCCAACTGTCTATGCAGTCATCATTCTGAGAATAGACATTCTTTGACATCATTAATTCTTGAGATATGTCTCTTGCATCAGCATTTGTTCATTTATCCATTCAACAAATATTTATCAAAGAAACATTGTATTCCAGACATCGTTCTAACTACTGTAACCGCTGCGGACATAGCAGCAAACTAAACAGGCAAAAAGCCCAGCCTTCATAGAACTTACATTCTGGAAGGTGAAGTCAAACAAAAACACACCCAAAATTAGAAAAATATATTTAATATGTTTAGTATACTATATTGTATACACAATATAGTATAGGTTCTGTGGGAAAAAATAGAAAGAGGGGAGAAATTCTGAGCAGGAGTGAGATGGTTCCCATTTGAGTGAGTGCTTCAGTCCACCTCTCTGCGCTGATGACCAGTTGCCAAATCTCATTGACTTATGACAGCAATCACTCCTTGTTCACGTACTTAGGTCTCTACGTCATGTGCAGGTCTGGGTTCCCCTGGGCTTAGCTGGCTCCCACTTATCTTTTCTGCTCAGAACTCAGAGCATGAGGGCCACCTCTAGGGTGGCCTCCAGTGAGCCCAGCATCCTGCTTTCACAGCCTTGCGTAACTCCTCCCATTGAGGGGGAGATACACCTAGTCACTCACTTCTAATGAATGAAGAGGGCAAAAGTGATGGGCTGCCACTTCTAATTTCAATTATACAGAGACTGTGTCTTCCGTCTTGCTTGCTGTTTCTCATTCTCTCTCTGTGTGTGTGTCTTTGCTTTGGGGGAAGCCACTGCCATGTCATGGGCTGTCCTACAGAGCCCACCTGGCAAGGAGCAGATGCTGGCCAACAGCCAGTGATGTTCCAAGTGTCTGGCTCAAGGTAAGTCAGCAAGTGAATATACCTGTGCTCTACAGGACAGAGGACAAGGATGAGAGGGTCCTGAGAGTGCCTTTCGCTGGGGACGGAAGGAAAGACACTCCCAGAAGGTGACATCCTGCTGCAATGGAAGAAACCATAGAAAACACGTTTTATTTGCCGGGTACGGTGGCTCATGCCTGTAATCCCAGCACTTTGGGAGGCGAGGCAGGCGGATCACGAGGTCAGGAGTTCGAGACCAGCCTGACCAACATGCTGAAACCCCGTCTCTACTAAAAATACAAAAATTAGCTGAGTCTGGTGGTGTGCGCCTGTAATCCCAGCTACTCGGGAGGCTGAGGCAGGAGAATGGCTTGAACCTGGGAGGTGGAGGCTGCAGTGAGCCGAGATCACACCATTGCACTCCAGCCTGGCGACAGAGCGAGACTCCATCTCAAAGGAAAAAAAAAAAAAAAAAGAAAACACGTTTTTTCTCAAATTTATTCTAAGAAAATCAGATGTTGTTCTATTTCTTTTTTGAAGAGAGTGAAGTGCAATGAAGACAGGAGATTTCTTTTTTAAAATTCCTCACTAAGGAGCTGTTATTATTTTGAGGGTTTTTGTTGTTGCTGTTATTTTTTTATTGATCTGATATATTGGACATCTTTTTCATCACAGTTTTATTATTATTTTTCTTTCATGTGGAACTAGAAACACATTTGCTACTTTCTCCAAAAATCTAGTTTTTATGGTACTCAGGCACAAGATGCTTTGGGGATCTTTGCCCTTCCTCCTTTAAAGTAAATCTCTGCTGATGCTTTTCAGAGACCCTGTTGGAGACAGGGAAGCCTGCCTTGGAGAGCAGCCACATGTGACTCAGGCAGGCTGACCTGGAGGTGGCAGAAAATGGTGGCGTTGCTCCACAAGCCAATACTCAGGATTTATAATACCAGAACCTGTGTCCACGTCCCGGCTCTGCCACTTAACGTGCATGACGCCTTTGGCAAATCCCGTCACTTCTCTGATTAAAGTTTGCTCACCTGAAGTGGAGAAAGAAGATGGCACTGTTTGCATCTCAAAGTTCTGATAGACTTTGAATAACCTGGTATATGAAAATAACTTAAGGCTGGGCGTGGTGGCTCATGCCTCTAATCCCAGCACTTTGGGAGACCGAGGCAGGTGGATCACCCGAGGTTAGGAGTTCAAGACCAGCCTGGCCAACATGGGGAAACCCTGTCTCTACTAAAAATACAAAAATTAGCTGGGCATTGTGCCATGCCCCTGTAGTCCCAGCTACTTAGGAGGCTGAGGCAGGAGAATCGCTTGAATCTGGGAGGCAGAGGTTGCAGTGAGCCAAGATTATGCCACTGCACTCCAGCCTGGGCAACAGAATGAGACTCCATCTCAAAAAATAAAATTAAAGTAAAGTAAAAAATAAAACGGAGAACTAACTAAAGGCAATGGTATCATCATTATTAAATATGAGAAGGAGGGTGACATATTCTTGGAAAAGCATAGGATTTTGTACATATATTCTATCTTGTAATTATTACTACTCTCAAATGATTGGCTCCCCTTTCCCAGGGACACAATTGTGCTGGGTGGGTAATGAGAGTTTGGACTCTTGAAGAAAAGAATGAAAGTTGATTCAAGGACCCTACAACCTTTGAGATCCAACAGTGAGAGACTTCCAGGATAACCATGTGTCTAGATTATACCTAACCCTGCTCATCCCCCTTATCTTTTTCTCCCTTTTCTTTTTATTTCTTTCTCTTTTATTCTTTTGTCTCCATCCCCCTTATCCTTCTTCTCTTGGCAGCATGGAGGTGCACAGCTCAAGTCTCCCTTGGAGAAGGACCTTGCCTATCGGTCTGGAGGAGTGTGGTTGGCTGACAGTATCCATCCTCCGGGCTCCTCTGTACATCTGAGCTGATAGCCCAACCCAGTGGCTGAGCTAGCAGGGCCAGCGGTCTAGCCATTTGCACCCAACGTGTGGCTCCTCTTCCAGATAATCTTTGCTCCAGACTTTTCTTGGAATTGATTGAGATGCTGTTAGATCTGCCTTGAAGATGGAGGTGTTCTCAAGTCAGCTTCTTCCTTGACGTCCTCTCAGAGGTGCCAGATCTGCACTGGAGTGGATCTGAAAATTTTCCTTGTTTCTTGGGTTTTCTGACCACTAACTCCATCTCAGTCTCTGCTTACTGACCTCACCCATTTTCCTTCCCTACCTTTTTTTCCTTCCTTCTCCTTTTATTGCACAAAAACTGTGGCGCCAAACACAGGTGTGGGGCATGCAAGAAAATGCAGCCCCTCCCCTAAAGGATCTCGTCTTCTCTCAGGGTAGATAAGACACGTGTATCCATATAAACCCCAAAGGCCTTTCCTCTGCAGACATAGATTTACCAGCTCTGGAGTGAACCCAGGAATTTGTGTTGTAAACATATTCCCTGAGGAATTGTTATAAACAGGCAATTTGGAAAATAGTTTGTGGGGGGAGGTAGGTAACTGCTGTCTGTGGAAAATCTAGCCCTCTGCCTGTTTGTGTAAATCAAGTTTGAAACACAGTGACACCCATTCATTGATGGGTTGGCCGTGACTGCTGTCGTGCCATAATGGCAGAGTTGAGGAATTGCCGTGGAGACCGTATGGCCCACAAATCCTACAATATTTCCTATTTGGCTTTTTGCATAAAATGTTTGCTGACCTCTTCTCTAAGGCAGTAGTTTTCAACCTTGGCAATAGAATCACCTTCACCTGGGGAAACATTTAAGCTTCCCATGACTAGAATGGACCCAGACAATTAAATCAGAATCTTGGTAGCTGGGACCCAGGCATCAACCCTGGACATAGCATGTTTGAGATCTCAGATTAATACAGCATGCGGTCAAGCGTGAGAATTGGGAAACTGAATATATGAATGGACAGTGGCCAGACCCCACACAACAGAACTCTGACTGGCAACCTCTGCAGCAACCCCCCTGGGAAGCCAAGCCACAACCTCTGAAGCAACCATCCCTAAACTGTCAGGACCACCAGATCCTCTAATTTTTGCCCCCATTTCCAACTCAGGACTGACCAGACAAAGCCAAATATGGTCCCCAAACCAATCACACAGGATGCCCCGCTCCTGCTCAGTGGCCTCCTTCTCCCTCACACCCACAGCCTCCAGCAGGAGCACACCTGCAGCCTTCTCCTTTTCCCACGACCAAGGGTTCCCACTCCCCTGCTTGCCAAATGCAAGTGATAGTGGCCGCCTCTCTCACTCTCGCAAGCTTTGGATGTGCGGCCTCTGCTTGCTCTCCTCTGGGTGGTCTTCATGTGTTTCTACAGCGCTGCTGTTCCAAGGGTATCCCTTAGGCCTCCAGTGCAGGGACCATGCATGCTGGAGAAGTCCTTGCTTCTAGAGAGTGAAGAGTCTCCAGTATCCAGATCAAGGAAGGCTGGGACCACTGCTGAGGGACGAACTCAGAAGGCAAGTTTAAGACTTAAAGAGAAGGTGCAAGGTGTCCTTCCCCTATTGTCTGGCCCAGAATTTCAGAGTGTCAGGAAACAAGCTCAAGATTATTCCTTCAAGGCCAAGTGCAGTCGCTCACGCCTGTAATCCCAGCACAGCACTTTGGGAGGCCGAGGCAGGTGGATCACTTGAGGTCAGGAGTTCAAGACCAGTCTGGCCAACATAGTGAAACCCCATCTCTACTAAAAATAATAAAAAAAAAAATAACCAAGAATTGTGGCATGTGCCTGTGGTCCTTGCTACTCAGGAGGCTGAGGCATGAGAATTGTTTGAACCTGGAAGGCAGAGGTTACAGTGCAGTGAGCCAAGATAACGCCACTGCAACTCCAGCCTGGGTGTCAGAGCAAGACTCTGTCTCAAAAAAAACAAATGAATATTTCTTCTACTGGGGTCAGGGAGGACTAATGACGTGGGCCAGCACTGTGAAGAAAGCCCACCATGTTCTGCATCTTTATCCCAGTGCAGAAGCAGAGTGATGTGGGCAGAAGAGAGAGCAGCAACTCCAGGTTGGGCATCCCTCACAGGAGGGTCAGCACCTCCAGGTTGGGCATTCCGCACAGGAGGATCAGTTACACTGTCAGGTGGGGGAAGGGCTGGTCAGCTGGGACCTCAGGGAGGGGTGGAGACATCATCTCGGGATGGAAAATGAGACCAGGCACAGATCACCGAGCAGTGGGAGGCAGCCCGGCATTCCTTTGCCAACTTCTTTTTCCAAGGGGATGATGATACTCTACATACTGAAGTCATTTTCTCAGAATTTAATCTGGACCACAGAGTCTCCCGGAAGTGACTTGGTCAGTGTCCAGGGAGCCGGGGAGAAATGGAACGGGAAGATGTTTAAAAAGTAGCAGCCAGGTGTTTGCAGGAACAGGACCCAGGAGCAACAGAGCAGGTGCAGAACTCTGGCTGCAGGCATGTATTTGTCTCACCTCCTGTCCCTTAGCTTTCCCCAGGCCCACACCCTGGAGAGTTCATAGCCCCCCTCCACCCCAACCATTCGGTGCGTTTTGATCTCAACTCCCTGGAGAGAGACTCACTGTGGCTATAGTGGAGAAAAGGTGGAGAACTGACAGTGGAGAACTGACAGCTGGAGAACAGGCTGTGGCTATAGTGCCAAGACTCAGCAGATTTAGGAACTTCTTGAGTGACAATTGAACTTGCCCAGAGGGCATGTGCATGTTAACAAGGGTGGAAGACAATGCCCTGAGCCAAATAAAAGAATTGTAAGCAGTCTGAGTTCAGGTCTTATGGGATGAGAGGGTTTTGTTGTGCAGCACTTTACAATGCTCAGATCACACTGGTTATTCACCAACAGCTCTACCTGTCAAGAGGGCAGAAGGCCGGCGCTCACTGACTACTTGCTCTGTGGGTGGCACAGTGCTAAGCTTTTAAACATATATGATTAGCAAGATTTATCTTATTCAAACTTTACAACAGTCTTCTGAGGTAAATCTTAAGGAATCCCGATATTCAGATGAGAAGCAAGCATTGGTGGTTAAGTGACTTTCCTGGAGTCACCGGGCCATAGTGGAACTGGAATTGGGCCCCAGGTCTGGCTTCCAGGGCGCCCATGCTTTCTCCTTTCTAAGCTTGCTGCAAAACTTCCTGAACTCAGAGATGCAGACCAGAAATGCAAGTTCTGGAGGCTCCACCCCTGGGGCTCTGATTCCAGTCGGGGAGTGATGAGCACCAGCCAGTTGCCTCCAGGCGGCTGCTTAGGTCCAGCTCCTGGAAGCAGAAGCGGGCTCAGGTGGAAACAGGTGAGGAGACTTACCGGCGAGAGTTCTCAGGGCCATCACCTAGGGCGAGGATAGGACGCAGGTCAGGCTGTAAGTCACGGCAAGGCCTCAGTGGCGATTAATGGAAGCTCTGAAGCTGAGGCCACCCTTCAGAATTGGCCTGAGTTGAAAGGAGGGAGCCGGAGCTCTATACAGCTCCTTGAGCAACCACTGGGTTGAGTCGCCCTGGAAGGTGGGAGATAAGACGCACAGCCAGGTAGCTCTCTTCAGCGGAGGCGGTCCCAAAAGGGGCTAAGGGTGGAGAACTGTTAGCCACCCGCCTCCCGGCAGCTGGTGAAATACACCCTTGCATGCTGACCCTTTAATGATGAAGAGCCATTAATGCTGTGGATACACAGCGTTCACAACAGGAGCTCTGTATAAAATCCACAGAAACCATGTCTGAAGTCACGGGAGTCCCGCCGAACAACCGTTCACAGATCCACCTTCATGGTTCTCACCGGTGGTTTATGAGTGCCAGTAGGGGGCAGCAAAGAGCTTCTCAGGTGCTGTTACCCTACTGTACTGAGTTGCTGGAGCAAGAGCCTGGAGCAAGCACCACCTGGGAAGGAATTGCTGGGTGCCAGAAATGCAAGCGAGCCCAAGACTCCACCATCATTAGCAAAATCTGACAGTAAATAGGTAGGTAGGACGCAGATCACAAGGAACGTATGTCATGCAAAGAAGCTGGGTGTTACTCTAGAGCTGATGGGAAGCCCCTGAGTGGTTTTCAGCCTGGGAAGTGATGCATTTGATGTGTTTTAGGAAGCTTGTTCTGTCTTCAGGGAGGATGCAGGCAATGGGAATGCAGAGGGTGCCTTATTAGGGGGTGCCATTTCTTTGCAGCCATGCAACAAATTACTTAACCTCACTATCCAGGCCTGAAAAATTGCGAGGAGGTAACAGTGTCCACATTACAGAGCTCCCATGCCAATTAAGAGGAATAAGCTATATAAAATGCTTAGCACAATTCTTGATAAATAATGCCTACTCACTAAACCTTGTTAGAGTGATTATTTTCATTATATTTAAAGATTTAATCAAGAGACTGTGGTTACAGATTGGATGTAAGGAGAGGAGGATGGCAAGGCCATTCATGGACACCAGACATGAAAGCGGAGGTTTGCAGGGAGAGGAGGAACCCCAGGAGGCAGACAAGTCTGGGGCCCCCTGCCTGAGTGAGGATGGAGATATTGGGATCTGAGAATCAACAGTGTAGTGGAAGAAACTATACCAAGAGGGATGCATGAGGTCCCCCCAGGAAATAACCAGACAAAAGAGTAAGCATGCACTCCAAACAGCTTCAGAATGGAAAAGGACTGAAGAAGAAATTGCAGGCGATGCTGACATTTTAAGGGTGTTAAGGCATGAGAGGAGCAGCCCCTGGTGGAGAATATAAAGGAGGCCAGGCAGGTATAGGAACAACAGGGGAGAGCAACAACCCAGATGCCAGGAGAGCTGGGTTTTCAAGGAGAAAGTAGCTGGCAAAGAGTCCAGTGCAGCACAGATGTCAGGCAAGATGGGTCTGGGGAGGGGAAGGAATGGACAGCTTTTCTAGAACAACACTAGTGAGGGCAGAGGGCCAACCACAGTGAGCCGAGGAGCTCAAGCTGGAGAGGCAGCAGACAGTCATATGTGGGTGGTAAGGTGGGCAGCCTACAGGTTTTATTAAGTAGGCAGTGTAGAAGGACAAACATGGATAAATCGAGATATGTGATTGATAGATAGATGATAGATAGATGATGATAGATAGATAGATAGATGATAGATAGATAGATAGATAGATAGATAGATAGATAGATAGATAGATAGATCAGACTACAGCTTAAGTCCCACTTGTCAACTCTGTCTTCTAAGCACTTACCTATATTATCTCATTTAATAATTTGGGATGTGTATTGTTATCCCTGTTTTAAAAACAAGGAGAGTCTGGGTGCAGAGAGATTACAGGAGTTGCCCAAGATTACCCACTAGGAAGCGGTAGACCCAGGCATCAAATCCAGGCAGTCTGACTCCCTTTTAAGATATCTGAAGGCTTTATCTTAGGTATCATTATTTAGTGATGGCATGTAGGGAGGACTGGTGGTGAGTAACCTAGAGATGGGGGATGAGAAGGAGTGAAGGGACTGAAGAAAGAGGTAAAGGCCAGAATTTGAAGTGGTCCCAAGAGCAAAGTAGATGTTACTCAAGAACAAGGCAGCCTGGGGTGATTGAGTGTGTTTATTCTGCCTGGCTAAGTGTTGTAGAAAATTGTAATGGAATAAATAAAATATTTAGAAAAGCATTGAGGTGAGAAACGATTCATATAGCGTGATTTATTTTGTAAGTAAAGGTGAGCATATATAAATATGCAACCACATAGTTGCTTATATAGAGAGAATACTCCTGAAAAGATACAAGAACTGGCTAGGTGCGGTGGCTCACGCCTGTAATCCCAGCACTTTGGGAGACCAAGGTGGGCGGATCACCTGAGGTCAGGAATTCAAGACCAGCCTGGCCAAAACATGGAGAAACCCCATCTCTACTAAAAATACAAAAATTAGCCAGGCGTGGTGGTGGGTGCCTGTAGTCCCAGCTACTTGGAAGGCTGAGGCAGGAGAACCGCTTGAACCCAGGAGGCAGAGGTTGCAGTGAGCCAAGATCCTTTGCACCATTGCACTTCAGCCTGGGCTACAAGAGCAAAACTCCGTCTCAAAAAAAAAAAAAAAGATAAAAAGATAGAAAAGATACAAGGAACTGAAGAGAGGAACTGGGATTAGGAATCAGAAGGAGGAAATCTCACTTTCTACTACATCAACTCTTATGTTTTTGATATTTTAGAATCATAAGTATAGGCCGGGTGCGGTGGCTCATGCCTGTAATCCCAGCACTTTGGGAGGCCAAGGCAGGCAGATCACGAAGTCAGGAGGTCGAGACCAGCCTGGCCAACATGGTGAAATCCCATCTCTACTAAAAATACAAAAATTAGCTGGGTGTTGTGGCATGTGCCTATAATCCCAGCTACTCGGGAGGCTGAGGCAGGAGAATCTCTTGAACCACGGAGTCGGAGGTTGCAGTGAGCCGAGATCGCGCCACTGCACTCCAGCCTGGCAACAGAGTGAGACTCCATCTCAAAAAAAAAAAAAAAAAAAAAAAAAAAAAGAATCATGAGTATATATCAATATTTTAACTTATAAAATTTTAAACATAAATATAGAAAATAATAATATAATAAACTCGTGTCCATCAGCCACCTTTACCAAACATCTGTATTTGTGGGTATATACATTGTTTCATATGTTAAAAAATGAAACAGATAGAACAGAACCTTCCTTTGTATCTTCTCCATATTCTGATTTTATACCCCCCATCTATCAGTAAGTCACTATCCTATATTTGATCCTTATCATTCCCCTGTATTTTTCATACTAAGTCTCTCTATATTATAGCTATGACTATATATGTGTATCTATATATCAGCATGGTTTAAAACTTTATAAAATAGTATCCTATAGATCCTGTCATTCTGTAACTTGCTATTTTCATTCAAAAAGTGTTTGCAATATATCCAAGTGGATACATGTAGATCTAATTCACTTTTCATGGCTGTATGATTCTATTTTATGAGTATATTATACAATTATATAATTATACATTTCCTGGTTTTGGCTTTTAGGTTGTCATTTTTCAAAAATAAAAATAATCATGTATACTCTTCTCTATGTCTCCATATGCACATGTGTCCCTGTGATTTATACACAGTTACAGAATTGGTGATGTGAAATTATGGGCATCTTCAACATTACTATACAGCTCCAGGTTTTCTGTCATCAACTGTCATGAGAGTGGACTTTGCTACAGATCCTTGCAACACATTGTTGTGTCTTTCCAGCTTTATTAGCTTTTGCCAATCTGATTGCTGTGAAATCATATCTCAATGTGGCCTTTTTTTTTTTTTTTTTTATGGAGTCTCGCTCTGTCACCCAGGCTGGAGTGCAGTGATGCGATCTCGGCTCACTGTAACCTCTGCCTCTTGGGTTCAAGCGATTCTCCCACCTCAGCCTCCTGAGTAGCTGGGATTACAGGCGTGTGCCACCATGCCTGGCTACTTTTTTTGCATTTTGGTAGAGATGGGGTTTCACCATGTTGCCCAGGCTGGTCTCAAACTCCTGAGCTCAGACGATTCACCCACCTTGGCCTCCAAAAGTGTGGCTTTAATTCACTTTTCTCTGATTACCAGTAAAATTGTGTACCTTGTTTCATAAGCTTCTTGTTATCTAGTGAATTGCTAGTGAATTGCCATCTAGTGACATTGCTTGCTTATATCTTTTTGTCATTTTTCTCCATTCAGTCTTTGTCTTTTTCACATTGATTTGAAGGAGGTATTTATTCATCCTAGGTACTAATACTTTTACCACATATATCTTCTCCCAGTTGGTAACTTGCCTTTATTTTTTTAATTTTCTTTATGGTTTTATATTACACAAAAAAACCTTTTAAGTTTAATTTGCTAAGGTTTATTGATCTTTTCCTTCATAATCTGTATTTGTTTATTGTCTTGTTTAAGACTTTTTTCTTATCTATAGAGTTACAAATATATTTTCCTAAATGTTATTCTAGAAGTTTTTTTGACTTTTTATTTGGGTCTTTCACATACTTGTAATTAATTTCTTTATTGATCTTTTCCTTCATAATCTGTATTTGTTTATTGTCTTGTTTAAGACTTTTTTTCTTATCTATAGAGTTACAAATATATTTTCCTAAATGTTATTCTAGAAGTTTTTTTGACTTTTTATTTGGGTCTTTCACATACTTGTAATTAATTTCTTTGTTGATCTTTTCCTTCATAATCTGTATTTGTTTATTGTCTTGTTTAAGACTTTTTTTCTTATCTATAGAGTTACAAATATATTTTCCTAAATGTTATTCTAGAAGTTTTTTTGACTTTTTATTTGGGTCTTTCACATACTTGTAATTAATTTCTGGACATGCTGCAAATAAAGAATCTATTTTTGCATGTATAAAAGTAATAACTTTAGCACCATCTTTTCCTAATACATTTTTAATGATAGCTCTCTGATATATCAAATATATCTCTATTCTGATCCTTTGGCCTATTTTCCTATCCCTATGTTAATAGCACATCATCCTAATTGCCCCATCTTTGTAATAAGGTTTGATATCTGACACTTTGGGCCTTCTCTTTCATCTATATTTTAGATGCAGCTTAAATTAGAAGGGGAAAAAGTTTAGTTATTTGTAGTGGAATTTTATTAAAATTTTAGATTAGTGATGACAGGAATCTTATTATAGTCAATCTACTCTTCCATGAACATAGTACATATCACCATTTATTCTGTCTTCTCCTATATCCTTTAATAATGTGTCAGAATTTTCTACATGAAGGCCTTGCATATTTTGTTAGATTTTCCATATTGTCTAACCAAATGGGTAGGGTTTTTTTTTTTGGTTTTGCCATTACAGCTTCTAAGTTGTTATTATTATAGTTAAGCCATTGATTTATGAGAGTTTATATTGAATCTAGCAACCATGATCCAGTAAACTTGCATCCAGCACCTCTTTGATTTTCCTATTTTTCTGTATATTTATATTCTCTTAGATTCTCTATGTAGATAACCTTATTAATATTTGTAAATATGGATAATTTTCTCTCTTCCTTTGTAATTCTCATGTATCCCAGTTCTTATTCTCTTATTTTACTGTGCTAATTAGGACCTCTAGTAAAATGTAAATTAGATATGTTCATAGGAAGTATTTAGTTCTGTTTTAATATAATTAAAATGCTTCTAATGGCTCACCACAAGTACAATCCTTACTATAATAAATTCTTTCTTTCTTTCTTTCTCTTTCTTTCTTTCTTCTGTTTTCAGGGTCTCACTCTATCACCCAGGCTGGAGTGCAGTGGTACAATCATAGCTCACTGCAACCTCACCCTCCTCCGGGGCTCAAGCAATCCTCCCACCTCAGCCACTTGAGTAGCTGGAACTACAGGTGGATGCCACCATGACTGGATAGTTCTTTTAATTTTTTTTTTTTGAGATGGAGTCTTGCTCTGTTGCCCCGGCTGGAGTGCAGTGGTGCAATCTTGGCTCACTGCAACCTCTGCCACCTGGGTTCAAGCGATTCTCCTGCCTCAGCCTCCCGAGTAGTTGGGATTACAGGTGTATGCCACCACACCTGGCTAATTTTTTATTATTATTTTTAGTAGAGTCGGGATTTTCAGCATCTTGGCCAGGCTGGTCTTGAACTCCTGACCTCATGATCCACCTGTCTTGGTCTCCCAAAGTGCTGGGATTACAGGCGTGAGCCAAAAATTTTTTGTACAGATGAGGTTTCACAATGTTGTTTGGGCTGATCTTGAACTCCTTGCCTCAAGTGATTATCCTGCCTTGACCCCCCAAAGTGCTGGGATTATAAGAGTGAGCCACCACACCTAGCCAGTTAGTACTTTTTAGCCAACAGGGGCTTCCTCTTGTTACTATTTTTTTCAAAGAGTTGTTATAAATTAATCTTGAATAAAATTCAGAACTTTTTTTATGTCAAATGATACAACCAAATCTTTTCTGGGCTTAGATATATTAAGGTGTAGAATTATTTTAATGAATGTTCTAGTTCCAGTGTTAAACCATTTTTGTATTTCTGGAATAAGACGTTGCCACTTAAGATTTATTTAAAATAATGACAGCCAATTATCTTTATCTATTAATATATAGGGTTATATCAACAGCCTTTCTATGTAAGTGTTTTCTAAGAAGTATCATTTGTCTTCAGGATCAAACTGCATATCTAATCATCTCCTTCCATGATTTAAAATATTTCAGTGGCTCTCTATTGTTAGAGATTATTTCCTGTACATGCAAACTTCTTCATGACTTGATCCCCACATTGTATCTCTGAATTTTCTGCTTATCTCTGGCTCCTTTTCTTTGCTTATTGAGTCTAACCTGTCACCAAAGCCTGTTACCTTTCCCTTATAATGTATCATTTCAATATATTTGTGTGTGTGTGTGTGCGTGTGTGTCCCCTCCTCTGTCTAGATCTACAATCAGTTGTTTAGTTTCGCCTCAAGAATCTCTCATCCAGATTGTTTTGATGGGCTTCTAAATGATTATCCAGAGTGATGTTGTAAAGCACAAATTCGTTTATGTCACTCACATTTTCAAAATCCTTCAGTTGACTGTGTGCTGACATTTGCTCATACTGGCTTCAGAGAGTCCATTGTTAATATTTAGGAATTTTGCAAGCCAGTTGTTAAATTGATGTTAGCCTGAAATTGGCTGTGGTGAGACAATTTAGGAAAAAAAAATAGCAAATTCTGCAAATCAGTGATTTCTTTTTTTGTTTGTTTGTTTGTTTTTTGAGAGGCAGTTTTCTAGCTCACCATTTACTCATGAGATGAAGGACATAGCCCCATAAACAAGTTTCTACTTTGTGTCCTAGTCAACTTACAGTTTCCAGAGCTTTTCTACTTCCTTATTTTGTACTATCTCACTTCTGGTTGTAATTCACTTCCTTTCTCCACCCCATATGCTCCCTTGCCTGAACCCAGTTCAATGTTCATCCCCTACGGAAACACCTACAAGATCCCTTTTTCCTGCACTTCTACGACAAGCACTTATTCTACAATAGCCTAGTCATTGGTTTCTGGTTCTGTATTGTCCTTAATATGCAAGCTCCACAAAGCCACGCACTCCTATTCTTCATCTATTTGTTGCCCCATAGTTAACATACTGTCTGGAACATGACAAGTGGTACATAAACGTTGGCCAAATAAGAAAGGAATAAAAAATATATCTTCCCACTTTCAGCCAGGCACGGTGGCTCATGCCTGTAATCCCAGCACTTTGGGAGGCCTAGGAGGGCGGATCATGTGGTCAGGAGTTCGAGACCAGCATGGCCAACATGGTGAAACCCCGTCTCTACTAAAAATACAAAAATTAGCTGGGTGTGGTGGCGGGCACCTGTAATCCCAGCTGCTCAGGAGGCTGAGGCAGCATAATCATTTGAACCCAGGAAGTGGAGGTTGCCGTGAGCCAAAATCACACCATTGCACTCCAGCCTGGGCGACAGGGTGAGGCTCTGTCTCAAAATACATATATATATATATATGTGTATATCTTCCCGCTTTTTAAAGTATTCATGTTTCCTTCATGCTCATAAGGAGAACTGTAGCATGGCACAACTTCTAATTCTGTCCTCAACCACAAAGCGGAACTGGTCAATCGACCCCAAATCCAGAGAATATTCACTCATCCAGAAGGAGCCAAACAAAACAGGAATTCTTATTTTTCTTCCCATCTGACTGGAGAGAGCTGGAGAAAGTTACTGGAACAAAATTGTTGAAAGTGGTTGCTCTTGTTTTCTGTTGCTGCATCACAAACTACCCAAAATGTAGTGGTTTAAAAGAACCATTTTATTTGTTCACAATCATGTAGGTCAAGATTCAGGAAACTGCTTGGCTGAGCAGTTTGACACTCATCCACGTGGTCTCCAGAGGGCGAGCCGGTGTTGGGGGACCCACTCCCAAGATGGCTTCTCCACTCAAATGTTTAGCATCCTGTGTTCTTTGGTCTCCCCATCTCCATGTGGCATGTCATCTGCCAGGGCCTCTCTGCATGGCTTGGGCTTTTCACAGCATGATGATCTCAGGATGCATGTCCTTTTTACATGATGGCTATCTTCCAGCAGAATGAGCCAGAAGCCGCCAATCTGCCTAAAGTGTAGCCCCAGAGCAAGCATAAGATTACTTCTCACATACTCTATTGGTCAAAACAGTCCCAGGCCAGCCCAGATTCAAGGATAGGAAGAGTAGACTCTGTTTTCCATGGAAAGAATATCAAATACTTTGTGACCATTTTTAATCAGCCACAGAGGTGACTCATTGTTGTCTCTCTCTGATGGGAATGAGGATAGAAAAGCTACAGTGAGAGGAAAATATGAAGTCCAGAGATATCCCCCATGGAATTAGTTACCATCTCCAGCAAGCTGCAGTGACACCTGGCACCAGACATTTAATGAAATCCCACAGGAAACTGCTAAACTCATTTTTTTCTAGCATTGACCCTAAATCCATCCCAGCTGACATAACAGCCTCTTAGCTAAACTCTAGCAATTTCCTAAGTCAGAAGAGTAGATAGAATATGTTCTTAAACTGTAGCTATTAGAGAAAAAGTGTTGCCTCACATATGATGAGCAGTGAGTCAAGAAGTCATCCTCACTACAGCAGAGAAAATAGAAAGGATTGAGCCTTCTAAAGATGATCAAAAGGAAAAGTAATGGTGTGTAAACCACCTAACCATACTGCAGAAAAGGGAAGGCAGCAGAAATATGCACACACACACACACACACACACACACACACACAAAGCAAGTAAAACTAGCTTCCGCCCCCAACCCAGACATCTAGATGTCAAGGTTTGAATGTGTTTCCTGAGCAATATAAACTGTAATCATTAAGGGCTTTTGATGCTTCTAGATCACTGTATCCATTAAGGTTAAGCAGAACACAGACACCATACTCAATAGGGGTGATTGAAAATTATGGAGCAAATTGCCTATTAACCAAGGTGAGGGGAGCATTGAGGGAAATAAACATGAGAAGGTGAAGCACAAGGGTGCAAACAAGAGAAGAATGAAGACCCTGGGCCTGAGGGGACAGGGAAGAAGCTAATGCTGGAAGCCAACAAGGAAGGACTGAAGCTGCAGGAAGGGCTGCCTGAAAGGAGATGAGCATAGGTAGAAGAAAGCCACTGTGAAACCTTAGAGCAGAAGGGAAGGAACTTTGGTAACAAATGCCCTGATCTCCTTCTGCTTCTTGCTCCTCCTTCTACCAAGGCCACTCTTGGCTGAATGCAACTAGAAGGAGAAACCAAGCAAAGGCAGCCTTTTTGATCAGGTCCTCAGAGCCCAGCCTACTGGAGCACAAGACAGAGCAGGGACGTGTGGAAACTGGGCCTGGAGAGACGGTGCAGATTCTGCAACTGAGCTGGCCTGGTAACCACATGCAACCTAATTTCTGTAATACGTGAATATATGTTAATAGCGATACCTCTTTTGAAGAAGAATCTTAGAATTATCTGTATCTCCCCTCTTGGTCTACAGAGCTTTTAAGGATCTGAATCCATTTGGTTTCTTATCTTAAACAATGCATATGGAAGATTTATTTAATTTGACATTATAGAACTAATAAGTTCTGATTAAGCAGAATAAACATGGCTGACGATTGCTGTAGAAGATAGGTTTAAAATAGTGATATAAAAAATATATATATATATATATTTTTTTTTAGACGGATTCTCACTCTGTCACCCAGGCTGGAGTGCAGTGTCATGATCTCGGCTCACTGCAACCTCTGTCTCCTGGGTTCAAGCGATTCTCATGCCTTAGCCTCCTGAGTAGCTAGGATTACAGGCAGGCACCATCACACCTGGCTAATTTTTGTATTCTTAGTAGAGACGGGGTTTCGCCATACTGGCCAGGCTGGTCTCAAACTCCTGATCTCAGGTGATCTGCCCACTTCGGCCTCCCAAAGTTATGGGATTTAAAATAGTGATTTCTGATGAAAAAGAGAAATAGTGAAATGATGAAGGATAAAATAATAGATAAGTAGGGCAAAAAGAAGCCAAACTAAGCATAATTAATGGCTGTAAAGTAAAAAAAAAAAATCCACAAAGGATGCAGATGACACATTTAAGGTAAAATACAAGAAAAATTTCTAAAATATAGAAATGATAAAGACTGAAATAATAAACCAGAAAAAAATTGTTTCAAATCCCTCAACTCCATGACACATTCTAACTGATATATTGAACTCAACAATAAAAATACTTTTCAGGCAGAAAAAGGAAATCACATTCTAAAGAAGGCAAAATATGAGACAGGACACATACATCTCCAGATCAATATTAAATATCAGAAAACAGTAATGCTACAAAATTTCACAATGAAAAAGTTTAAGCCAAGAATATGATTAAATTAAACCTAAGGTGGCCCAACCGACAGCCACCCCTCTTATTCCTGGTAACAGACTTCAGATTTCTTTTTCTGGCACCAGGGTACACACCTACCCAGGATGCCAATCACGGTTTGTGTAAGGCAGGCACGGCGATGTATATGGCTGATGTAGCAGTGAGAATGGGCCCACTTCTGGCTACTGAAAACTGAGAAGTCTGATTGGGATTCCAAGAAAAGTTTTCTCCAAATGACTGGATAGAGAAAAGTTATTTTATGCTGCACCTTTGATTCCTGCCTGGGTAGCTATGATTTGAGGATGTGTAGCTTAGAGTTCCAGCAGCCATCTTGAAACCATGATGTCGCATCACCACGCAGGAATGGCAGAGCACAGCGCCTGAAGAAGCCTCAGAGTTTAGGCCGGGCGTGGTGGCTCAAGCCTGTAATCCCAACATTTTGGGAGGCCGAGGCGGGCGGATCACGAGGTCAGGGGATCGAGACCATCCTGTCTACCACGGTAAAACCCTGTCTCTAATAAAAATACAAAAAATTAGCCAGGCTTGGTGGCGGGTGCCTGTAGTCACAGCTACTTGGGAGGCTGAGGCAGGAGAATGGCGTGAACCCGGGAGGCGGAGCTTGCAGTGAGCTGAGATCCTGCCACTGCATTCCAGCCTGGGCGACAGAGTGAGACTCCGTCTCAAAAAAAACACAAAAAAACAGAAGCCTCAGAGTTTAATGACATCCTTCAAACATTATCATCAATACTGGCACTGCTCACTTCTGGGCTTCTTAAGTAACTCAGAAGAGTCTTGATCTTAAGCTGCTATTAGTCTGATATCCATTTACTTACTATTGAAATTATCCTAAGAACACTCTTTCCATTAAAATCTTTTGCATTGCAATTAAATCTAAGCTCCTTGGGGGCAGAAATTTTAGTTGGTTTTGTTTACTGATGTCTCTTCATTGCTTAAAAGAGCTCAGTGGCATAGCAGGTATAAAATAAATATTTGTTGAATAAATTACAATAAAAAGCAAAACAAAACAAACCCGTTATACTAGGAGTCTAAACATGATAAGCATTCCAACAGCAGAATTGCCCTAAAATGTCTTTAGAAAGACCACTTTAAAAACAAATAAACACAACCCCGATTTACTGATGCAAAACCCATTGTCTGTGGTCCATGGCACATGGCCAGGGTGTGTCAGGAAAGCTGTGAGTGATTGGTTAACAGTGTTCCATCCTTGCAAGGCAGACTGCATGGGTCAGAAAACCAGTGCAATGGCACCGACTACTCCTGAATATTCCCTAAGAGTTGTGACTGTTCAAATCATTTATATGTTTCAGTAGGTAACCATTCTAAGGCATTAATTTATAGTGCATATGTGTATATGCATTATATATACATATATATGCAGTATATATAATGCATATGTGTGTGTGTGTGTGTATATATATCCCATTTTAAAATTTCTGTAGTAGAAGGAAAATTCAGATTATGTGGGACTGGATTAAATAATCTCATTTAATTTTTAGATAATTAAACCCTTTTTTGAATTGATTGGTCTAACCTCCAGAAATATTATTTGCCCAGAACAGAGCAGGCCACAGGAATTCCAGGAAAATTATCTTCTGATCCATCTTCTCAGATATTCCTCATAATCTAGAAGAACAGTTCCCAAATATGGTGTCTACTCTCTGATGTATCTCAGTGAGCAAAGAGATGTGTCATAAGTAATCTGAAGCTAATAACCATTAAAGAACTGATGTACTTCAAATGATGTGCTTTATAAATAACTCTGAGAAAATTCAAGGTTACCTCTATGAAAGCATCCCTCTTGCTTGCACTCTGATGTTTTCCCGAAGTGTTATGCCAGATATCACCCCTTTCCTGGACCTTGCTCTGTGCCCCAGGCACTGATCTGAATTGACTACATCAATGAAATCTATGGGTGATTGCAAGTGATAGCCACAAATTCCTCCCTTCTCTATATCCATCCCTTTTGCAGCTGTGGCTTTGCTGTTCTTTCCACAAAGAGGCAGACTCTATTTATTCATTTCCCCCTACTCCTTCAGGCTCCAGAATCTGAGCCAACTTGTGACTTACTTTGACCTAGAGAATGTAGCAAAAGTAAGTTGTGGGATTTCTGAGCCTGACCCCGAAGAGGTCCCAACAGCTTCTGCCCTCTCTTGGAACCTGAGACTACCATATGAGACAGCCTGGGCTACCCTCCTGGAGGATAAGAGACCATATATAGAGAGAGGCCAAGCTGAGAGCCGACACCAACTGCCAGACACGTGATTGAGGCCATTGTAGACCTTCCCATCCTAGGTGAACATCCAGACAACTGTAACGGCATAAGTGGACTCAGGAAAAACAGCATATGAGCCCATTCCAAACTGCTGACCCACAGAATCTTAAATTCAAAGAAAATTCAGTGACATTGCTAATGAGTCCAGTGGCCTGGGGCATGTTAATGTATCCTTTCCAAGGTGAAGTACAGGTTGCTGTATCTGGTGGCTCCTATTACTATATTAAAAGGCTAAATGCTGTAGGAGGCAAAGGAAAAACTTCCCCCTTCACCCTTGGAAGATTCGCTGAAAAATCAATTCACAAAAGGCAGGTTAATAAGCGAAGAGGCATACCAATTTATCAGTGTGCACAGGAGAGAATCACAGAGTTAGTACCCAATATCTCAATAGAGTACAGATGCTTATATACCCTACTTCTTAGGGGAAAGGAAGATGGGGAAGTGCGGATGATTTTAGGGGGATAGTAAATGATTTTTAGGGGAATTCAATGGGCTTGAAGAATATACAGTAGCCTGGGACAAAGTCTGTTGGGCCCACAAAGCAAACACTAGTTTGTGACAAAAGTCTGTCCTGATTTGTTGACAAACCTCAGTCTCCCTTCCTATGAAATGGGTTCAGTTAATGAATACTCAGGGAAAGGACGGAGGGTGATTTTTTTTTTTTTTTTTGTAATCCCAAACTTCAGGCAGATAAGGGAACTTTAGAGAACAACTTCATCCTGTGCTTTGAGAGAGGTAGAGGATTCAAAGAAGGAGTGGGGAGGGAAGGAAAAACAATTGTTCTCCTCGGTGAGTTTGTCTGGTCTTTACGTAGAGAGGGGAAATCTCTTCCAGCACCTGTTCATCTCAAACCGTCTTTAATTCAAAACACTCATTATATCAGGGAGTCATATTTTGGAGTGAAGTTCCCTGTGTTCCTTCAATACCTAATGGGTCTCTTTGGGTTTTAGATACAATGTATATCTCACTTGGTCAAGCTACTCTGACCCATTTTCCAAGCAGCATGAAGGCTGCCCATTTTGATTAAGAACCAGAGGGGGAAAAAATGCATGGATCAGGTCAAAGCTGTCATTCAAACTGCTCTGGCACTTAGGTGGTATAACCCAGAAGATCTGATCATGTTTGATGTGTCTGTGGCAGATAGAAATGGTTTGTAGAGCCCTTGGCAGGCCCCTAGAGAAGAATCACAGCAAAATCCATGAAGAATTTAGAGTGAAGCTGTGCCACCCTCTTCAGATTCTATTCTTTTGAAAGTTTTTAGCTTGCTATAGGCCCTAGTAGACAGCAAATGCTTTACCATAATATACAAGTTACTAGGCAACCTAAGCTACCCTATCACTAACTGGATGTTGTCTGATCCTGCAAGTTACAGAGCTGGTCATGCACCGCAGCACTCCATTGTTGAGTGGAAACGGTGGCTACAAGATTTGGCTAACAGGACCCAGAGGCTCAAATAAATTGTGTGATCAAGTAGTCCTGATTCCCATGCTCCTACTCTTGCTACTTTGCCTTCACTCTCTCTACTTAGCACAAATTGCTTCATGGAGAATTCTCTGTGACTAGTTAACTGAGGAAGAAAAACTGCAAGCTTGGTTTACAGTTGGTTCTGCAGAAGATTCTGGCAGTATCCAAAAACAGAGAGCCACAACACTTCAGCCACATTCAGGAGTAGACTCAAAGGAAAATAATGTCAATCGAGTGAAATATTTTCAGAACTTCAAGCAATGCACCTCTGGCTATTAAATGTGCCTTTAAAAAAAGATGGTTAGATGTTTATATCTATATACTGATTCATGAACATTGACTAAAAGCTTGGTTGGAAAGATGGAGACTTGAAAGTAAGATGATGAGAAATGTGGTGTCAGGGTGGTCTGGGGAAAAGCTATGTGGATAGACCTCTCTTAATGGGCACAAGTGTGAAAATTACTTGTGTCATGTGTGAACGTTCACTGAAGAGCAGCCTTGGTTAAGGAGAATCTTTTTAAAATTTTTATTTTATTTTTCCATAAGTAATTGGGGTACAGGTGGTATTTGGTTACATGAGTAAGTCCTTTATTGGTGATTTGTGAGATTTTGGTGCATCCATCACCCAAATTGTGTGGAGATTCCTTAAAGAATAAAAGTAGAACTACAATTTGATCCAGCAATCCCACTACTGGGTATCTACCCAGAGGAAGATAAGTCATTATTCAAAAAAGATACTTGCACACGCATGTTTATAGCAGCACAATTCACAACCGCAAAATCGTGGAACCAACCCAAATGCCCATCAATCAACGAGTGGATAAAGAAACTGTGGTATATACATACAATGGAATACTACTCCATTAAGGAGAATCTTAATAGTCAGGTGGAAGTCAGGAGAATCTTAATAGTCAGAATGATGAATTCTGTGGATGTCAGTTAATCTCATTCCCCAGTCAACCCTGTCTTTAACCAATGGGCTCATGAACAGAGAGCATGGTGGCAGGGATGGGAATTACGCACGGGCTCAGCAACATCAAAACCATTTTGGCTACAGCTACCACTGAACACACAGCCTGCCAACAGCAGGGACCAGCAATGAACGTGCACTACATGTATCAATTAATTTCATCATCTTACATGGCCGTGGTTCATGGTACCCCAAAAAGTTATAGTAGTAACAATATAATCACGATCACAGACCCCCATAACAGACATAACAATAATGAAACAGTCGGACGTGAGAATTACTAGAATGTGACACAGAGACACAAAGTGAGAAGATGCTGTTGGAAAAATGGCAACGGTAGATTTGCTAGACACACGGTTGCCATGAAACTTTCAGTTTGTAAAAAATGCAATTATCTGTAAAGCACAATGAAGTGAAGTGCAATAAACAAGGTGCACCTGTACTAAGAACCACTTCCATCATGAAAGAAGCAGTGCTTGGTTCTCAGGAAGAGAAACTTCCCTGGATATGGACTGATTTTTTTCTGTCCACAATGCTTTTGTCAAAACCAGCATCTCTGGGCTTCTTAGTCATCTTATTCACCATCATGGTAATCCACACTTCATTACTTCTGTCCGAGAAAGAAGATTTTATAGCAAATGAAGTATAACGGCAGGTTCGTGCTCATGTGATTTACTGGGGTTACCACGGTTCCATGAATTAGCTGGCTCTATGAAATGATAGAATGGCTTTTTGAAGCCTCAGTTTTGGTAGCAGTGAGGCGGCAACCCTTTGACACAACAAGTTATATGTGCCGAATAAGCAATTGATACATAGGAGCTTCTTTCTTGCCAGGGTTCCCAGGGTCAAGTATCATGATGCAATATTAGCAGTTCTTCATATTTTCCCTTCTTGTTCTACTAGCAACATTTTTATAATCAATTCCTGCAACTTTACACTTTTCTGCTTTAGACAGTTTAGTTCCTAAGGGAGAAATGTTTCCACCAAGGGACACAGCAGTCATTCCATTAAACTGGAAGTCAGATTGCCACCTGGACACTTTGAGCTCCTCAGTCTCTGACAATCAGGCAAATCTAGTATAATTGTACTGGCTGGTATAGTTGCTTCTGACTATCAAGGGGATTGGGGGTTGCTATTAAACAATAGGGTCAAGGAGGAATATGTCCAGAATGCAGGAGACCTTCTCTGCACCTGTCAGTACTCCTACATTCTGTAATAAAAGCCAACGAAAAATTACAGCAACACAACACAGACAGATTGAAAATGGAACATACACTTCAGGAATTTAGAGTTTGTGTCATGTGTGAACATTCACTAAAGAGCAACCTCAGGTAAGGAGAATCACCCCACCAATCCAGGAGGCCTACAACCACCTGAGGTGCTTGCTGAGGGCAAAGGAAACATGTGACGGGTTGTGGATGATGAAAATGTGTAAATACCTGCAACAACCATGTGAACAGTTGCAGACATAAAGGTAATAGTGTTCTGAGCATTTATTTCTTGCTTTTCTATGAATATATTTGTATAATATTAACCAAGTATTTTTTTGTGTCTCTTGTTTTCAAACTCTCTACCATTTTCAAACTATCTAGCATAAGATATATTATTAGTGGTTAACTTTATCTCTCAGGAATTCGGTTACAGGCTGTCAGGGGGAAATGTGATTCAGCTAAAAGGGAAACAAATACCATCATGTGAATGAAGTGAACATGGGGGACTTCATATTCTCCTTCGGGGGGGACGGTTCATGTACTTTCACTTACGTAAGGAATTGTTGCCTTATGTTAGGCAGAAGCACGATTTTGCTTGTGTTTTGTTTGGAAGCTAAACGTGGTTTAAAAAGCACGTGTGGGGGTCAAATGGATGAGGAATGGACAGTATCAAATTGTGCTGTGTCGACTTGGCTGAGGTGGGGGTAGAATTTTCCTAGAATTTCCTTCCCTGAATGATTCCAGATTATAGTCATCCAAAAGAGGAAAATATTCCAAATTTGGAAGGCAGAAGTAAATCCGTCACCATTATACTCCGAAGGTTCTTGAGGTCAGATGCAGTAACAGAGAGATTCAGGAGTGCCCACTTGTTCCACATTGTTCACATTCACTCCGAGCCGCATCCAGCTCTTCTCCCAGGCTGCTTGTTCTGTTGACCCACAGGGATCCCAGATCCACCTCCAGGAGCTTGGCTGTGGATCCACAGAGGAGGTCAATCCATGAACCCTTCCAGCACCACTTTGAAAGCTGGACACCTTATCAGGTTGACTGGTTAGTACCTCCTTTTCTGACCCTCTTATTCTTTCTTTCGAACTTTCATTCCCTGCCTCCTTCAACAACTGGGTAAGGTCTAATTCTAATAATGAATTCCTTATTCCCTAATCTCACAATGACTCAGCTGCCTGAATAAATCCTGATTGATACAGGTTTGTTGCTGTCGTTGCCATTGTCACATCCTGGCTTCTAAGTGGGTTCAGCTGATGGGGATTAGCTGACAAGACTAGAGAAAGGATAGGTTGGCCAAGGAATTAATTCTCCTGGTTCTCCCCGCATGCTGCTGACCCTGTCTGGCTAGGCTGTGTTCCTCAACCAAAGGCCACAGCTCCTGCGACAGTCACACTTGCCCACAGAACTCATTCCATGTCCAGTTGCCTGTCATTGTTTCTTCTCCTTATCCCTTCAGGTCTTGGAATCCACAAAGCTTCATCCTATCACTAGCCCAAGGGGACTGCACTATCCCTTCTGTTTCCCTTCATCCTGCCCACACTTTGTCAATATTCACTTCAGTAAACACTCCTCAAGCTTAAGTGTGTCTCATAGACCTAAATGTAAGGGCTAAAATGATAAAAACACTTAGAAGAAAATGCAGGAGTGACTCTTCATGACCTTAGGCAATGGTTTCTTAGATATGATAAAAGCACAGGTGACAAAGGAAAAAAAACTGATAAATTGGGCTTCAACATTTTAAACGTTTGTGTTTCAAAGGACAACATTTAAAAGGTGAAAACACAACTCACAGAATGGAAGAAAACATTTGCAAATCATAAGGGTCTAATATCTAAAATATATATACATATATCTTTTTAAAACCTCTTGCTACTCAACAACAAAAAGATAAACAATCCAGTTAAAAAATAGGTAAAGATTTGAATAGAAATTTCTCTAAAGAAGATAAGAGAGGTGGCCAATAAACACATGAAAAGATGCTTGACATCATTTTAGCCATTAGGGAAATGCAAAATGAAACCATAATGAGACATCACTTCACACTCACTGGAATAATTAACATGAAAAATGATGGACAATAACAAGTATTGACAAAAATGTGGAGAAACTGGAGCTCTCGTACATTGCTGGTGGGAATGGCAAGTGTTGTACCTACTTTGGTAAATGGTTTCGTAGTGCCTCAAAATGCTAAACAAAGAGTTACCATGGGACCTAGCAATTCTACTCCTAGGTGTATATCCAAGATAAGTGAAAACGTACACCAACAAACCAGGCACAGTGTTTCACACCTGGGTCAGTGACTTGGGAGGCTAAGACAGGAGGATTGCTTGAGCCCAGGAGTTCAAGGCTGCAGTGAGCTGTGATGGCACCACTGCCCTCCAGCCTGGGAGTCAGAATAAGACCCCTATCTCAAAAAAGAAAATAAAAAAGAAAGAAAAGAAAAGATATATCAATACAGAAACTTGTGCATGGTTGTCTATAGCAGCATTATCCATAAGCCAAAAAGTGGGGACAATGCAAATGTCCATCACCTGATAAATAGGTGAGCAAAGGTGGCATATTCTCACAACGAAATACTGGCAATGAAAAGGAATGAAGGGCTGGGTGCAGTGGCTCACATCTGTAACCCCAGCACTTTGGGAGGCCAAGGCAGGTGGATCACCTGAGCTCAGGAGTTTGAGACTAGCCTGGCCAACATGGTGAAAGCCTGTCTCTACCAAAAATACAAACATTAGCTGGGTGTGGTGGGGGGCACCTGTAATTCCAGCTACTTGGGAGGCTGAGGCAGGAGAATCACTTGAACCCGGAAGGGAGAGGTTGCAGTGAGCTGAGATCACACCACTGCACTCCAGCCACTGCACTGCAAAGCAAGACTCAGTCTCAAAAAAAAAAGAAAAAAAAGGAGTGAAGTACTGATCCATGCAACAACACAGATACATCTTGAAAAATTATGCTAAGTGAAAGAATCCAGTTGGAAAAGACCACATATTATATGCTTTCATTTATATAAATGACCAGAATCGGTCAATATGTTGAGTGGTTGCCAGGGGTTAGAGGCAGGGGGAAATGAAAAGTGATTGCTAATGGGTATGGGATAGCTTTTGGGAGTGACGAAAATCTTCTAACATTAAATAATGGTGATGGTTGCACAACTCTGAATATACTAAAACCCACTAAATTATACACTTTGGAAGGATAAATTTTATAGAATGTAAATTACATTTCAATAAGCCTGTTATTTGAAAAATTAAGCGTGCTATCTGCTTCCTGCTAGGACCCTGACTGACAAAGGTTGAAATAATACGTATCCCAGCCTATTTTATTTTAAAATCTGGTTTCACCCACACTGGTCAGTCCTGAACCCAACACCATACATCATGAATGTCATGAAAGTAAAAAAGGTTATCTAAACGGCAAAAGTCTAAATTCTCTACCGTGCCCTATGAGGCACTTCAGAAATAACAATGACTTTTAATAATACCACCTGGCCACAACCAAACAACGGAATGTCAGCTTTGGAAAGAACCTTAGCACTGTCAATACTGCCCCCATCTTTGTTCAGTCGGCAAAACTGGGCTTCTAGATAGGAAACCACTATTCCAAGAGCACAAGAGTTGGGTCAAAACACTATGGATGGGACTTTTCAGAATTTAATGGAGAGAATTATGAACTAGGAATGAGGAGTTTAGGGTTTCCATTTATTCTCTCAACAAACAAAATTGAGGTGAGGGTGCAGGAAGGAATTGAAGTTGCAGTCAAGGGCCGAGGTCTGTGGACCACGGCAGGCAGCCCCCAACAGTGGGACCTCGGAGCATCCTGGGAGGCAGTGAAGCTGTCTCTGGTTCATCACTCAGTAGTTGTGCTCAATCTTGGCAAGTTCCTAGTCCTCTCAGAACCTCAATATCCTTGTCTGTCAAATGACATAAATAAAGTCACTATTGCAGAGCTGCCTAGGAGGATTAAATGGGAGATATATAACACACGCGAGACACTTGGCTCAGTGTGGGTGCTGCTGTGCTGTGATGTCCTGGGTGAGTCTCCTCAACTCGTCTCTAGGTCTCGCGAAGGCTGATGTCAAATTAGGTCCCTGACTCCTTAGCTGAACAGGCATCAGAACCATCCAGGAACCTGACTAAAATAGAGAGTGAAGTATCCATCTGCCCTGGGGCCAAACCCAGGTCTGCTAGCCTGGGATATGCCGGGGCAGGAACTGGGAAACTGTATTTTCAAGTAGGCTCACACCGGGGGATTCTAATCCTCAGATGGCTCCATGGACCAGGCTTGGAAACTGCTGCACGAGATGCTCTCTGGGGTCCTGGAGCCCACAGGGCCTCCGGCTCTGGGCTGTGTCAAGTGTGACCCCCCCCGGAGGTCACCCCTGCACACAGTCTATTTTCAGATCCACCTCTCCGGCTTCTGGCAGAGCCTGCAGACTGCATTGGCTGCTGCTCTGTCTCCATCTCTCCGCTTCCTAATCTAATTATCACAACAACCAGATGTGACAGTCTCCCTCTCAAAGCCATTTAAACATCTCCAAAGGCACCTCTCACTATTTGGGTCTTCTGTAATTCTCCCCTCCCTCCTTCAGCCGGACACCTTGGCTCCCGACGCTCTCCTCCCTGTGCCAATTAGCGGTGAAGTATCCTTCTGCGAAAATAATCCAATTATGGAGCACTGAATAGCAGCCATGATCTGGCACAATCAAATCCTTGTCCACAGAGACAAGAAAGCCAAGCCTCTTAGCATCCTAAGGGGTCAGCCTGCTGGAATAGGATGCCGTCTTCCTCTGACAGCCACTCTTCTGAACACTTTTGTGAGTCTGTGCCTCTCTCCATACCTTTGAAAATGGGAGAGATGAAGAGATGTCTTTCCCAGAAAGATGTGCATGTGTGCATTGATTTCTATGCAATTTCCAGAGTCCACGCCCTCTTGGAGACAATCCTTGGGCCCCCGGCCTACCACGTCTCCTCGACAGCTGCCATGACTGTAAACTAAAAATAAAATCCTAAGCCCCTGATCAACTGAATGGACCCTTCTCTTGCCGAACGGGACCTCAGAAAAACCTCAAAACCTGAACTCCTGGCCACGATTAAAAGGGAGGTCAGGCATACCTCATTACACCCCTTCCCTTTAGGAGTTTAAGCATAACTGACCAGCACTAATGTTCAACAAGAGAACATAAGACTAACAAAACGGGCCCTTTGCGACAGTAAGATATCAAATTATTAACAGGACCTAAGGCCATGCCAGACAAGGGTTAGATCACACACTCCTGCAGGTCTCTCTGACCCAGCGTATTGGTTAACGGACTTCCTTGTCTTTTCAAACCTTCCCTTCTGCAGACTCCCAATTTTTGGATAAAGCTTTGCTTTCTTAACCAATTGCAAATTAAAGAACCTCTGAATCACCTACAACCTGTAAGCCTCTGCCTCGTCAAGATATCCCATCTTTTTGGGCCAAGCCAATGTATACCTCCATGCAGTGATTTATGTCTTTGCCTGTCACTCCTGTCTCCCTAAAATGTATAAAAACAAACTGTAATCTGGCTGCCGCAGGTGCACTTTCTCAGGACCTCTTGAGACTGTGTTCCCTTGGCTGTGGTCACTTGTATTGACTCAGAATAAACCTCTTTAAAATGTTTTACAGGGTCTGTCCTTTCTGTTAACATGACCCAGGCCAGGCCTGTTACTCACTGTGTATACCTTCTGAGCTCCCTTCCAGACCTTGATACTGAATTTTCTTTTCTTTCTAAAATAGTAAGACCTTACTATACCCATCGTTCCTCATGAGTCGTCTTTTCACTTAACGGTACAACCTGGCCATCTTCTCATGTCAGTAACATCTCTCTGTTACGTTAATACTGTACCAATTCCATGGTATGGATTTTCCTTAACTACTGATGTACGTTTAAATTGTTCCCCTCCACTTTAAGGCAAATAACGCATCGCTAGAATACAGAGAATTTAGAAATCATCATAAACAATATTGATCAGAAATGGCTTCAGGGAAGAGAAAACAATATTTTAAAACACTACTAAACACAGGTCAAATCATGTTCTAACAAACAGACTTGCCCTAGGCCCCCATTGCCTGGCAGATAGATGCACAGTCCTTAGCATGGCCTGATTAAGGCTACCGCCATCTGGCCCTAACTCCATTTCAAGCTCCGCCACCCATCCTCCTGCCTGCAAGCCCTCTCTGGGTTATTTATGATTTCCTGAGCAGGCTGTGCCTTTGCTCCTGCTAGTTCCTGCCTGGAACGCTCCCTCGCCCTCTCCTCTCCCCTTCCTGCAGGCTCAAACTCCCTCCAGGAGAGCCGCTAGACACATTTACATATTAAAGGCTTAGAGAGGAGCTGCAGGCCAGGCACAGATTTAACTTCCATTCACACAGTCATCTATTTCTTCATTCAGCCGTTCTTCTCTCGCAGGATTCTTCAGTTTGCCTCCCTCTGTGCCAGCTCCAGGGACAGAAGAGGGGACAAAGCAGGTCTGGCTCCTTTTAGGGGACCCTCAGGTGGAGAGGCCACCGTTCAAAGTATTTCAACCAGGTCTTCTTGTAGCTGCACAGTGGCCATCCTGTGTCATGGATTTTCTCAGATCTGTAGTGTCCTGGACTGTAGTGGTGATTTGTTTCTATTTGTCCAGCAAGCTTGATCGTCCTCCTTTTTAGAGGACACACCTGACCTCCCTCCCTCCCTCCCCCATCAGCCCTGGCCCAGGTGCCTTAGCAAAGCTTCTTCCCTGACACCTGGAAGCTGCGGTTTGGCCAAGGGAAGGTCACATGATCCAGATAAGGCCAGTCAGCATTCATCCCTGGAGCTGCTATTATGGACTCTGGAAGAAAGAAGTTCTTTCCACCAGAGATGCCAAGCTGGGACAGGCCTGGTAGCGAGGTAGAGAGTCTGGGAGACATGAAGCCACCACACCAAAAAAAAACAGAAAAAAAAAAAAAGCCAAGCTTCAGAGATGGGCAGAGAGAAAGGGCCACGTGGTGTTCTATCCTCAAATCAAGTCCTGAGGCGAGGCTGCAGAAGCTCACTCTCATCCTCCAAGCAGCTCCAGACTGCTTTCCAGCGGGGGGGACAGTAAAATTCTTTTTTTTTTTTTTCAATTTAACTCCTTTTGACCTGGGGTTCCACCCCTTGAAAATAAGTGTTGTGACAAATATACAAACAGTTTAGCAGCTAGCCTGGTCCTTCGTATGAAAAGGGTCTGCGTTCACTGGCGTTTCCGCCTCTCTGAACTCACCTTGCTCACCTAAATCCAGAATCAGCCTTTTTTCTGCTTCTCATGATGTGCACAAGGACTTCCGCAGGTACCACCGTTTAGCTTGAAATATCTCTGCCTGGATCTTCTTGTTCCTCAAATGTGAGTTCACAGATCACCTCCACAGAAAAGCCTTGCCCAACATCAAAGGTAGCTTGCTGTGATTCTCACGGGCAGTATCCCAGGTCATGATCCGGATGACATTCTATGTTTACTAACCTCACTGTTTGCACTGCTTTGGAAGGTGAGCTCCAGGAGACCAGGTAGTTTGCACATCTTGTTCCAGTTGTGTCTCCAGCATCCAGGATAGTGACTATCACATGGCATGAAGTCAGTAAGTATCTATCAAATGAATGAACCAGCAAAGTAACAAAGGAAGGAATTAATATAAAGCAAGGAGCTTAGACTTTGAAACGGATGACCTATCTTACTTAGTTCGGGAAGCTGAAGAGAATGCCATAAACTGGGTGGCTTAGAAACAACAGAAGTTTATTTTTCACAGTCTCGGAGACTCTAAGTCTGGGATCAGGGTGCCAGCGTGGTCAGGTTCCGGCAAGGACCCTCTTTCGGGTTGCAAACTGATGACTTCTCCTTGTAACCTCACACATCAGAAAGGGAGGGTGAGTGAGCTCTCTGGGCTCCTTTTTATAAGGACACTAATGCCATTTGTAAAGGCTCTGTCCTCAGGCCCTAATCACCTCCTAAAGGCTCACCTCTTAATACTATCACATTGGGGATTGGGCTTCAACATATGAATTTGGAGGGGACACAGACGTTCAGTCCGTTGCATGACCTAAGATTAAATACAAGCTCTACCACAGATCACCTTACTTTCCCCGGGGAAAAGTATTCATTTTCTGAGACTCAGTAGCACCACTTGCAATGGGGAAAATATTAATGCACAATATAGTTGTATGTATTTATGTATTTATTTAACCCCCAACAAGACTGGAATATATGAATGTTCTATGTAAACTGTGAAGTCTGACTACACGATGATGATGATGATGCTCATAGCAGCTAACAATTATTAAGCACCTACTGTATTTCAGACATTGTGCTAATGGTTTTATGATGTTAATTAATGAAACTCTGCTGTGACTGTTAAGTAGGTATTAACATACTTATTTTAACAATGAAAAGGTGAAACTGAAGCTCAGAGGTATGACTAGTATCCAGAGATCAGCTGAGAAGGTGAAGTCTGGGATTTGAACACGCTGAGCAAATGAGCGAGGGAGCTGGTGGGAGGGTTGGCCTAAGTTAAAGACACTGTTGAACTCTAGGATTCTGCAGACTTTCGAGTCAACTAGCTGCCAATCTATTCCTCCAGTGTAGCTGTGCTTCCTCTTGGCGGCTATTTAATCAGCACGCCCCCAACTCTGCACTCCAGACACCCCTGACCCTGACACTTCTGGTGAATTCTGGACACTCCATTACTGGATAAAGAGTGCTGTGGGGTTTAACTTGTGAGCTCTGGACCCAGAATGGCTGAACTTGAACCAGCTCTGCCTCTACCTAGCTAAATGACCTTGGGCAGGTTGATAGCCTCTCTTTGCCTCAGTTTCCCCTGGATAAAAGGGGCCATAGCAAGTCTCTCCTCATAGGGGATGTGTAAGGATTACATGAGCCAACATAATTGAAGCACACTGACTAGCGTCTGACCCAGAGTGAGCGTTCAATAAACATTCACTATTTTAAACTGAACTATGAGGAAAGGGGGAGAAAGCAAGTTGGAATTAATAAAACATTCTGGGTTATACAACAACTTTTGGGAAATAAACAAAGTAATCTCAAGGCCAACTCCCATAGTATAATATTCTTTTGAATACTTGCATTCATCTACTCATGAATTCATTCAGAAAAAAACATCTTATTGAGTGTGGAGAACACTCTTGTCCTTCCCCTTTTCCCACCTGAGACACATACAATTATTAGCCTGATGAATCAAGATGGAGGAAATGTGATTCATCAGAGTTCCCCTAATGAAAGAGTGATGCAGCACTGTGTCAGGATAAACCCCACAGGAGCCTCCCGGGGCAGGGATGACTCTCCAAAGGCTCTTTGTAAAAATGGCCTCCTAAGAAAGGGATGCCTTGTGCAGATGTGAACCCTTTGTTTGCAGAGAACCAGATGGGTTCATACAGGTATGTACAGGGAAAAGTGATCAAGCAGAGCTCATCCTTGCATAATGGAGGGGGAGACTTTGATCGTGGAACTGGGGATGGAGTCTACAAAGAGAGAGCAGAGCTCATCCCTGCATAATGGAGGGGGAGAATTTTATCGTGGAATTGCAGATGGAGTCTACAAAGAGAGAAGAGTGTGCATGCTGGATGTTTGCGAGGGAACAGGTGGAAGGAGCAAAGGGAAAACACTTGACTCAACCATCCATCCCAACACAAAGGCAGGGGTCAGAAGAAGACACACCCTCCATGCTTCTTCAAAGGGTGGGCTCCAAGGAACTGGGTGAATCTTTCAAGATACCATTTGTTTTCCGTATAAGGAAGATTTATTATTTATTTATTTTTATTTTTTTCTTGTTTTGAGATGGAATCTCACTCTGTCGCCCAGGCTGGAGTGCAATGGTGTGATCTTGCCTTATGCACTCAAATGTTCAAAAGCGAAAATGGGTTTTTTGAGAGGTGGTGAGCTCTCCAGCAAGGAGGGTGTTTAAGCAGGAATGGGATGCTCTCTGAGTGAATAATTTGCTTCTCATTCACCCATTTGGAAAACAGAAAAGTTGATTTGTGGTTATAATTGTGTGTAAATTGTGTGTACAATTTACAGCCCTTTGTCCATCTGCCCTGTGAAATCTTCAAGCCAGGCTTTTCTGCAGGCAGATTATTTTAGCCCAACATGAAGATGCACCTAGCTCTGTGTCCTGGTTAGTGATGGGATGAACACCAGAACAGTTCATGTAGACAAAAAAATAATCTGAGGGTAGAAGGATATTATAGACTGGATTGTGTCACCCCAAAGTTCATATGTGGAAAGCCCAACCTTCAGTAATTCAGAATGTGATTTTATTTGGATTTAGGGCCTTTAAAGAGGTAGTTAAGTTAAAATAAGACCTTTAGGATGGCTCTAGTTTAATCAGACAGGGGTCTTTACAAAAAGAAGAGATTAGGATATATATAGAGAGACATCTAGGATGTGCTTACACAGCAAGCAAAGAAGAGAGGCCTCGAAAGAGACCAGACCTGCTGACACCTTAATCTTGGACTTCCAGCCTGCAGTACTGTGAGGCTATTAAAAATTAAATTAAAATTTAAATAAAATATTTAATAGTTTCTATTGTTTAAACCAGCCACTCTGTTGTATTTTGTTATGAAAACCCTAGCAAACTAATGCAGAGAAGGCCACCTCTATTTTATAAGCAGGGAGTCTAAGGTTTGGTGAGATTAAGTGATTTGCCCCAAGGTAAATGAACAAAGAGGATTTTAAGCCAGGCGAGTCTGATTCCAATAATACAGTGCCTGTATTATTTCTGCTCTCCTGCACTACTTCTTAATGTAGGATATCATGCTCAACACTATATGAAATAAAAATAGGTGAATCCCAAGTATATTATTCCCCCAGAAAGCATCCCATCCCGGCTTAAATACCTCCATTGCTAGAGAGCTCACCATCGCTCAAGCCATTCCCATTTTTGAACATCTGAGTGCATAAAAATAAATCTTCTTTATATGGAAAACAAATGTGAATTTTAGACGATTCACCCAGTTTTTTATGGCTGTCTCTTCGGAGCAGCATGGGAGAAGTATTTCTTTCTCTCCCCAGAACGTCCTTCAAGTTCTCTTAGAGGGCAGTCATGTCCACATTCTGCCTTTTCTTCTCAGACAAAGCAACCACACTATTATGAAAGCATCCTTATATGACAATAATTCCAAATTTCCTCCTTGTTATACTTAAATTAGGTTAACCGAGTTGCCTAGTCTAATTAGTAAAACCATCCTTAAAAAATGGAAAAGCATGATTTGAAATGAGTATAACTTGGCATCTGTACCAATTCATAGGCACAGGAAATTATTCACCAACAGTTTGCCTCCTCCCTGAGCCAAAGGCATATTGGGAGTGACCGGGAGCATGGGCTTGGGCTGTCAGTGTATAAAGCGATGAAGTGAAAACCACCATCTGTCACATGGAAATGAGAGCTCCTGAGAGGTACCTGGAGAAAGCATGTTGTCTCAAAGCAGAATGACGAGTCAGGTGGCCACAAAATCGATGGGAAGAAGAGTCTAATCAAAGCCCCTGTGGCTGCCCCACCCTCCAGCACATGGTGCAGACAGGGAAGCATGCAACGCAGCACTCGAATTCCTGGGGAAGCTGGCTCTGGCTGGTGAGTTGGAACACGGTGAGGACAGGTGCCTCCCTCTGCGTCTTTCTCTTTCCCTGGCTGTCATCCCCTCACTCCAGGGTTCAAGTCATTCCAAATCATTGTCAGGCCACTTCAAGTTCCCTGCCAAGGAGAGGAAGGAAAGGTGGTGTGCCATGAGCCATGTTGGAGCCCAAAGAGAGACCAGTGACTACAGGGGTTATGGAAAAGTCACTGAAAATTTGAAGTGGTTTCAGCAAAAGGGCCAGAAGGTACAACTGGCACCACAGGACATACTGACAGTGATCACAAGTGCCAAGCGGAAAAGACAAATTTGGGTGATAAATGTGTGGGCGTCTAAGGGTCATAATATAGCTGTGGCTATTCGATGAGAAAACCAGTGGAAGATGTGTGTTAAAATACTTTTAAGTATATCATATTCTACTTTCAAATGCATGCAAATATGCAAAGAGAGATAATAAAGGGATGCGGAGTGAAGAGTCTCAGAGAACCAGCTTTAATTAAGTTACCCAGTTAAGCATTTCTTAATGACTTCTAATGTGCCCAAACATTTACTATTAAGTACATTAACACATTTTTCTCTCCTAAGAGCAACAAAAAGGATGAAATATTTGACAAGCTTAAAATGAATTAACACAACTTTTATGAAAACAAACAAAATAATGAACACCAAAAATACTGCCCCACCACGCATTTACATCTGACAAAAGTTTATTGATGGGCATGAAGCAGATTTAAATAGAGAACTGTAATTGTTCCCAAATAGGCATACTCAACATTGTAGTATTGTTAGTTCTTTTTAAATTAGGTGTCTACAACTCCATCCTAAATCTTAGTGTGATACGGTGAAACTTCACAAACGATTTCTGAAGTTTATCTGGGAAAAGAATAAACACAGGAACTAGCCCAGGTATTTTGAAAAAAGAGAACAACAAGGGTAGCTTGCCTTTCCAGGTAGCAAATGTCTTAAGCCTCAAATAATTTAAGCAGTGTCATTCTGTTATAAAAATAGACAGAAAACTAAAATATAATAGAAATCCACAAAAAGACTAAATTACATAAAGTTTCAGAATATTAAAGAGTAGCATTTTAAATTAGCAGGTAAGTACAAGAATAGTAATTAAAGAATTATTTGAAACAATACGTTTTAGAGAAAAGCCAACTGAGATCCTCATCTAATACTACAGAAAGCTAATTGCAGATAGATTAAAACATTCAATATATTTTTAATGTAGTCATATAAGTACCAGAAGAACGTGTAAGTTCATAGTTTAAAAAAAAAACCTCATAGCAGTGGACTTTATAAAGTAAGAAAAGAATGGTTAAAATATTACAAAGGAAAATAAATTTTACTAATTAAAGCTTTAACTTTCTATATTTCAAGAAAATAAAATTAACAGATAAAGGAAAACCACAGTAATACTGGCGCTTCCCATGAGACATGGGAATAAAGCCTATAAATACCAATAAATATTCACTGAAAGCATAAAAGTTGGAAAAATCTGTGGACTGAAATCATACCTTTATTTACTCTGTCATTAGCATGATATTAACTGATGTCTTTATACTTTGATATTAGGCTCTAGCAGACTAGGTGTTTCTAAAGTATGTCTGTATCCCCATAGCATTTAGTACCCAGAGTCCAGTCTTAAATATATTCATACAATCAATTCATGTACCAAAGCAAAAAGATGTAGCAAAGAAGTAATCAGCTTTGAGAACACATGTATAAACAAAAGCACAGTTGACTTTCTAATTATTCTTCCCTCTGGAAAGTCGACATTGTAAAATAAGTTTGTTTCACATGTTCAAAAGGCAGAATGGTTTCAATCGGCTTTTGCTACATACAAACCACACCAAAATGTCGTGGCTTAATGTAACACCATTTACTGACTTTCCAAGTCTGTGGGTCGGTAACTTAGGCCGGGCTCAACAGTTCTGCTTATCCACCCAGGCTTAGCTGATCTTAGTGATAAGTGTGGAGCTTAGTGATAAGTGTGGTCAGCTTCCAGGATGGCTGAGGGCCAGCTGGCACCCACCAGGGTTCTGCTTCACAGAGACTCTCAACCCAGCAAACCAAACTAGACCTGTTGCTGTGGAAGATGGCCTCCAGGAGTGAAAATGGAGCTTGCAACTCCTCTGGGGACCCAGGCATAAAATGACATCCTATCACAGCTTTCTATCGGTCAGAGGGCAGGAAAATAGACAGTACTCTTGTTGTTGTTCAAGAAACATTGCAAAGAATTGTGGCTTTTTGTTTTCAATCTACCATAAAGATCTGCCTAAGAAGTCCAAAAAAGTTCTGAGTTTCATGACAATTTGTACATATATATTTTGAAATCTAGGCTGTGGACAAACACCTTACATTAAGGACCAGGGGTTGGAAAACAACCACCACTTGATCAAATCCAGCCTACTGCCAGCTTTCGTAAGTCGTTTTAGTGGAGCGCAGACATTCATTTTATATTGCCAAAAGCTGCTTTCACGATAAAATAGCAGAGTTAAATACCTGCACCCAAGACTGAATGGCCCACAAAGTCTAAATATTTATTGTCTGGCCCTTTGCGAAAAGTTGCTGATGGCTTTTCAAAACCATCATGCAATATGAAGGCCTTATGTGCATTTTTGTTTATGATCATATTGGCACCACGTAGGTAGCAATTGCATTAATTGTCTCACACTAATGAGAGAAGAACACAGCGCATTAGCATGTAAAATAATGGGTTTGTGTCTGGACAAGTAAAGTAAAATGGTATTATAGTGAGCTATATATGTGATTGTAAGCTTTTCAGTAGTTTGGAAGGAGACGTGTGGGAGGAAATTAAGTCTTCATATGACGACAAGAGTAAAGGCATGAGCAAATCAACAGTTTGTTCTGCAGCAGCCAAGATTATCTATACTGCAATTAGCCATAGCAATGCAGAAAATAACTTCATCCATCATTTTAGTGTTGTCACGTTGAATTTTATTGTTGGTATATATGTGTTTATATTTCTCTTAAAATTTTTCTTTGCTTCTGTTGTTGTGTTAGGGAGTTTGGTTATTCTCTCAAGGCAAGAAGAGAGTCTTTAACTTTGCCAACCCCACTTTTAATACAATTCATTAGGATAAACCTGGATTAGATTTCAAGAGACTAGGGAAATCTCTTTCCTGATCTGGCCTTCAGTCATTATCTAAAATGAAACATTTTAACTTAAACCGTGGCTCTCAAACTTCAGTGCACATGTTAAAAATGCATGGCTCTGAGCTCCATCTCCAGAAAATCTCATTGAGTAATAGAGGGTAACACAAAAGCAAAAGCAAACAAACAAACATGAAGCAAAAACTGGCAGAATTTAAAGTAGAAATAGACAACCCAACAAAAGCAGTTGAATACTTTAATATTACACTTTCAATAATGTACAAAGCAACTAGACAAATAATCAATAAGGAAATAAAATACTTAAACAACTAGACCTGCTAGACCAACTGGACCTAACAGATTTCTATGGAACACTCCATCCAACCGAAGCAGAATACATATCTTGTTGAGTACACATTCTCCAGGATAGACCATATATTTGGCCATAAAACAAATCTGAATACAAATTTTAAAAAAGTTAAATCATATAAAGTATGTTCTCTACCCATAGTGGAATAAAATTAGAAATCAGTACCAGAAGGAAATCTGGGAAATTCACAAGTACATGCACATTGAATAATACATCCTGAAATAACCAATAGGTCAAAGAAAAAAAAAATCACAAGGGAAATTAACTTTTGAGATAAATGAAAACAAAAACATAGCATAGCAAAGCCTGTGGGGTGCAGCTAAAGCAGTGCTTGGAGGGAAATTTGTAACACTCACAACTATATTAAAGAAATAAGTCATTAACCTAACTTCCCACCTTAAGAAACTAGAGAAAAAAGAGCAAAGTAAACCCAAAGCAAGCACGGGAAAGTAAACTCTTGGGTAGACTGACCAAGAAAAGAGAGAGAAGACTCAAATAACTAAAATCATAAATGAAAGAGGGAATGTCACTATGGACTTTATAGAAATAAAAAAGGACTATAAAGAAATACTATGAAAATGTTTATACTAACAAATTAGACATCCCAGATGAAATGGAAAAACTCCTAAAAAGACAGAATTACCAAAACTGATTCAAAAATATGGAAACATGAAAAGACCAATAAGAAGTAAAGATATTGAATCAGTAATCCAAAAAGTTCCAACGCAGAGAAGTCCAGGACAAGATGGCTTTCTTCATTAATTCTATCAGTCATCTAAAGAAGAATTAACACCTAATTCTTCTCAAACTCTTGCAAAAAATAAGAGTGAACACTTCCCAGTTCATTCTATGAAGGTAATGTTACTCTGATATGAAAATTCAACAATAATATCACACAAAAAACTGTAGACTAATATATTTCATGATTATAGATGCAAAATCCTCAACAACTATTGGCAAACTGAATCCAGGAACATATGAACAGGATTATATAGGATGACCAAGTGGGATTTATCCAAGGCATACAAATTGGTTCATCACACAAAAACTGTCAATGCAATACACTATATTAGCAGAATAAAGAACAAAAGCCACATGATCACATCGACATATGCAGAGAAAGCATTTGACAAAATCCAACACTCTTTTATGAAAAAAAATCATCCAATAAACCAGACATAGAAGGGAAGTTTCTCCACCTGATACAGAGCATCTGTGGAAAACCCACAGCTAACAGGAGAATTAATGTTGAAAGATAGAAAACTTTCCCTCTAGGATCAGGAATAAGACAAGCACGTCCACTCTCACCACTGCTATTCAACATTGTTCTGGAGGTTCTAGCCAGGGCCGTTAGACAAGAAAAAAATAAAAAGCAGCCAGACTGGAAAGCAAGAAGTAAAATATCTCAATCTGCAGATGACATAACCTAGTATATAGAATCCGAAAGAATCCATAAAAAGAATAGTAGAGCTAATAAACAAATTCAACAAGGTGGCAGAATACAGGATCAATATACAAAACAATCTATTGCATTCCTATACACTTTCAATGAACAAACCAAAAATGAAATTAAGAAAATAATTTCCTGTATAAAAGCATCAAAAGAATAAATTATTTAGAAATAAAATTAATAAAATAAATGTAAAACTTGTACATATATAATTATATATAGCATACATATGAACTGTTAACAAGGCTAAAATATTTATAATGATAAATGATCCCATTTATAAAGAGGACCTAATAATCTTAAATGTGTATGTGCCTAAAGAGTGCTTCAAAGTCCATGAAGCAAAAACTGAAGACCTAAAAAGAGAAACTGACAAACCTATAATTACCTTAAGACATTTCAACAACCCCCTTCAATAACTGATAGAACAAATTGAATGAAAATTAGTGAAGACGCAGAAGATCTGAGCCACATTATCAACCAAATTGAACTGATTGACATTTGTAGAACATTCTACCCCCAAACAGCAGAATACACATTATTCTTAAGTGCAAATAGTACTCACCAAGCTAGACCATGTCCTGATCCAGAAGCAAGTCTGAATAAATTTAAAAGGATTCAGATCATACAAAGTGTGATCTCTGATTACCATGGAATTAAATTAGAAATCAATAATACAAATATAGCTGGGAAATCCCCACATAGCTGGAAAATAAACAACAATTCTAAATTATCATGCATTAAAGAAGAAATCAAAAGGGAAATTAATATTTGCACTGAATGAAAAGGAAAACACAAAATTTTAATACTTTGGGACGTTACTAAAGCAGTCCTTAGGGAGAGTTTTAGCACTAGCTGCCTGTATTAGAAAAGTGTCTCAAATCAATTACCTTGATTTCCAACTAAAAAAAATAGAAAAGGAAGAGCAAATTATACCCAAAGTAAACAGGAGAAAGGGATAAAGGACAGAGCCAACAATTAGTGAAACTGAAAGAGAGAAACACAGTAGAAGATTTGATTAAAATCCAAGTCTGATTCTTTGAGAAATCAATAAACTGATGATCCTAGAGGCCGACTGAGCAGGAAAAATGAATCTGTAGTGGCGCCACATTTCTCACTCCTAATATTTTGCATCTCCTGTTTTCTTCTACATTCTGACTCATTGTTATTCAACGTGTTTTATCAGTTTTAAAGGAAAAGCACTGAAATATGCGATGAAGCCACTTTTGCAGGCTCATGTGGTTTTATGGAAGCTGAGGGTACAAGATTCTAAAGTACGTATAGCCAGGTATCCCAGCCCAAGTCTCAGAGTCTGTGCCCTTCTGGATATAAATGCAAAAAAACTCAACATAATGTAGCAAGTTACATCAAACAGTATATCAAAGGATAATGCATCATGACCCACTGGGGTTTATCGTGGGATGCCAGGCTGGTTTAACATTCAAAAATCAATCATAATTCACCATATAAACCAATCAAAAGAGAAAAATTATCTCAATCGATGCAGAAAAAGTATTTAACAAAATCCAATGTGCATTTCTGATAAAAATTCTCAGCAATCTGGGAATAGAAGGAATCTTTGCAACATGATAAATGACATCTACAAAAACCTGCAGTTAATGTCATACTTAACAGTGAAAAACGGAATGTTTTCTCCCTAATTTGGAAACAAGGCAAGGATGTCTGCTCTCACCACCACTATCCCACATTGTGTTGGAGGTTTCAGCAAATGCAGAAAGAGAAAAAAAGAAAAAGAAATAAAAGCCCTCTAGATAGAAAAGGAACAACAAAAAAACCCTGTTTTTATTCACAGATAACAGGGCCATTTACATGAAAAATTCTACTACATCTACAAAAAAGTTCTGAGAATGAAGGTATGTTTAGCAGGCAACAGGATACATAATCAGTATAAAAATCAATTGTGTTTCTATATACTAGCAAGAAACAATAAAAAAAATTATATTGAACACAGCATGGTGACCATAGGCTCACACCTGCAATCCCAGCACTTTGGGAGGCCGTGGTGGAGAGATCGCAGATCATCTGAGGTCAGGAGTTCAAGACCAGCCTGGTCAACATGGCAAAACCCTGCCTCTACTAAAAATACAAAAAAATTAGCGGGATGTGGTGGCACATGCCTATAATCCCAGCTACTCAGGAGGCTGAGGCAGGAGAATTGCTTGAATCCAGGAGATGGAGGGGGCAGTGAGCTGAGATCGTACCACTACACTCCAGCCTGGGTGACAGAGTGAGACTATCTCAAAACAAAACAAAAGAATAATGTATATTTCAAAATTACTAAAAGAATAGATTTTAAATGTTCTCATCAGAACGTATGGACACATAGGGTGAACAACACACACTGGGGCCTCTCAGAGGATGGAGGGTGGTAAGAGGGAGAGGATTAGAAAAAATAATTAATGGGTACTGGGCTTAATACCTGGGTGATGAAATAGCGTGTAGAACAAACCCCCATGACACACCTTTACCTATGTAACAAACCTGCACATGTACCGCTGAACTTAAAAGTATAAAAAAATTCTCATCATACAAAAACAGCAGGGGAAGTGATGGATATGTTAATTAGCTTGATTTAATCTTTCTACAATGTATGCATGGATCAAAACATCACATCATAGCCTATAAATATATATAATTATTTTATTTGTCATTAAGATTTTTTAAATGTGATTTGAAAACGATACTATTGAGTCTTCCACTTCCAGGAAGATGAGCACATGCCTTTCCCTATCCCTCCTGCTAATGGCAATGGGAAACCCTAGGCATTATACATAAAACAAATGTGGGAAGACTCTGAAAGGTGGGAAGCAGAAGGTAGACCTACCAGGAACCTCAGGACCTGGGGACTGACAAGGATGTGAGTTCCCTGTTGTGGGTATGTAGTGGGAGGTACATAGTAGGTGTATATCTTTAAGGGGTACATGAGATGTTTTATACAGGCATGCAATGTGAAATAAGCACATCATAGAGAGAATGAGGTATTCATACCCTCAAGCATTTATCCTTTGAGTTACAAATAATCCAATTACATTATTCAAGTTATTTAAAAATATTCGATTATTATTGACTATAGTTTTATATGTGTGTGTGGGCTTCATCTATCCCAGACTTGGAGCAGATGAAAATGGCAACACAGAAACTCCAGCAGGCATGAACCATCCAAAAAAGTCCCAACAAAAAAGCTTGTTTTCTCTATCCAAAGGCCCAGGAAAGAGGCAGGCTAGTAAGACAGAAAACTTTTAGGCAATAACCCCTTTACTCAGCCAAACACCACAGAAAAAAACTGTGGCTGCAGCCCACCCAGGCCAGCAACAGTCGTGGGGGTAGCCTGGAGTTCCACTCTTCAGACAAATCTCAAAATCATTATATAGAGTGAAAGAAACCAAACTAAAGAAATACCTCCTGCATGATTCCATTTTAAAAACATACTGCTTAGAACAACAGAAAGCTGATGAGCATTGCCTGGGAAGCTGGGAAAGACCAAGGGACAAGAAGAAGCTTCAGAGCATGGGATTTGCTCATTATCTTCATTCCCTGAACTTCTCCTTATTAACTGGAACAAGAGGGTCTGGAACACTCATAAATTAAGTTGGATGCTCCCATTAGTTATAAAAACAAAACAAACAAAAAATAAAAATAGAAGAAGATGAATTTCTTCTCTCTCTGAATTTGAATATATATATATAGAGAGAGAATATATATATAGTCCATATATATATATATGGACTATACATATATATATATATATATGGACAAGTTAGGGGTAAAATATAAGATTTTATCACTCAACATATTTGAAAAACTTTAAAAGTAAACCACTTTAACAAATGGCAGGGTCCCGTCTGCGAGGGTCTGCAGGCTGAATCCTCAATGTGCCTGCGTCAGTTCAGACGCAAACAAGGGCTGAACGCTACAGTCCACAGAGCTGAATCCAGGAAAACCCATTAACACCCTTGCATGGGATAAACTGGAATGCATAATGGATCATGGCTTCAAATTTATTTTAGTAAATGGTCCAATAATTTGAAGTGAAAATAAATAATTCATCCTCCTCTCCCTCTCAGCCCTCCAGCTTAGAAGATATATCGTAAGCTGAAATCACGGTGCAGTCTTCGGCAGATTCTTTTACTGAATTTCCATCTTAAAGACACAACTGGGATGGTTCCTAATGAGCAGCTGTCCCCTGAACCCTGTGTGCTCCATACATGGATAGACACAGATTCGCAGCTCAGCAGGGACCCGGAGGTGGCCGTGGATGTTGTTGTCCACCCTGCTGATTCAGCGTTCCTACTCTTCCCTTCTCTTCACTTTATGGGGAGCCACTTGGATCATTCATTCTGGAAACCTTGCCATGTTGCAGATACATCACTCATGACTTTCCCTCCCCCACCCCGTTGGAAACTACCATTCTGCCTTCTGTCTCCCACTCCAGGAATTCAGCCCAAACACATCCAAAAGTGGGACAAAAACTTCCCCAGCTGTGTTCCTTCGGTCCCATGAAGCAAAAATCAAAGAACATCATACTAGTCACTGAAGCATTCATCCTCTTGCCGGGTTCCCTCTTTAGCAGAAAGTATTTGTTTACTAAACCCTCCCTGCATTCAACAAAGTCCGTAAAACAAAAACATGTTTCAAACTGTATTGTGTGTGTGTTTTTTTTTAAATCTTAACTATCCTACATATGGAGAAGGGACAAATTACATTTCATTCACAAAAACCATATTCAGCTTCTAACATCCTCCTCCTACGCATATTTATTGATCACCTACTATGTGTTTTGACAGCACTGCTGATGACAGCAGTGAAGAAAGGAGACAAAATGCTTGTTTTTCCAGAGGACAGTCTAGTGGGGTCAGAGGAGACATGCAATAATTGACATAAGTCACTGTAAAAGTCTGAAGAAAATACTACATTTTGGGAAGGACTGTGACCTAGGGAATGGGGAAGGGGAGTGCTAGGAGGAAGAGCTGCAACCAAATCAGGAGACAAGATAAGCCCAAGGGGAAGATGATTTTGAGCCGCTGTTTGAAGTAGGTGAGGAAGGAAACCCTGCAAATATTGCAGGAAAGAGGATTCTTGGTAGAGGAACCAGCAAAGGCCAGTGCTCAGAGCAGCCGCACGCTTGCAGTGTTCCAGGGTCTTCACAGGGCCCCTGCGGCTGAGGAGGAGAGTGAAGTCAGAGTTGGTGGGACCAGATCATCTAGAACCTTGAATGTAAGAAATATGGCCTTATTCTGGCTGAAAGGAGATTACTGAGAAGCTTTGAGAAGCGGCGACATAAGTTTTCGTTTTATTTAAAAATATTGATGAAATACGCACAACATAAAATGTACCATCTTAACCCTGCTTAAGTGTACAACGCGGCCAGGTTAAGTGCATTCACATGGTTGTACATCCATAATCACCATCCGTCTTCCAAACTCTTCATCTTGCAAAATGAAAACTCTGTACCCATTAAACAATCACTCTCCATTCTCTCTTCCCCCAGCCCTGGCACCCACCAGTCTACTTTCTCTCTCCATGAATTTAACCACTCCAGGGACCTCATCTAAGTGGAACCATACCATATGTGTCCTTCTGTGACTGCCTTATTTCACTTAGCATAATGTCCTCAAGGTTCATCCCTATCATAGCATGCATCAGAATTTGCTTTATTTTTAAGGCTGAATTATATTTCATTGTATGGATGTTCAACATTTTGTTTATTATTCATCTGTTAATGGACACTTGCGCTTGTTCCCTTTTGGCTACAGCAGTGAATGTGAGTGTGCACATACCTCTTCAAGACCCTCCTTTCAATTCTTTGTATTGGGTATATAGCTATATGTGCAATGCTAGGACATATGGTAATTCTATTTTTCAACTTTTTGAGGAACTGCCATACTGTTTTCTTGCTACAGTGTTTAGGGATAGACTACAGGCGGACAAGAATGAGAACAGGGGGGGTCACTGAGGAGGCTGCTTTAGATCTGTTTCCATGCCAGACTCCAAGATGAGAATTTGCCTGCAGGAACTTTACTGGAGATTGCATGGGAAGGGAGGGATATGTGTGAAGAGAGAAGTAGGATATGGCAGAGCAGAGATTGTTTGAACAGAGACATGGTTGCACAAAAGGCCTCTTCTGATCCCAAAGGACTCTGAAGCTGCAAAGACTCTTTAACGTTATTCCCATCTTGACACAAGGCCTTTCTAACCCCACATTGATTGGTTGCTGGATGTATACTGACTCCAGAGTTCAGGCGTGACTTTGACTAGGCAGCTCTCTTCAATAGAGGACAATTCCCAGAGAGGGACTCACTGACAGCCTTCATCCACCAGCCCCACCAGCAACTGAAAAAAATGTATGCTTCACTTCTGAAGGGCCAGAACTAACCCCAACCATAACCCTTCCCAGGGAGTCTGGGTAGCACACCACTGTATCCACTACAGAGACTTCCACAGTGATCTATGCAATTGCTAATTGTGGCTTGTTCAAGGGTATTAGCAGTCGAGTCAACCAGAAGTGTTGAATCTTTGAACTATTTTGCAGGTGAAGCAAAAATTATTTGCTCAGGAATTAGATATCTGATGTGAAAGAAAAGGTTTAAACTAGAATGACTCCCAAATTGTTGGCCTGGCTACTAGAAAGATCAAGCCACCATGAGCTGAGGCACGGAAGACTGTGGCAGGGAAAGGTTTGGGGCCAGGCTTAGGAGTTTCACTTTAGACATGCTGTAGATGAGGTGCCTGCAGACACCCATGGGCAGAAGTGGGTAGTTGAGTACATAAGGGCAGGTTTCAGAGGAAAAGTCCAGCTGGGACAATGTAGGGGGTCATTCGTGTATAGATATTTAAAGCTGGAGACTGAAAAAGGTCATCAAGGAAATGTAGACAGGGAAGAGAAGAGGGGGTGTGAAGTTTGAGTCCTGGAAGTCCAACTTTTAGAGGAGAGAGAGACCCAGCATAGAACAGTCAGTAACAAGAGGAGAAGCAGAAAATGTGTGTGTCTTCTATTCTCTGTGTTTCACTACCACCCTGGATTTATTCTTCGTCCTTTCTCATTGTGATGTGTCCTGGAAGGCTGTCTATCTCTCCTTTAGCCACCTCCTGGGCTTCCATGCCCTCTGGCTTCCCTTTGCATTTAGCCAATGGGAGGTGCTTTCAGGAAACCAGATGGGGCAGGGAGAGAGAGATGGGGACATTTATCCCTCCCATGCCATTTTTCTTCAAAGCTGTTCTGGTGGGCACTGTCTCACTCTATGACCATACCTTTTGGCTAGTTTCTCCTCCTTTGACCCCAACTCTCAACTAGATTCTGGCAACAACGTGTCCTCAATTTACCCCTACAGGTCTCCGAGTGCTAGTGACTTCCTGGGGTTGTTATTCTCTGGATGCATCAACCTCCCTTTACTCTGTCACCCTTCTCTAAATAGTTCACTCATAACAATGTCTCTTTAAAAATCCCTGCCCAATATTTCATCTGTATCTGCCAAGACTCTGACTAATGTATGTGTGGTCCTGGAAGAAAAGTAAAATGAAAAAGTTTGAAGGAGGAGGACAAAATCAACTGTCAAAAACTACTTGAAGTTTAACTAAGAAGTGGACTGAAAAATGACCACAGAGTTTCACAGCATGGAAAAATGGTGATATTATCAAAAGCAATTTCCTTAGAGAGTGGTGGCAAACGGATGCTCAGGATGTGTTTAAGAGAGAAAAGGAAGAAAAGTATTTGAAAAAGCAAGAGTAGACAACTATTTTAAGGAGTTTTGCTGTAAACAGGAGCAGAAAATGGAGCAGTGCAGAGAAGGGAAAATGAGATCAACACTGGGCTTTTAAGATGGGAGAAATATTAGCATGTTTTCATGCTTACCGGAATGATCTAGTGTAGAGGGGAAATGATGCAGGGAGAGAATGGAAAATTACAGTAGCCATGTCCTTGAGTAGGTGAGATAGATGCTACCTCATGCATGAGAGAAGGGCCAGCCCTAAAATGTCGTGTAGAGAATTTACGAACAATGCCAGGAAAGGAGGCAGAAGGTATAGGTACAGATGCCTTTAGGTGGGCAGGTGTGGGAGTAGAAATGTGTGGAAATCCTTTTCTTATCACTTCTATTTTTTGAACTGGAAGCTATGGCATCACCTGAGTGTGAGGATGAGGGAGACAGTGTTAGAGGTTTGAGGAGAGAGGAAGGGTGTGCCATTGTCTTAAGTGGGAGAGTCAGTGGGCCAGGGAAAGCCATCATGATAGTGGCACTACATTAAGGGTCGGTTCATTAGAGAGTCAGAGTCATGCATTTAAAGTAAGGCCATGATTTTTCTGTGTTTCTTTTGCCATGTTTAGTTACCTGGGTGCAGACACAACATAGAGAAGATTTTTGTGTGTGTGCAGGTTTGAAGTTTTGCTAAGAGAGTATTATAAAGCAAGAAAGGGTAAGAGAGCTGAGAGTGCAGAGAGAGAATGTCTATGATTGCCCATATTAAGAGGAATGTGGACAACAGTACAAAGGTGTGAAGAAAGGCACTAGAAGGAATGATCTGGAATATAGGCAGTATATTAAATACATCAACCACCATCCAATGCACATTGAAGGATACACATGGATTTTTATACACATTCCTTGCTCCTGATAGGCTTACAATCTGATTGGTGGGGGGAAAGAGTTTATTAGCTTTCTTTGCATGCATGCTAAGTCCAAGGAACTTTGCCTACAATTTCTGATTTAAGACCCTTTGCAGAAGCACAGTTAGACGGTACCATTGTTCCTTTTTATAGACTTCAAGCTTGTAGTGACTTCAAGCTTTACAGGAACTTCAAGCTTAGTAATTTGTCTCACATTGGAGGAGCCAGGAGAATTCAAACCAAGTGCTTTTTGTCAGCTCAAGCTGCCATAACCAAATACCACAGACTGGGTGGCTTTGACCACAGAAATTTCTTTTCTCACAGTTTTGGAGACTGGAGAATCAAAGCTTAAGGTGCTGGACAATTTGGTTCCTGGTGAGAACTCTCTTCCTAGATTGTAGATGGCTGCCTTCTCACTGTGTCTCCTCACATGGCAAAGATGCAGACAATGCTCTCACACCGTCTCGCTCTTGTGTCCTCTCTCCCCGTTCTTATAAGCACACTAATCCTACTAGATTAGGACCCTACCCTTATGACCTCACTTAACTTTAATCACCTTCTAAAAATCCTGTCTCCAGAAAGTTACACTGGGGTTTAAGGATTCAACATATGAATTTTGGGAGGATACATTTCAGTGAAGGCACCAAGATTTTCTGATTCCAAAACACTTTGTTCTTGCCATTTGTTCTATAATAGACAAATGCAGAGAACATTTCTAGACGAAATAACAAAATCAATTGGCATGTTCTTTCACGTTGACCTCAAAGCCCCTGAAGTGGTACCTTTATAAAATACAGGTTGTAATATACTACATTCATTCTCAAGCTTTAAAAAGAAGGATGTAACATGGATTTATAAATTCTACCATAGATACCCCTGATACAGTAAGTGAAAAAAGCAAGCTTCAGATAGTCAAACTCATAGAATTTGAGAATAGAATACGGGCCAAGAGTAGGGGAAATGGATATAAAGTTTCTGTTCAATGGATATAAAGTTACGGTTAAGCGAAATAAATAACTTCTAGAGATCTGCTGTAAAGCATAGTCCCTGCAGTTACCAATACTGTAGTTAGTGTGCACCTAGAAATGTGTTAGGATCACGTCTGTAATCCTAGCACTTTGGGAGGCTGAGTTGGGCAGGTCACTTGAGGCCAGGAGTTGGGGGTCAGTCTGGACAATATGGCAAAACCCCGTCTCTACCAAAAATACAAAAAATTAGCCAGGTATGGTGGCGCACACCTGTGGTCCCAGCTATTTGGGAGGCTGAGGTAGGAGGATCACTTGAACCTGGGAGGAAGAGGTTGCCATGAGCCGTGATCACACCACTCCAGTCTGGGTGACAGAGTGAGACCCTGTCTCAAAAAAAAAAAGGAATGTGTTAAGAGGGTAGATCTTACGTTACGTGTTCTTACAGCAAAACAAATAAACAAAAAATCCCCATGAAGGGACAAAAGGAAACTTTTGCACATGGTGAATATTTTTCTCACTTTGACTATGGCAGTGGTATCGTGGATGTTTGCATATGTCCAAACTCATCAAATTGTATGCATTAAACATGTACAGCTTTTCTGACCAATAAAGCTGTTAAACACAAGCCTCAGAACACAAGTATGGTACGATAGCATTTTTTTTTTCAAAAACATATTAGTGTGCTAGGATTTCCATAGCAAAGTGGCACAGATGTGGTGGCTTAATCAACAGAAATTTATTTTTTCATATTCGTGGCAGCTGGAAGTCTGAGATCAAAGGGTCAGCAGGGCTGGTTCCTTCTGAGGTCTCTGTCCTTGGATGGCAGAAGGCCCTCTTCTCCCTGTGCCCTCACTTGGTTGTCCCTCTGTGTATACCCATATCTAAATTTCTTCTTCTTATAAGATGTCTTATAAGGACATCAGTCAGATTGAGTTAGGAGCCACCCTAATACATTCACTTTAACTTAATTGCCTCTTTAAAGAGCTATCTCCCAATAGTCACATTTTGAGATAATGGAGATGGGGACTTCAACATACGAATTTCAGGGGTTACAATTCAGCCCATGCAGATATCAACATCACATGTATGGAATGTCCACATGTGTGAGCATTTGTGTTTGTAAAATATGTGAGTGTGTTTGTAAATACATAACGCAGATTGGGGAAAGTTCACAGTATAATAAAGAGCACTTGCCTTTGGATTGGGAAATTGATTTTGCAGAATAAGCTGTAAAAGGGAGCTTTTGCCTTTGTTTCTATACAGGCCTTCATTCTTGATTTTATAGAATGAACATATATTAATTTGTATTGACAAGAATAAAACATTCTTAAAACAGTAAAAGAAGTATAGAACAAGGGCCGCTTGCACTTCATTATGTAAGTAAAGCTATATTCTGTAGACTCCAAGCTTGCCCAGTTTAATACCAAAACCAGATGGCCCAGGTGGGTATTACAGCACTCTCATGGGAACTTAATGCCTCCGTGAGTGTCTTAAGCTTCCTTCTCTGGGTTCCAGTGCTTCCATCTGTGGCATGAAACATCTAGCCAAGACTCTGTGCAAGGCCTTTTTGTTTCTCAAAGCCCATAGTCCATAGTTTATGTAGATTAGAGCGAGAAACAATGGTCAGGAAAGAACACTGGGTAGCCAGAGATAGGAGTTGCAATACTCATGCCAACACCTACGTCATTGTGTGAATTTGGGAAATCCACTTTTCCTCTCTGGGTCATGGTTTCACCGTTAGTAGAACAAGCAGCTGGAATTGGACCAACGGCTCTTCCCTTGACTCTGAAGCACCCTAACCAAGAGTAGCTTCACAGGTGGCTTAAAGGGCAGTGGGCGGACTTCTTTCTCTCCTACCACAATAGGCAACTTTGTATCCATCTATAAAAGAACGGACTTCAGAAGAAGTTTCTACTTAGAAAGAGGAAAGAGTTGATGCTAAAGGAAGCTTCTCACAGAGAAAGGGATAAAAGTTTTGTAGGCTGCCTGGAAGTTTACAGAAGCTTGGGATACTGAGGAGAAGGCAAAACATTGGGTGCATTCAAGCATTTATACATATCCTGGAGCACGGAGTGTGCACGAGGATATAAAACTGGATAGGTTATTTCTGGCCAGATCCAGAGGGTACTAGTTGCCCTATTAAAGGGCTTGACTCTTTCTGTGCTGTCTATATTTGGAGGCTAAGTTATTACGTGCCTACTGATTCCTTGTATTATCTTGGTAAATTATCTTTTATCATGATTTAGTATCCCTTTTTAACATTACTTGACATTAATGTTGGTACATTCATTTTTAATTTTATATCCTATCATTTTCATTTCAGCTATTTTGGCTTATTTTTATTTGCTGCTTTTGTTTTAAGTGTGACTTTTGTAAGCAGCTTAGATGCATTTTTTGTTTTGTTTTATCAAATCTAATAATATTTATTTATTTATTTATTTATTTATTTTTAAAAATAGAAATAGGATCTTGCTATGTTACCCAGGCTGGTCTCAAACTCCTGGGCTCAAGCAATCCTCCCACTTCGGCCTCCCAAAGTGCTGGGATTACAAGTGTGAGCCACCGCACCCAACTGCATGTTTTGTAAGCACACAAACATAATCTATTTACTTTTATTATAATTATTGATACATTTTATGATTTTCATCAGTATACTTTCTCTTTCCTCACTTTTTCTTGGATTGATAAAGGTTTATCCTTTGCCATTACAGATTATTGATTCTATTTCTTTTTCATTAGAGGTTACTCTTAAATTCTCAAAGTATACATACTTTTCTAACCACATACTATGTTACTAGGGTTCATTATTTTTCACCATCTTTCTCCCCCAAAATGATTAGAACCCTAGCACACTTTAATTATCCTGCAGACCCCTCTTTATTAGTGTGCATATTATTATTACTATCTAGTATTTTTCCACATTAGATAAAAACAAATAAGCAGATATTATTTGCTGTTATGTTTTTATAAAGGTAAGATTTAAGTAGATTTACCATCATAGTTTACTAGCTTCCTCTGTATATATTTTTCTTTTACTTGTACCCTAACCCAAGTTTCTGGGTTCAACTTTCTTCTTGCTGAAAAGCCTTCTTAAGGAGCTAGATATTTCCGTGAGAGTCAGGCAAGGTTAACTCTCTCTGTATGAATGAAAATATCTTTGTTTCGTCTCACTTTCGAATAATAATGCAGGTTAGGTTTAAAATTCCAGGTTGATACTTATTTCCTCTCCACATTCTGAAGATGGTAATCTAGCATCTATGGTCCTATATTAAAAGTTTCCTAACAGTAGAATTGTTTCTTTGTACGGAATACTTGTTTCTTAGTCTGGTAACTTTTAAGAGCATTCCTTCATCCTTGGTGTCCTGAAGTTTTACCACAATGTTACTAGGTGTGAATTTATTTTACTTAGCATGTCTGTCTTAAATAATGGGAAAGTTCTCTTAGAATATTGCTACATTTGACACTCCACCTATTTTCTAGTTCTGAGGAAAAATACGAGATGCATGTTAGAACACCACAATCTGTCCCCAATGTCTCATAAAATCTCTTTCATATCTGTCACAATTGTCCCCTTCTGTACCATATTCTGAGTGAGTTTGTCACAATTATCTTCCAATTCTGAGCTCTCTCGCTCTCTCTCTCTCTCCCTCTCTGACCATGTCCAGTTTAGAGTTGTCCTGCCTATTGGCATTTCATTTTATCAATGTTTAATTTTCCCCCAGAATTTGTAAAGGCTTTGGTTCCTTATCCACCTGTTCCTAATTTTTTCTCTGTCTTTTTTTTAATTATATAATGCTCCAGAATTTTAGTTGAATTTTTCCTTTGTGGTTTCCTCTTATCTCACTCCCAAACCAGTATTCATTTATTTTTGTTTTCTTTTATAATTTTAAAAATTTGGGTTGCAATTGCATCTCTAGCAGTTTTTTTCTTAGTATCTTTCTTTCTATGGAGTCTTTTAAGTCCCCAGTTTAAAACTATGTTCAACATTGTCAGCTGGGGTTTCTCATCTCACAAGGATGCTCCTGATCTGGTCCTTGAGTCAAGATGTGTTTTTCCCAGTTCTTGACTTGGGCTGCCTCTGCTTATTTCTGTTCCTTTGGAAGAGCAGAACAGTGCAGCCACAGTCTTGAACCTTGACACAATGTTTATCTGCCTCCTTTTAGAGGGCAAGTTCACCCCCATAAAGTGATCAGGATCACCTATTATCGTGCTCAGAGCTTGAGTCCCTCTTATTCTTGGCCCCTGCAGGGTCTGAACACTGAGCTGCACAGGTGTGCTCCTGGCCCAGCGTCCAGTAGGTTTGCATAGCAAGTGGTGTGTTTTTACTTGATTTCTGATCTTTGCAAATAATTATTTTTATTTTCAGTGTGACTAAGTGTCTTTGTATAAATGCTGTTGTGTGCATCCATACATATACACTCCCACTCCCCCCACCACGCAAACATGCAACACATTATCATTTTTCCACATTTAGACTTGAGTTTTGCATTAATTCAACCTAGTAACTCAAACTTAGTCCTTAGACCAAGGGGTGCCCACAGAGCAAGGGAATGATAAGGTTAGGTTTACACTGTAGCAAGATGCTCTTGCAAAGTAGGGAGAGGAGCTGGGTCTTTTGGAAAACCACTTCAGAAGTCCAGCAAAGAGACTTATAATGGAAAAAGTAGAGGCTGTGCAGCCCCTTGGGCCTGGCTTTGTATCTCTGCCCCATCACCTACTTACTCTTGAATATGTTGCTTAACCTCCCTGCGTTTCATTTTCTTTGTCTTTAAAATGGGGATAACAATACCATTGACTGGTACTGTTTGGGGAAAAAGCTCAAATCCTGGGGCTTAACAGTTCGGACTATAACTGATTGACTGGTTCCTGTGCTGAGTACTTTGCATCTATTATTTCAATCAATGCTTATTAAAACCCTGTGAGATAAGTTTCATTATCCAAAGTACAGATATAAAATCCAAGGCTTCAGAGATTTGAAATAATTTACTTGCCCGAGGTTGAACAGCAAGTAAGCTACGTAATCAGCATGTGATGCTACCTCCATCTGGCTCCTATTCAATAGGAAGATGAAAGCTCCTATTTCACTATTCCTATTTATAAGGCCAAGTCTGGAGGGTTAAAGGGAAGAAGGTAACTGTGGAATAGAGAGGACAGATATGGCAGGTGAGGAACAGGGAAGAGTCAAAGTTAACTCAGGGCATGAATTTTAAAAGATACAAGTGGTCTTAATTGCAAAAAGTGAGGTACATCAATTTGTCTTCAACAACCAATACCTGCAACCTTGGTTTCAAGGCAGACAGAGATAGGGTTAGGGAACCTCTGCTTCCTAACTCTGGGACCTTGGACAAGTCATTTCATTTTCTAAGCCCTAAATTCCACATGTGTAAAGTGGGACTAACAGTCCATTCTCTGCAGGCTTGTTGAGAGGATAAAAGGAAATAGAATCATCTCAGGCATAGAGCAGGAGTGCAGCCAGGGATCAGGATCAGGTCCAGGTAATTTCAGAGCTCTTCTTTCCCACCTACATTCTGCTTCCCACTGAGGATGAGGCAGTTGACTCAGGCCTCCAGGGACAGGTAGGCCTTAAAATGCAGAGGGAAGATCGAAGGTGTTTTAGTCACAGAGAAGGCTGTAAACTCAGGAAAAGCTTTATTCATTTTTCAGCAGTTTTTAGCTCTTAAATATTTTTCATACTTCAGTAATAAAGCCAAATTTGAAACCAACATGAAGAATGTAAAGGTGAGGGATACTTCTTCTGTTTCTTTTTCTTTTCTTTTTTTATGCAACTCTTGTAATTAAACACAAATCTTGATTAATGCAAACCTATAATTCATGCAAATTGATCCCTAATGAGATGGAAACAAGCCAGGTTTTAATTTGTTGAACTTGTGGGAGATAGCATAATGAGTTGGAAGGAACAGATGCAAAAATACGTCTCCTTTCATCTAAAATGAGCCCAGCATTTCATTTCTCTGCTCAGTCTCATAAGCTTTTAGTATCTCTAATGTCTTCAATACTATTTCAATTTTTAAATTTCTTTTTTTTTTGCTAAGGAGATGATCACTCATTGCAGGCACATTGACTCACCTTCATGAAAACTTTACAGTTGTACCAGTTCCCCATACTTGGCCAGAATCTTCAGTGACCTCATATTCTAAGACATTTAAGCCCTGCAAGAGAACTTGATCCATTAGTGGTATGTAACCAACAAATGCTCTACATGCAACCTTATCAGAAGCCTCAAGATTTTTTATAAATGGTCGGTGGGTAATTCGTTCCAAATACAGAAAAAAAATGGGTAAGGCACTCCTAAACTCTGTTCTGGTGGTAATGCTGAGAATGGAAGCCAAAGAGACAAGCTTTTCAGGCAGAAGAACTGCATAAGCAAAAATATGGAAGCATGAATATGCATGATTTGTTTAGAATATAATGACTGGACTGGGATTGTTCTCTTCTTATGTTGATTCTTTTCATAGGTACACAAAATAGGAAGTTAAACACCTAGAATTACTCAATGTACTCCTTCCTCTGTTACAATCCTCCCAGTTGCCTGAGTCTGTCTACTTAACGGTAAATAATACTATGATCTTTGAACAAAATAAGAAAGAAACCTATATGACTTATATGCAAGCTGTGCTGGGTAGCTAATGAGCGCAGTGCCCCAAAATATGCTCCAAGTTTGTGAAGTGGTTGCAACTTAATAGAGATGGACCTGGGGTCCCCAAGGTAATTCACTAGGAGGATCCGTAGGACTCAGAATTTACTAGTACTCATGGCTAAGCTTGATTATGGTGAAATAACACAAAGCAAAATCAGCAAAGGAAAAGTCAGAGGGGGCAATGTCCAGAAGAAACCAGATGCAAGCTTCCAGGAGCCTTTTCCCAGTGGAGTCTCATGGGATGCACCTAATTCCTGCAGCAATGAATTGTGAAACACGTGGGAAATGTGTCTTCCAGGGCAGCTCACTAAGGACTGAATGCCCAAGGCTTTTATTAGTGGCTGGTCTTGCAGGCAGTTTTCTTGACACACACCAAACTCCAGATTCCCAGAAGGAAAGCAGGAGCTCAGCATAGACCACACAGTTTGTACCAACAGTTTACACACAGTGAGCCACTCTCATCAGTTCTGGGATGGTGAGAACCCTCTCTGAAACCCAGGTTTTCCATCTTCCCTCCATGAAGGCTGTGTTTAGGATAGCAGTCTCAGGCCTGCTATGCTAAATCTCCTCTTCACATGAGAAAGTACTCAATTATCATCCAAAGAAGAATCAGAAAATTATACTGGAGAGTGCAACGTAATCTGAATAGAAATACAGAAAAAAGGCCAGGCGCAGTGGCTCACGCCTGTAATCCCAGCACTTTGGGAGGCCGAGGCAGGCGGATCACGAGGTCAGGAGATGGAGACCATACTGGCTAACACGGTGAAACCCTGTCTCCACTAAAAATACAAAAAAAAAAAAAAAAAATTAGCCTGGTGTGGTGGTGGGCGCCTGTAGTCCCGGCTACTCAGGAGGCTGAGGCAGGAGAATGGCGTGAACCCGGGAGGTGGAGCTTGCAGTGAGCCGAGATCGCGCCACTGCACTCCAGCGTGGGTGATAGAGGGAGACTGTCGAAAAGAAGAAAAAGAAAGAAAGAAAGAAAGAAAGAAAGAAAGAAAGAAAGAAAGAAAGAAAGAAAGAAAGAAAGAAAGAGAGAGCGAGAGAGAGAGAGAGGGAGGGAGGGAGGGAGGGAGGGAGGGAAAGAAAAGAAAGAAAGAAAGAAAAGAAATACATAAAAAAAGAAATTATTTCTAGATTAGGACGGTGCAACCAGTATTTATTACCGGGTTATGGAGGAATGTGGCAGAGACAATATGAGAGAAACCCATGAGCATTGTTGAGCAGGACGGCCTTCCCTGACCTGGGTCTTGAAGGTTGAAGAAGATAGATGGGAAGGCCACCTCTAGAGAAGGAGCAAACAGCATGGGGACACGAGCGGTTCAGGGAATACACAGGATGACTGATTAGCATAGGTCCATTCATTCATGCGTTCATCCAGCCTGTATTCACTTCCTATTACTGCTGTTAAAAAATTACCATAAACGTAGTGGCTTAAAGTAACGCAGACGTATTCCCTTACAGTTCTGGAAGTCAGAAATCTGAAATGAGTCTTACAGGCTCAAAACTGAGGTGTCAGCGAGGCTGGTTACTTCTGTAGCCACTGAGGGGAGAATCCGTCTTCTTGCCTTCTTCAGTTTCTGTTGGTCACCCTCATTCCTGGGATCAAAGAGGAGGATGACTCCTTTCCCCATCACTACAACCTCTTGCTTCCATCATCACATCTACTGCTACTCTTACCTCCCTCTCCTGAGGACCTGGGTCTCCTTAGGACTACCCACATGATCCAGGATAATTTCCCCATCTCAAGCACCTTAACTTAATCACAACTGCAAAATACCCTTTGCCCTGTAACGTAACATTCATGTTTTGGAGATTAGAACATGGACATCTTGGTGGGGAGGGCATTTTTCAAGCCACCACACAGTCATCCACCCATGCATTTATTAACTGAACAAATAGATATTAATCTATTATTTATCGTGCACTGTATTAAGCAAAGGGAATTTTTTAAAAACCATGTCAGTTGATAAGTATACCTGTGTGTGTTAAGAGCTTTGGTCAAGATTTTCCCTGGGTGTGGTAGGAATATACAAGAGGCACATAACCTAGCACAGAGTTAAAAAAATTACCAGTCATATATGGAAAAATAAGCAGGGGATTTTCTTGGAGCAGCATAACGAGCTTAGGTGAGGAAGAGTCTTGAAAACTCAGCAGAGGGCTTCATACTTTACAAGAAAGAAATATTCGTTCCATGGTAGTCCCAGTCTCAGAAGACAGGGATCGATTTTTCAACAATTCATAGATTGTATATAAAAATATTATAGCTGTGGAACAGGATGAATTCTTTAGTCACTGAGGTTAATAGCCTGTGTCAAACAAAGAGGCTATTTTAAGATTAAACCAAAGAAAAATAGTCTGAGACATTCTGATGCCAAATTATGGAATATATTTATTCGGCCAATTTTTGAGTCTTTTTTTTTTGTAGCAACTTAACCAAATCCTTAATTGTTAATGATGACCTAAGTAGAAAAAATTAAAATATTCTTATATATGTAAAATTTTATTGGCCATCAGAAATCCAATTTGTGATATAATAGTGTCAATCAAAATGTTAAGTCTAGAGTATAAGACACCGAATGAGTGTGCAAGTCCTTCCTTCAAGTTACAAACAAAAATCCCTTCAATATACATTTAGTGAGCGCTTAAGATGTTCGGTGTATTGTATTAAGGCAAGATTCACAGAACCTGATCTCTAGAAGTCTACAGGAGGAGACACATACACAAACAATCACACAAAACTCTGACCTGGATCAATGAAGCTCTTTATATGCTATGTGCCATGGAGACATAGGAGAAAATGTTTTAACTTTGACTGAAAGAATAGCACAAAATCCATAGAGTGGGGAATGTTTAAGTTAAGCCTTGAAGGGAGATGATGATGATAATCATGATATCTACATTTTGTATTCTTATGATTTTTTTTCTTGAGAGAAGAGATTTAAACTCCTGAGGGAAACACAAGATGACACTGTTTAAATGTGATCTAGTTATTGGTAATATAAAGGAAAAAGCGTAGGTTTTAGACTCACACAGTCTAAGATTCAAACGCAGGCTCTTGCACTAATTATCTGTGTTTATTTGAATAACTTATTCTGTAAGTCTCAATGTCCTCATTTACAAAACAAAAATGCTAATGAAACAACATTTTAAAAAGTTATTTTCTTCCAGCCCCTTAGCCATTAACTGTGTAAACTTGGACAATTTCTTCATCATTAATTTCTTCAAATGCAAAATATGGAAAATTTATACTCTTTACTTCACAGAAGTAAATAATGCCTAAGTAATAAGGTAACAAAATAATGTATGCAAATATCTTCTCTGTAAACCATAGAATGCTAAACAAAAGTTAATATCTCCAATTTATATCATCTTTAAAGGGATAAAATTGTAGATATTTGGGGGTACAAGGAATGGGAAACCAAAATAATCTCAGGAGGCTTCCTGTAGAAGGTAGAATATGAATTGGTACTATTTATGTGACTTTTGAAGCACTAGCTATAAAAACCACAATTCAAGACTCTGTGATAGAGTAGCAGGCACTAGCGCATCTAACGCATCCCTGCCAGGGATATAATCAATGTGGTGGATTTCTACATCAGGATACTATCATTAAACATGGATTTAATTTGCTTTTTATAATACAGTCAGCTTTACTGAAATAGAAATTCTTTTATCCAGGAAGTTGATGGGGACACAGCTCATGCAGGATCAGTTTCTAGTGTAATGGGTTGGTCAAAATCAACGGTAAGTGCGTCTAGGCAAGCAGCTGAAACTTTGCATTTTCAAGATCGTGCTGCTAGATGATGCTGGGTTCAATGGGAGTTAGGGGTAATTAGGGTGGCTACAAACAGGAAGACGTAGCTCACTCAAGGACAGTGTATCAGTCTGTTCTCACGCGCCTAATAAAGACATGCCTAAGACTGGGTAATTTATAAAGAAAAAGAGATTTAATGGATTCACAGTTCCACATGGCAGGGGAGGCCTCACAATCATGGTGGAAGGCAAAGGAGGAGCAAAGGCATGTCTTACATGGCTGCAGGCAAGAGAGCTTATGCAGGGGAACTCCCCTTTTATAAAACCATTGGATTTCATGAGACTTATTCACTATCACGAGAACAGCAAGGGAAAAACCTGCCCCCATGGTTCAATTACCTCCCACTGAGTGCCTCCTATGAGACATGGGGATTATGAAAGCTATAATTCAAGATAAGATTTGGATGGGCTCACAGCCAAACCATATCACATGGAGACTTAGGATGCTGGCCAAGGGAAATAAAGAATCAAAAAGAGGCAGTAAATACCCTGAACAGTGCCTGGAAAGCCTGCTTCGAGAAAGAGATCACTCTAATGCTTCTTGGAGAAAGAATCTTCTCAGAACAGTGCCTGGAAAGCCTGCTTCAAGAAAGAGATAACTCTAATGCTTCTTGGAGAAAGAATCTTCTCAGCTGCAGATCTGAGACGTCTCTGACCATCACTTCAGTGCGCCGAAAGAGGCACTGTGTAAACACTCTCTCTATTGGCAAAACTGTAATCTGAAAAAGTGTCAACCTCATTCCATACTGAATATGGACAAAAATAGATAAATACATTGGTCCTATGAAGTATGACATGAGCTGAAAAGGTCAAGTTCATCCACAGAGTACATCAGTGAAGATAATCTATTGCAGGATCCATCAAAAAATCCTATGATACTATTTCAAATTGTCAGAAGGTGCAAGGAGTTATATCCCACTGCCAAGAAGACCAGAAATGTAGGGGTGGGTTGCCCCTACACACCTGTGGGTGTTTCTCGTAAGGTGGGACGAGAGATTTGGAAAAGAAAAAGACACAGAGACAAAGTATAGAGAAAGAAATAAGGGGAACCGGGGAACCAGCGTTCAGCATATGGAGGATCCCGCCAGCCTCTGAGTTCCCTTAGTATTTATTGATCATCTGTGGGTGTTTCTCGAAGAGGCGGATGTGTCAGGGTCACAAGACAATTGTGGGGAGAGGGTCAGCAGACAAACACGTGAACAAAGGTCTTTGCATCATAGACAATATAAAGGATTAAGTGCTGTGCTTTTAGATATGCATACACATAAACATCTCAATGCTTTACAAAGCAGTATTGCTGCCCGCAGGTCCCACCTCCAGCCCTAAGGCAGTTTTTCCCTATCTCAGTAGATGGAGCATACAATCGGGTTTTATACCGAGACATTCCATTGCCCAGGGACAGGCAGGAGACAGATGCCTTCCTCTTGTCTCAACTGCAAGAGGCATTCCTTCCTCTTTTACTAATCCTCCTCAGCACAGACCCTTTACAGGTGTCAGGCTGGGGGACGGTCAGGTCTTTCCCTTCCCACGAGGCCATATTTCAGACTATCACATGGGGAGAAACCTTGGACAATACCTGGCTTTCCTAGGCAGAGGTCCCTGCGGCCTTCCGCAGTTTTTGTGTCCCTGGGTACTTGAGATTAGGGAGTGGTGATGACTCTTAAGGAGCATGCTGCCTTCAAGCATCTGTTTAACAAAGCACATCTTGCACCGCCCTTAATCCATTTAACTCTGAGTTGACACAGCACATGTTTCAGAGAGCATGGGGTTGGGGGTAAGGTTATAGATTAACAGAATCTCAAGGCAGAAGAATTTTTCTTAGTACATAACAAAATGGAGTCGCCTATGTCTACTTCTTTCTACACAGACACAGTAACAATCTGATCTCTCTTGCTTTTCCCCACATTTCCCCCTTTTCTTTTCAACAAAACCGCCATCGTCATCATGGCCCGTTCTCGATGGTCGCTGTCTCTTCGGAGCTGTTGGGTACACCTGCAGACTAACAACAGACAAAACAGGCACACAAGGATTAATATGAGATTTATAATCGTAGTACTTCCAATGGTCTTAACCCAAGTGACAGGGTTAAGATTTGCGAGGCCATCAGCAACTCCTGCAATTGCCTCAGTTCCTGGCACCAAATTTAAATGGGCTTTTGATGCTTCGAAAATTTGTTCTTTTAATTTGGAAATGTCTAAAGTGAGATTATCTTCTCTTCCCTGTAGATGGCGTCTAACCATGTCCCAGTGATGCTCAGACTCATTATAAATTTGGGGTGTAATACAAAAATCTGATGTATTCCAGTCACACTGTAACTGGAAACGATGTTCTAAGCTCATGAGCCTGTCTCCCATCCAAATGACAGTTTGTCTAAGATCATTAATTTGATTTGCCAATTTTTGATCAATACTAGATTGTGAATTCCACAATCTTGTAGAATTTTTTTGCCAATCATTAACAAAGTTTACTGACTGAACAGAAGAGTGCAATGCAACTCCTGCTACAGCAGCCGTAGCTGTGACTGCAATTAATCCCATAATCACTGCAATTAAAGTAAAAATGAATCTTTTGGATCTATTTAAAACACCTTTTAATACTTCAGTCAAAATATGGACGGATGGCGAGGCCTCCCACGGTCGGTCCATGGACACAGGGATCCACACGCCCTCTCTTGCTCTCACCAGCAGAATACGGTGTTGCCAATTAAAAGTTGAATCAATGCAAGTAAGCAATCTACAATTTTCACAGGACCTGTTCTTGTACCCCATCAATCCACCAAGTCTTAAATTGTAAAAATTGAGAGGGTGAGAGAGACGATTTTTCCAGAATCTCCCAATTGTAAGGAATGAGTCTATGTCCATGAGCAATGGAATCTAATAATGTCCTCATATAAGGGGAGTTGGGTCCATACTGTTTTACTCCCTCTTTCATATCTTTTAGCATTTTTATCGAAAAAGACTTGTATCTGGCCTCAACTGTGAGAGGCTCTCCCTCTTGGGCTCCTTCTCCAGGTGGCATCGGTTCTAACGTTACTGGGAATTGCCATGCCTCAGTATCTCCTTCCTTTCTTGATTTATCAATAATTTCATGTAATTCACTACCCTGTCTACTAGGTGGTGCCGTAGGATTAAGTCTCCTAGTGGGCGGCTGAGGGTATGGCGCCCTGCCCTGTGGTGCTGGGGGCATTCCTGGATATCCATACTGACTTTCTGGGGGTGGCCGATAGTGAAGTTCAGCCGGCGGCCAGTATTGATAGGCTACTGGTGGTTGGGTCTTATTTTCTTTAACCTGCTTTTGAGGTTGTAATGTTACGGGCACCTGACCTGCTGGAAGAGGACTTGTGCCTCGTGGTTTAGACTCTGATGGCCCCATTAATTCGGGACCTTTTCCTTCTAATTTTAACGTTTCAGGATATATCACCTCCTGTAATTGATTATAGTCAACATTTTGCGTTGACTGAGCCATTACCGGCTCTGCTACATATTCGCAATGTAAACCTTCCGTTTCTTTCTGGGATTTTTTCCTTGTGTTTTCATTACAATCTATTAAACAGCTTCCAGGGGCATCAGAAACTGAAATGCTATCTTCTTCTGTTTGAAATGGTTCTAAAGCTGCTTTAATAATGGCCCAATCATTCCATACTGTAAGTGGAATGATATTACCCTTCCTACCTGCTTGTTTTAGTTCCTTACCAATTCTTTTCCAATCTTTTAGATCTAAAGTTCCTTGTTCTGGAAACCATGGGCAAAATTGTTCTATTATTTGAAATAGCTTGATTAGATTTTTTGTAGATACTTTAACTCCCCCTCTTTTTAAAAGAATTTTAATAAAGCTGAGATAAGAGGCATATTTACTTTTAATTTTACTTTTAGTTTGCCCCATTATCACCCTAGCTTCTTCCGAGCGCACAAGCTTACCGTAAGGCTGACTGTAGACGTCCTCGGGATCTCTTGTCGACTTGTCCTCAATGACCACGCTCGAGCGTACCTTCACCCTAGAGAAAAGCCTCCACGTTGGGCACCAGATGTAGGGGTGGGTTGCCCCTACAAGAAAACCATGGCCGGGCGCGGTGGCTCACGCCTGTAATCCCAGCACTTTGGGAGGCCGAGGCGGGCGGATCACGAGGTCAGGAGATCGAGACCATCCTGGCTAACACGGTGAAACCCCGTCTCTACTAAAAATACAAAAATTAGCCGGGCATGGTGGCGCGCGCCTGTAGTCCCAGCTACACGGGAGGCTGAGGCAGGAGAATGGCGTAAACCCGGGAGGCGGAGCTTGCAGTGAGTCGAGATCACGCCACTGCACTCCAGCCTGGGCGACAGAGCGAAACTCCGCCTCAAAAAAAAAAAAAAAAAAAAAAAAAAAAAAAAAAAAAAAAAAAGAAAACCATAAGGAGAATACGACTTGAGTCAGCTAGGCAAGATGGGGGAAAAAATGAATGAGATAAAGTCAAAAAAACAGAACATGCATATTAAAAAATCATACTAGAATCTAAAACAAATATTTTAAAAGTGAATGTAAAAATGGATAGAGTCAAATAAATAATATGGATAACAGATTTGCAAAACCACTCCAGGTTACAGAGAAAAAAGTGGAGAGATGAAAACACAAATATCCAAATTAGTATCTTAAAACTATAATGATAGACTTCAAGGAAATTAAAAATATAAAAACATCTTAATTAGAAAATCTGAATTTAAATATTTGTATAATAACAAATTACTAAAGTAATACTAGAAAACACAGATAACCTGAATAAGACAGTAACCAGAAACAAACTGGAATGAAAGTAGTTACATAATTGCTTCTGAAAAAGTGCTCAGCCAAGACCATTTATAAGCGAAGTTTTAAAAATCCTTATTCTTTGTAAACTATGCTAGAACATAGAAATGCTCTCAGTTTTACAAACCCAGTATGTAATCTTGTGTCCAAATCCTGATGAAGATATAATAAAGAAATTGTTCAAGTCTCACTCTGAAATATTGCTGTAAAATCCGTATTACAGGCAAATAAAATTCAGTAGTAAATTAAAATTAAAATAATAAAGTATTATTTCAGAATGAAAGGATGGATTCTTAGTTGGAAAACATTAATATGTCTAGCATGCATTGAAGAGATGCAGACTCTCTGCCCTTAATATCTGTGTCTTCTTTACAGTAAAATTCAACTTATTTTCTATTATACCCATCTGCATTTCCTCAACTTTAATTCCGTCTCAACTAACTCCATCAGATTCTTGCCCTCAATACCTCAATGAAACCTGTCCTCCACCGTGCAAAAATGAGGGGTCAACTTTCAGTAGTCACACTCAATTTCTCATCAGTATTGACATAGAGGAATATTAACATTTCATCCTTCTTTTAAAAAAACTTTCTTTCTTTTTCTTTTTTTCTTTTCTTTTCTTTTTTTTTTTTTTTAACAGAGTGTTGCTCTATCACCCAGGCTGGAGTCCAGTGACACAAACACAGTTCACTGTAGGCTCAACCTCCTGGGCTCAAGCGATTCTCCCACCTTAGCCTCCTGTGTAGCTGGGACTGTGAATCCACACCACCACACCCAACTAATTTTGTTGATTTTTTTTTTGGAGAGACTGGCTCTCACTTTTTTGCCCAGGATGGTCTCGAGCTCCTGGGCTCAAGCAATCCTCCTGCCTCAGCCTCCCAAAGTGCTGGGATTACAGGCATGAGCCACCATGGCTGGCCGTTTCATACTTTTTGAATTTCTTTTCTACGTGTTGCTTCTAGGATACCATACTCTCTTGGTACTTCCTCCTGCCCTTCTGGTTGCTTATTCCTCTTTCTCATTTAAGTGCTGGTGCCCCAAGCTCATGTCAGAGACTTCTTCTCTATCTGTACACTTGCTATATGATATTAGCCAGTGCTTTGGCTTTATATAACATTGCCCTGCTATCAACTTCCATTTATATAACTATATGCATCGCTAACTTACGAGCTCCAGTTTCTCTATGCTGTCATCTACTTAACATCTATTTAGATGTCTGGTAGTCAAAATAACTTCACAGGTCCAAAGTACAGCTCTTTATCCTTTCATCCCTTGCCTGTCCTCTGCAAAGGTTTACCAACTCAGCCATTGGCACCATCAATCTGCTTCAGCCAAACCTTCGTGCCACCCTTCATGCCCCATGCACAATCTGTCAGCACATCTTGCCAGCTCTATTTTCAAAATTAATCCCCAAATTTGGCACTTCGCTTCTCTCCATCTTGACCACAATCACCCTCATAGATAAATGTTTTAATCTGTGGGCTGGAAGCATATGAACTTTCTCAGAATGTACGTAAGAACCTGCATGTTATTCCATATTTTCTTTTAATTCCTTCTACTCCTACACTAGAATTAAACATTTTCAAATAAATGGCATAGCTACAGAGTCAGCCCCCAACCAAAGGCATTGTGTTCAGAAAGATTATTCTGTTCTGATGTGTTTCCATTTATTTAGAACCAATCTCAAACTTGAGTGATTGTCTCTCTTGACCCTTTGCCCAAAACTTTGACCACAATTCTGCACGTGCCACCATCACAGGCTTTATCTCTTCTGGTTTTCTGAGTCTCCCCTCCCATCAGTGAGAAACAAGCTTCTATAATGTTAGTGGATATTCCTGTCCCACCTCTATCCACACATAGCTCCCTCCCCAACTTGATTACAAGCATCTGTGAAGAAGAGACTTAGCCAGATTGAGGGGGGTGTGTGTGTGTGTGTGTGTGTACATATGTGAGCATATTTTAAGATAAGAGCAGGCACCCCAAAATAAAGGATATTTGTTCAGAAAGAAACCATTTCTTGATAAGCTGCTTGGAGTAAACACTGAGACACTAAAGTCCTGAGTGTGCAGGAGTTGAAGAAACAGAAAGCTAAAATGCTTAGTCCTAGAAAAGAACAGAGCATATGGAGCTTATGCTGTGTCAAGAAGAAAGGAGAGGAGGAAGGGTTGCTGAGAAGTATGACTGACTAGCAGGTGGACCTTTTAAGGTCAGGGATCTAACATCAAATTTCAATATGATTACAATTGTGTCCATGTAAACAATCTCACTCCTTCTTCCCAAACTCTCAGGATAGTTGACTACATGCACCAATACTGTGCAATTGTACATGATGGGCGTGAACATGGCAAGTGAGAGAAGAGACTGAGTTCCACATATGGACCAGCACAAGACAAAATAGGGCAGGCAGTGGCACAAACCAAACGAAGCAGAAACAAGAGCCTAGAGTCAAGGATAATAAAAATATGGGTCTCCTCATCCACCTCATCATTAGAAATGTACAGAATTTTAGGTACTGAGCTTGCAGAGTATGCAGACATTGTATGGGTCATAGGGATAGGGAGACCCCAGTTGCTAGGTGGACTATGCATACTTTTCACCCTCCGGTAATCACTCAAACATTTACAAGTAAACACAATGCCTACAGACCAGTGGTGGTGTTATTAAATAGTAAGGATGGAGGAGGAACTGCTAGACCCTCTTACCTGATAAGAAGAAGATGTTGGTAGCTTTGATGGTTCAGTAAAGGATATTTGCTAACTCTAAGATATGTCCTTAATAAGTGCTGGTAAATGTTCAAAGTGAAAAAGAAAATATACAAACAGAACTAATCTGTGGTTTATCAAAGGTATAAACAGATGCAAAGTAAATGTACTTAAAGGCAGATTTGCTTGCTTACGGCTTTGCGATGCAGTCACACACACATTCCCACAAAAGCTTAGCCCTCAAACACATGCAAAGGCACACCTCCTGCCACTTGTACACCTTATCCCATTACCACCCATCCTGACTCTATTCTTTCACAGTCAAAGACTATCAGGAGTCACCACAGATTCCTACATTTCCATCCCTGGCCCAGCATAGTCCATAAGGGAGGTGCTCCTGGTTCATCGAAAAGTGATCAAAACATTTTTAAAAGAAGATTAAATGACAAAAGTCTAATTTTATTCAACTGAGGGGATTAAAAGACCACATATCATAGAGGTCAAGAATACAGTGGACTCTGGAGCCAGAAGACCTGGGTCCAAATCTCAGCTCTACCACTTCTTAGCCACACGACCTTGGTGAAGTTGCATAACTCCTCTCAGCCTCAGTTTGCTCATCTGTAAAATGCAGATTATACTAGTGATATTACCACATAGTTTTGTTTTGAGGATTAAACAAAGTAGTATTCGCAAAGCACTTAGAACAGTGCCTGGCACATTGTAAGTGCTACATAAATGTTTGTTAAACAAATAAAATTTCATTTAATCTTAGATGATGTTCCAACTGTATTTCTGGTGTTTTTTTGTTTTGTTTTGTTTTGTTTTGTTTTGCTTGAGACGGAGTCTCGCTCTGTCTCCCAGGCTGGAGTGCAGTGGCAGGATCTCAGCTCACTGCAAGCTCCGCCTCCCGGGTTCACGCCATTCTCCTGCCTCAGCCTCCCGAGTAGCTGGGATTACAAGTGCCCGCCACCACGCCCAGCTAATTTTTTGTATTTTTAGTGGAGACGGGGTTTCACCATGTTAGCCAGGATGGTCTCGATCTCCTGACCTCACCATCTGCCCGCCTCGGCCTCCCAAAGTGCTGGGATTACAGGTGTGAGCCACCGTGCCCAGCCCATTTCTGATGTTTTCAATCTCTCATGAAACGCTTGTTCTGGTGAATTACATGTCCTTTTATTGATTCAGTTTTCATATTCTTTTTGACAGAATAAGTTGGTGCCCAACTATAAGGTGGCTTTGTGCCCTCCACACCTATTTTTTCAATTCTTGCTGAAGTCTCCAAGTTTGGGAAATACTACTTAGTCAGTTCCTCCTTTTTATAAACAGAGAGACTGATGTTCATGGAAATTAGACCAGTCACTGTGACCTAACGATCCCACAGGAGTTGGTCCCACCTCCCAGAATGTCCTCTCTTCCTGGCACTTTTCCATTCATTCAGCATCTTCCAACTGCACCAGCCCTCTTTCTCTTCCTCAGCTACTCCAAGCTCATTACCCATTTGGATCCAACTTTCTATTTAGAAGGGGAGTCGGACACTACCGCTATATCTTTCTGCTAACACACAGCCAGTTGTTGAGTTTTTCATGAGAAAATCTGTTTTTCAGTGAATGGTTGTTAATGGATGCACAAGGGATTAACACTGCAAGGATTATGATATCATGAGAACTTTGCCTGATTCATATGTTCATGTGAGAGTCTAGGAGCCGACTGGCTCAGTGGGTTGCAGCACACTCGGAGACTTCTGAGCATCAGTTGACTGATTTTGCCAAAGAAGAAATTGGTGAAAATGTGGTGTTAATTTTGCTTGAACCCCTAACTTTTGTACCCTCTGCAATTTGTAAAAGCCGTTAGAAATAAATAAATGCTTTCTATGGTCATCAAATGTTTCAACTTATATTAACTACACAATCAAATGTGAAATTTAAAATGTATTACAAATTTTAGTGAAGAGTTCCTTCTCCAAGAAGGGGGTAGATGGAATTTTAAGAAGAGCACTTTATAACCTGCCGAAATATAAAACATGCCTCTTATTTTCTTCCCCCTGCCCCAAAAGTAGTGTGACTAAATATCAATAGATGCATGTTAAGAAATGTCCCCAGATATGAAGTCCTAACTCAGCTGAGAGCCTCTGCAGTCTATACCACTGTTCCCTATGACGCTGGATACATTGTAGCCAGTCCAAGACAGAAACAACAGTCACTAATCTCTACCAGTGAAGTAAAAATAGTTTCATAGATTTTACTAACTTTAGAATGGTGACACAACCTAAGGTATATATGGTAACCAATGTAAGTCTTCAATAAGAATTCTGGTGTTTAAGGTTTGGGGTACTTTTTTTAAAGGGTTGCATTTCTTGATAATGTTGCCTGAAGACCTATTTTTATAAAAATAAAGTACAAACTCTGGGATGTCCAAAAGTCCCTAAGCAGAAGGAAAGCACATTCCTGGTTTTATTCCACAAGATGGAGCCAGCTGCAGATCTGTAATCTTGGATCTGCAGTCAAAAATCTGTTTCACTTGTAAAACAGTAAACTGATCCCATCTTTCTTATTTTTAGTGACCAACAGTGGGTTATAGCACTGAAGTGTTTTACTTCATTCATCAGTCTGAAGAGCTTTTTTTTCATGCACAGCAGTAGCCCATGTTTTCAAAGAACTGTCAAGAATGTCACCGAATGGGGACATTTGTGACATGGATTCTGACAAGATGGCCAGCATGGGAGGACAGAGGGCAGGAGCACTGCCACGCTCTCCGATGAGTGAGGCAGACCAACAGGCACAGTTTGACATCAGCACACAGGGTTCCTGAAACCTGCTCTTCCAGCAACATATTTGGCATGATTAAAGGAGAGACTAAAACTCTGGGGATATGTATCACTTAGATTCCTGGGCTACCTGGAAAATAAAGAAAATGTTTCTTTATGCAAAAATTCCATGAATCGTGGAGAAATGGGAAATGACTAATAAAGGGAACACTCTCTTATTATGGCCCCTACCCGTCAAGGCCCACTTCCTTCCCAAATCCACAGAAAAACTTAGAAACAGCCAGTTTATACTGATCTTTTCCTCCCCTCTGAAATTCTATAGCAGAACCTACATTCATGCTATTAAATTGGCTTTATAATTTAAGCTACTTTATCAGCCACTGGAAGGTTTATTCATTAGACAACTAGGGTCTGCTGTCTCTCTACGGATGCACCATATCTCAGGGTCTTGGAAAACATTACCTGTTGCAACCTTCATATAACAACTATGTCCACAAGGATGTCAATCTCCTTCTTCTCCCTGTGTAAACTACTAAGTAGAACCCTCTAGACCCTCACCTAGTCTGTACCTGTACCCACCCACCTGCAATGCTAAACCTCTTCTCATGTTCAGATTTAAGCAGTCACAGCAATGCTTGTGATGAAATCACCTGAGAAGATCTACCTGTACTCTATGTCTACATTAGCCTCTTGGACCTAAACCTCAGCCCCTTCTCCAGTCCAGAAGCTTGGGGTAGGGTGCAGTTCCAAACAAATGAATGAATGTCATCATCATGGTTTTAAAGCCCCCGTATTGACTACAAAGTACATTTGTTAAGTAGCAATGAATTATTTCACAATGTAACTCATCAGAAATGCTTGCGGTCTGAGTGTATGGCCTTGCAGTCAGATAAATTGTGTTCAAGTCCAAATTTTTCACATTTTTGCTTTACAGCCTTGAGCAGTCTCTTCACCTTTTTGAACTTCAGTTTTCTCATCTGTGAAATGCAGATAACGGCAGCCCACATCTGCCACTGTGGGGTCTGTCACCAGAAGCATTCTTCATCCCTTTCTTCTCTGTTGCTGTTTTCCAAATGTAGCACCCTTGCTCCACATTTATTTGATTGCTTACCAAGAAGTATCCCACACAGAGGATACACTCAATCATGTAGACAAGACGACCATCCTGGTATGCCAATCAGCACCTTTCCCTACCCTGGTATTTGCTCAGAGTGGCCATGGTGGCAGAGATAGAGGTCAGGTACCTTTTCAGAACAATAGACTCGGGCTCAGCAAGGCTGCTCTGGGCACCACACCGTTATGAGTCCTGTGTGCCAACAACACAATCTATAGCTGAGTGGCCAGTGTGGCTGCTCTCCTAGAAACAGGTTGGTGACAGTGGATCCAGTTCATGATGGAGGGTGTAGTGATTGACAGTCACTGGAGAATGCATATATTCTGGCTAAGGATTTGCCATTCCTGCACATCACGCATCTGCTCGTACTCCCATCTGTGGACTTACAGAATTATCTGTTCATTCCCTTGGTAAAACATGCTTTGACTAAGAGCTCACTTTATCACAGGAGTACAAAACTGGGCTCACAACCTAAGGTACATATGGTAATGAATTCATTGTATTTACTGGTCTGCCTCCTACACCAGCCACATGTAGAAGTAGTAGCCTGCTAGCTGTGACTACTGATGGGATGTCCTACTGAGGCCTGAGAGATGGCATTAACTAGCAGAAAACTTTTCAAAGTTGGGACCCTGTACTACACTATGTAACACATTTTAAAACTAGTGACAAAAATATGACATCCTTTCTTCCAAAGCAAAATACATAGGTCCAGAAAATAAGGGATGTGAGTAGGAGTGTCCCCATCACTATGTCACCTAATGATCCACTGGCAACATGTTTGCTTCCTGTCTTGAAACCATGGGTGTTACTGAGTTAGCAGTTTTAGTTCCCAAGATAAAAGTTCTTCCAACAGGGGACACAGAAATGGTCTAATTAAACTGAAGTTGAAACAACCACCTGGCTATTTTTAGCTCTACATATCAAAAAAAACAACAGGCAGAGACAGGGTTTCCATTATGGCTTGAATGATTAATTCAAATTTCAAGAGGAAATTGCTGGCTGCTACAGAGTAGGGCAGGGAGAATGATGAGTGGAATGTAAGGGATTCATTAGGGCACTTCTTAATATATCTGTCCAACAGTAATGTCAATAACAGATTATAGCAACCTGCCACAAATCAGGACAACTAAGAATCCAGATACTTCAAGAATAAAGATTTAACCACACCAGGTTTAAAAATGCCAACCAAATGAGAGGCCAGTTGAGGACAAAAGTGACATGGAGTAGAAGAAAGGGGGAGGAACACATATCAACTATGGCCTCATGACCATCCCATACGTGGGAACTGTAGAGCTATGTGTATTTTCGACATCAACAAATGAGTTCTTTTTTCTTTTTTCTTCTGTTCTCCTCTACTATTAGAATGAAGTGTTTCATTGATGCTTTACCTCATGATTTAGTTCACAGACCATGAAAAGCCTCTAAGGAATGGACCACTTATTACCTAGAGACCTTGAAGTTGAGCTCGATATCATTAATCAATGATCCTTGGTGATTCCCCTCATTGGCCAGGTGGCAGGAGTATCTTCATTTATACTGTGTAATCTTTCCTCATGTTAGGCAGCACATGCAGGTGCTTAGGAGAGTTACATATGGCAGAAGTAATAGAATGTCAAAAACAAATGGTCTGTGCCCCCCTTGAATCTGTTTTTCTCTTAAATCTGTTCCTCCCTCTCCCCTGTCCTGCCTGTGTCAAAGGGGCTGACCTGAGCAGGCTGATTTTTCCATTGTATTCACCCAAAGAGAAGCACTGGGGAGACGCTAAAGGATTGAAGGAAGGGAGAATCCTGGATATTCCTTTTCTCTCTATGTAGCTCAGGCAGTGTTTCCATAGCAACTTCATATCTTCCATGGCTTCGTCTTCTACCAGATGGGTCCATGGTGGTTTCCGCTCTTGTCAAAGAATGCTAGCCCCAGGGATCCAAAAACAGTGCCTCCTCATTTTCTCTCCAGAGCCATGAAGGTAGAGGATTTCTGGTGCTATTAAATCTGGGATGGCTCACCATCCCCTGTTGATGTATTGGCTTTTCTAGTTACCTCTGTAGCCAATTTCCCGCCTTAAGTTCCCTCTTTCAAATACTCAGAATGGTGTCCTGGTTTTATCCTAACTGATAGACTATCCTTCTGAGCTGTGGTAAAGTTATAAATTAATATATGAATGTACCTAGCACAATTCCAGGCACCAAGTCAACACTCAATAAATGGTAATTTTCTGGACCCATTGCTTAGTAAGCAGTGAAGACCAGACTGCATGGAAATCTGGTTCTATCACTTACTAGACATGTGGCCACCTTGAGCAAGCTATTTAAAAGTTCTGTGCCTCATTTTCTACAGAAACCAGGATAACAGATAAATCTACAGAATCAGGATAACAATCATACCTACCCAAAGGGTTGCTGTAAGTATTCCTTGCATTCATGGAAAGGGCTTGGAATAGTCCTACCTATAAATAGAACCAACACATACGGGCCATTTTCATGAGATTATCGTTTTTTAAAAAAAAAAAAAAAGTCAGTTGATAACATTCCAACAGAAAGGAGAATGGGAAATAAAAGTTTTTGAGCACCTAGTTTGTGCATGACTCCAACAACAAAACACATATCTTTTAAATTAGCTCAGGAGATAAGAGACATTACCCTGGGTAAACTAAGAGTCTCAAAACTGGATTCTCTTATACTCTATGGAAACTAATGGTGAAAATGTATGTGTGTGTCTGTGTGTGTGTCTTCATAATTGGCCAATATCAGCTACAGAAATATGCCCACTGGGTTTTTCCTGGCTGAACTGGTTCTACACCTCTAGTGGAAAGAGCACTAGACATACAGTTAAGAGTCTAGTTATGGTTTCATTATGGACTTTGTGTCTAGTTATGGTTGCACCAGTAGTATTTATGTGATTGAGAACAAGTTACAAACCCTCTGATTTTACTTCCATTTATCTATAAATAGGGAATAATATCTGCTTTCATAATTGGTCCTACAGATGAAATGGAATTTCACCTATTATAAGATCACTGCAAATTATGAAAAGATTTCAGGTGTTTTCCAATAAGAAACAGAGGTGGAGTATTAGTCAGAAGAAACCAGAAAACATAGCTCTACCTTTATAAACATTCCAAATAACCCTGGGTTCCATTATTATATCATTTTTTTCCAGATAGGACACAGGTTTACAGAGAACATCAGCATCTTGCCTAAGATAAGGCAAGTAAGTTGCAGACACTGGATTTGAACCCAAGGTGTCTGCAGTGAAAGCTCAGGTCAGTAGCCATGACCCTGTCTCCCACCTCTACCCAGGTGGGGTGGGAGGCTGTAAATGTAGGTCGGGGTCTGCATGAGCAGGAATATCATCCATATGAACTGAGAACCAGCTCAAAGGCAGCTCGGTGAAGGGGTGGGGAGCCAGAGAGATGAAAAAGCCTATGGGATGCTTTAGAGGATCATTCACAATAACTCCTCAGCCCACAGAAGAGTTGTCAACAACACAACTCTTGAGTGAAATTTGATTTATTGATAAGAATGGTGAAAGGCTAGAGTCTATACCAACTCACAGTAACTAAGTAGACATAGACATTTATGGGTATGCACAGAGAAGACCACCAGAAAGTAATAGTAAGACCTGACAGATGTGGGGAGGGTGTACCAAACCTAAGCTCTGATATGGGAGATTCAGGCCTTTGGGCAGGCCCCACATCACATCAGGCCCCATCACTGCATGCTAAGAGAATCTGCAACAGCATAGGGATCACCCTTTCCTCAGACACCAGGTGGCATGAGGCAGGTTCATTCACCTCTGTGTGCACAGGTTCTTCATCTACAATACGAGGACATTACCTGTCGTGTCTATGCCAGACCTTTAGCGTCATAACTCGTGCATTATATGCAGCTTTTTGCAAAATATTTTCAAATACATCATCCCAGTTGAACCTTAAACCAATCTGACCCCAGTTGAACCTTAAACCAATCTGGCATTATTGATAAAAACTGATAGTTACTGAAAACATACAATGGACTAGACATGATAGTAAACACTTGACCTGCATTTCTAACTTCATCCTCAAAACAACTCCATTTTACAGATGAGGAAGCTGTGGCAATGAGAGACTAAAGTCACCTGTTCAAGGCCTCCTATCTAGGATTGGCGGAGCATGGATCCCAACCCAGAAAGTCAGCTTCCAGAGGGCCATGAGGGTTGTGCAAGGCACATATGAAACTCCAAGCCACCGATGAGAGTGGCCATAACACTCAGATGACTGATGGAGAAATGACTTTGAAAAGTATTGGGTGGTTGGCAAAGGGATCCCTTGCATGCAAATACAGACCTCATTGCCAGTGGCAAACGTCAGACTTAAGTGCCAAAGTTTTCTCTCCAGCACCCGGACAGATTGCAGCCCTTCTGGTGCGTCTGCAGTTGGCTGACTCGCCTGACAAGTGCCACACCGGAGTCGGCTTCTGAAGAGCAGGAAGAGCCCTCCCCAGCCCTGACCGCAGTGAACAAATCGCGGATTTTCAGGCCTCTACTTAATTACTTGCATTTCAAGTAGAGTCAGGCCTACTCTTCTCTGAATATTTTATATTTGTTAAGACAAGAAAGCTGCCTATTGTTTAATTTATACCTGAGTTTTCAGCCTTTAACCCTTCATCATCGCCTGAAGATGGAGCTAGAATTTGGGAAGAGTCTAGGGCTGGATTTAGAAAGGAATTGGAGTCCAGCAGTCCTTGCTTTATGGCATTGTTTGTTATGTCATGTGTTAAATCAAGTGAAGCGGGTGAGTAGTGCGACCACTTCAACAGCTTGGGGGACCAGCAGATGACAAGGCCGAGCTCAAGAGAGCCACAGAGCTGCTTCTTATCCAGAGTTTTCCTTGATCCAATGGAGTCAGTCCTGCTTCTAAATACAAGGCAGGAAGAAAATAGAGAGACACACCCACTTCATGCCCGAACCTCCTTTTTAGTTGTGCTGCTTCTGTTCCTGCACATGGTGTTAAGGAGTTACCCCAGCGGTGCCAAGCCCTCTTCTGTTCACACTGCTTCCTTGATGCCCTCACTGTTCTGGTCCAGCAGCACAGGCGTGGGTGGTTCATCTAAAAATGATGGTCTCACCCTCTCTGATGCTAGCCTGGACCCTGGCCCTGCAACTCTGAGCCAGTTAGTTCATATTCACAAATTCAGTCTATGTTCTCAGAGCAAACTCTGGGCCAGGTCTACCAGGCAAGGGCAGACTTTCCTGCCAGAGCCTTGTACCACATCAGAACCCTGCCCCTCAACATAAGAACAGCTGAGATGGTGGTTCTTAAACTGCATAGAATAAAGATTTCCAGCCTGTTTTACTGCTACTTCTAATATTAATGCTACTTCCTTAAAAAGGCTAAATGGGGACAAATGTTATAATGAACAAAAAGCTGATATTATGCATATAAACTCACCTGTGCGGGATAAACAGGTTCTATGTCACCAAAGCTATGAATAATATCAGGTTGAAGCAAATATGGTACTTCAGCAAGTGGCCGAAATTCCGTGAATATAAATAACTATTTCATGGCATGTCTGCTTTCTTCCTTGCATCCTAAAGGACAAAGTAACACAGAGAATAGCGCTTAAATCCCATGATGCGGAGGGGGGATAGAGAGGGTCCTAATGAATGAGGTTACATTTGAGGCAGGTCTTAAAGGCTGATAGGATTGTAATCTCCCTCAGAGGAAAGAGAAGGGGGAATCTGCGTGGTGGGAAGAGCTTGGGGAGGGACAGGGAGTTAACCATGGCGGTGGCTGTTGGTGGGGTGATGAGCCCGTGACGGGGGAAGCAGAGGACTGATGAACAGAGAGGGAGGTGGGTTGGAAAAGTAGTTTGCTGGGGCCCAGAATGCTCTCAAGGCAGTTTAAATTTGACTCCCAAGGGAATATAGATCCCTGCAGGGGATTGCAGTACAGAAGTGGCCCAATTAGAACTCGATTTGAAGCAAATGCCTGTAGCTCTTTGTGCATTTCATTAGGAGAATAGGAACTGGAGGCAGCGAACACAGTGAGGAAGCTGCTGAGAGGGTCCAGATAAGAAAAGCCTGTATCAGGGCCACAGCAGGAGGGAAACAGACAAGAGAAGAGACATGGCAGAGAAAATCAACAGAACTCAATGTTCACCTACTGGGCAACACGAAGCCCTTGTCATCTGCACCTTCTGAATCAGGAGACAGGCTGGAGCCTGTGAATAATAGATGAAGTGTTATGTTGATGATGTCAATTAGAATGAGCATTTTCACAATGTGCTTAAATGAAAATTTCAGGGCTGGAGGCTCAATTCTGAGTGAGTATCATTAAAAGCACAGCACAAGAGGCTCCAGCTTGGTTCTCTGGGAGGTTTTTAGTGACATAACCAGTGTTGGTGAAGGGGAAAGACATGGGGTCTTTCAATGATGGATGTCACTGGTGTGGCATGATTTCCGGAGGAGTCCTAGAGGGCAGAGATCCAGAGAAAGCACACTCCACCACAACAGCACAGATCTGAAGATTTTGCTTGATTCAACATTCCTCTTGCACCTGTTTCTGGCAAAAATAATTATAATTAATTTTAGGGTCATCTTTTGGATCCCCTCAAAATAGAACCTGTGTATTTGCACTGCCATTCCCATTTCATAGGATCCAAAAACACACTCACCTCAAAAGGGAAGACTTAGATAATTAGCAAAGGCTGCAGCTGGGGCTCTGAAGCTCTTCCCATGTGTGCCAGTCTGTGACACTCAAAAGAAATCCACCAATGTTGTGCCAGCCAACTGTCGCTTAAGCTTGGGTCTTCGGTGAGAACTTAGGCTTTAGAAATTTACATGGTAAACATGAAATGAAGCTAATTGTCTTCAATATTGTTTTCAGTAATAATAACAGTGGGTGGTATTTACTGATATCTAAATAAAATAAAGGATTAGTATTTAATCCTTTACTAGTGCCAGGGTCTGTGCTTCATGATTCATACATGCTACCTTATTTAATTCTTACAACAATCATTGAGGTAAATTCCAGGATCCTCATTTAACATGCAAGAAAACTAAGATGAGAAGTGGTTGGCCAGTTTACCCAGAGTCTCCCAAATAACAAGAAGCAAGACAGGGAATGGACGTCAGTTCCTTCTGACTCTGAAGATGTTGTGAGTGTGTATAGTATCTCAGACCTGACAAACCACTGTCACAAGCAGCAATTTGTTGTTTGTGCCTTGTTTTTTTTTCAAGATAACACAAGGATGTTTCTACTAATAGTCTCTTCTTGGAGCCAAAGTAACTGAGGCTCAGAGAGCTTAAAGTGATTCACTTCAAAGTCATACAGCTTGCAAGTGGCTTGTCAGGGATTTGCAACAAGGCCTTCTGACTCCAAAATACAGAGGTGAGTCAGGTACAGAGCCCATCCTCTTCCTGCCCTGAGGCTGTTCCTCCTCCTTTATTTATTCCCCATTGTGCATGGCATCGCCAAAACCAGAACCGTCCTCCCTTCATCTCTCCCTCTTTCCCACCCACAACCACAGTCCCCTAAACCTGTCTTCTGTATTTCCTACATTTCTTTCTTCTGTTTTTCACCTCCCCTGATTTAAATAAAGCCCAACCTCTAATAGTTCACTGGCCTTACCCAGTACTCTCTTCATGTTTCCAGTAGTACTCAAACTTGTGTAAGCATGAGAGGTACCAAGAGGGCTCTTTAAGACACAGATCTCTGGCCCTCACCCCAGAGCTTCTGATTCAGTAGGCTGGGGTGGGACCCAGGAATATGCATCTCTAGCAAGTTCCCAGTGGAGGCTGTGGCTGTGAGTCTGAGAATTTCTGTCCTTCATTAAGACTGCCAAGATGATCACTTCTCCTCTGCATATATAAACTCTCCATGGCTCCTCAGTGTCTAAGGCGTACGGACACCCAGCATTTTGTAGCCTTTAGTCCACGTGAGCCCAGGGTGGAGTAATAGAAGATCTGCTATGGATCAGAGAAACACCACTCACACAGATGGAGCTGGTGCATGTATAAGGATGTTCCTCCACTCAGAGAATGCCAAACCCTGAGGGTAAGAGAGGCCGAGTGACCAGAGGCAGGGGTCACTGGCCTTCATTAAATAATCTTTCCCAATTTCAATGTTTCATTTATTTGTTTGATCATTCACTTACCATTCTGTGCAATTAGAATACATCTTTGAACAAAGGACAAATATCTTGCTCTCTTGGATTAAGTATTGTGACAGATGCACTCTGTTCCTAGGAAACACAGAGAAGAAAAAAAAGTTGAGTTTCCCAAGTTCCCTAGGAAGGCAGGAAGCACATTCCCTGCCTGGAGCAGCTTTTGGTGTCTGTCTTTGCCACTTCTATACAACGTTTTGGTGGAGGTTCTAGCCGGGGTTGTTAGGCAGGAAAAACAAATAAAAGTCATAGAAAGAAAGAAGTGAAACTATTTCTATTTGCAGATGACATGATCCTGCATATATGAAATATAAAGAAATCTACTAAAAAACTACTTTAGCTAATAAACAGTTTCAGCAATTGCACAAATACAAGATCAACATACAAAATCAGTTGCGATTCTATACAGTAGCGATTAACAAACCAAAAATGAAATTAGAAAATGATTCCATTTACAAAAGCATCAAAAGAATAAAGCAACAAATTTAGTAAAAGAAATACAATGCTTATACACTGAAAAGCATAAGCTATTATGGATAAAAATTAAAGAAGATCTAAATAAATGTAAAGAAACCCATGTTCATGGATCAGCAGACTTAGTATTGTTAAATGACAATAATCCCCAACTTGATCCACAGATTCTATCTAATCCTTTTTAAAAGTCAGCTGGCTTTTTTTCCATAAATTGACAAGATGACTCTAAAATCTGTTAACATTGACAAGGCCCAGAATAGCCAAAACAACGTTGAAAACTAACAAAGTTGGAGGGTTCACACTTCTCAGTTTTAAAACTACTACAAAGGAAGAGTAATCAAGACAGTGTGGTATCAATTAATGAAATAAAATTGAAAGTAAAGAAATAAACTCTTACACTTATAGCAATTGATTTTCAACAAGGGTGGCAGAACAATACAATGAGAAAAAAATAGTATTTTCAACAAATAGAACAACTGGATATTCAAATACAAAATAATGAAGGTGGATCCCTCCTTTGTACTGCACACACACTCCAAAACTAATTCAAAGTTTTTCAGACATCTAAATAGAAAATCAAACTATAAAACTCTTAGAAGAAAAGCTTGACATAAATCTTCATGACCTTGGATTAGACAATGGTTTCTTAGGTACGACACAAAAGAAAAGCATCAAGAGAAAAAAATAAACAAACTGGACTTTAAAAAAATTAAAAACTTTTGTGCTGAAATAACACCATCAAGAAAGTGAAAATACAACCCGTGGAATGGGAGATAACATTTGCCAGTCATTTATCAGATGAGAGACTTTTATCTAGAGTATATAAAAATAATCTTTACAACTATATAAGGAGAAAAAAGTATTTGAAATGAACAAAGGATTTGAATAGACATTTTTCCAAAGAATATATACAAATGGCCAATAACCATGTGAAATGATGCTCAATATAATTAGACATTGCAGAAATGCAAATGAAAACTATGAGATACCACATCACATCTACTAAGACAGCTTTAATCAAAAAGATAGATAATAATAAGTGTTGGAAAAGATGTGGAGAAACTGGAACCCTCATACATAGCTGGTGGGAATATAACATAGTGCAGCCACTTTGGAGAACATATTGGCAGTTCCTCAGAAAGTTAAACATAGCATTACCATATGATCCAGCAATTCCACTCCTAGGTACATACCCATGATAAATGAAAACATATATCCATACAAACATTTACACATGAATGTTCACAGTTCATTGCAGCATTATGCATAATAACAAAAAAACTGAAAGCAACCCAAATGTCTATCCACTGATGAATGAATAAACAATATATATCTGTACAATAGAACATTATTCTACCATTAAAAGAATAAAATACTAATTCATGCTATGATAGAAATGCATCTTGAAACATTATGCTAAGTAAAAGAAGCCAGAAACAAAAATCCACATATTTTCTGAGTCCATTTATGTCAAATGTCCAGAATAGGCAAGCTACATAGATAGAAGGTAGATGAGTGGTTGTCCAGGGCTGAGGAGACGGGAGGAGCAGGGAGTAACTGCTAATGGGTATGGGGTTTTTTGGGTTTTTTGAGGGTGATGAAAATGTTTGAAAATTAAGTTGTAGTGATAGTTATGGATATAGTTTGGCTGTGCCCCTACCCAAATCTCACTTGAAATTGAAGTTCTCATAATCACCATGTGTCATGGGAGGGACCCAATAGTATGTAATTTAATCATGGGGGCAGTTACCCTCATGCTGTTCTCATACTAGTGAGTTCTCATGAGATCTGATGGTTTTATAAGTGTTTGGAAGTTCCTCCTTTGCATTTATCTCTCTGCTGCCATGTAAGACATGCCTGCTTCCCCTTCCACCATCATTGTAAGTTTCCTGAGGCTTCCCCAGGCATGCTGAACTGTGAGTCAATTAAACCTCTTTCCTTTATAAATTACCCAGTGTCAGTTATGCCTTTATTAGCAGTGCGAGAACCGACTAATACAGTTTTGCAACTCTATGAATATACTCAAAGATATGGAAATGTTTCCTTTATGGGAATAAAGTTTATAGTATGCGAATTATATCTTAATAAAAATTTTTAAAATCACATTAAAACCTTTACTAGATCCAGCAGAAGAGATGGTGCATAGGAAGACAGCACTGATGAAACTGCCTAGAATGTAATATAGAGTGATAAATAAACAAAAAATGAAATGAAATACCTGGCAAGAAGTACTGAGGCTACATTGGGAACCTCCAGCATCCATGTAATAAAAATGCCAGAAGAAAATAAATGGATGTTGACAAGGGGGATAATAACAAAGAATGTTCCAGAAGTGAAGAACTTTAAAAAAGATGTGGGCTTTCACATTAGAAGAGGATATTCTGAGTTCTAGGCAATAGGCATGGATGTCTAAAAGCTTTAAAATGTAAAGAAAAATGAGAAAATCCTAGAAGCCTTCCAGAGAGAATAGATTACCTACAAAGAAATCTGTTTAAGAGCAGATTTCTCATCAGCAAGAAAACAGTTGCAGATGGAAATGGAATAATATCTTCTAAGTGCCAAAGGGAAATAACTGTCAACCCAAAATTCTAATCATAACCAAGCCATAATTTATGTGCAATGAAAATTAGTGGTTGAATGCCTAACTCTGAAGCCAGACCACATGGATACTTAACCCAGCTCTGTTATTTATGGTTTCTGTGGTCTTGGGTGGAGTTTGCGTCCATTTTCTGACCTGTAACATAAAGACAGCCACCTTATTAAGGGGTTGTGATAATTATATGAATGTGTGTTTGTAATCACACTCAGAACAGTGCTCAGCACACGGTGGCACTATTTAAGGGTTACAAATTCAAGAAATCTAGTTTGACAATTAATACAAAAAAAAAACCTTCCAGTCTTGTAACCAAGAAAGTTATTTTAGTAATATTTAGTAGCAGATCAAAAAATAAAAAAAGAATCAAAGGAGAAAATACTAAAAGAATAAAAGGATCAACCAACAAAAGAATAAATTATCACACTCAGGACCTTGTTTACACCTATGTGCACAAAACATGGCCTCGAATTATAGGCAATTGATACAAATTAAAGAAAAAATGGACAAATCTACAATTATGTTTATTTTAACGTAAAAGATTAGAACAGAAGTAATACAACTGAACAAAGCAACACACATACACACATTCTTCCTCTCACAAATCTCATAGAAATGTTTCAGTGATTGGAAGGTTTTTCCCAATCTTTTGCCATATAGTAATTAAATTAGAAACCAATGTAAAAAAGACGTAAAACAGAACAGAAAAAAAAATGTGCACTTCAAAATCACAGAGAAAAAAAAACAAGAATGAGTAAATATAAATGAGTTCAGTGTTTGCAAATTAGAAAAAAAAAAGAGTAAAGGAATGGAGTAAAGAATAGAAGTTTATTGAAAATTCACAGTCCACTAATATAATATTTACTTCTAAGATTCTCCTCCTAGTTCCTCTCAATTGTAAAATATTGCAACATTTACTTGTTACACATACATTCAAAATTATCTTAAGTTCATTAAAATTGTGAGACTAATAACTAAACAGTGTGCCTATGTGCATGTGTTTGTAATGCTTAATCGAGGCTATACATTCCAGGACGAGATGAATTGTGTTTTATTCACTACCACATCCTCATTCCATATAAAAGTGCCTGGCATCTAGGAGAGTGATAAGTATTTATTGAATATTGTAGTTGCATATATGATGTCAACTGAGTCAGAAGTTAACCCTCAGAGAATTTTTCAGAGTAAAACAGAACTGGATTATGATCCTGGTTCTGGAACACTATGGCTGAAATCTGGGAAGGTTTATTGTCTCTCAGCTACTATTTTCTATGACACAAAATGAAAATGACAGAAGCTACTTTTCAAGGATCTTACAGGAAAGATCCATCTATTAACTGTTAAATTATTGTGCATTTAATAGTTGATGACCATCTATCAACTATTAAATTATTGTGTATTTGTTCTGCACCCACCCTTCTCTACTCTGTTCTGTGATACTAAGGCTAGGACCACAAAGCAGCTGGTTCTGTTAAAGAAAAATGATTCAATGACGCTGATATAAAGCACGGTAAGGAAGACTATTCAAGCCCATCCTAAGAGCACTGCAACAAGGTCTGGCAATGTGGAAGGGAGATTAGGCTCAACTATGAATACAGCATGGGCACATTAAGAATTTATAGCCAAGGAGCAGGGTGGGGGGTAGCAGAGAAAAAATTACTGAGAGGAAATATCACAGATAAGGAAGATTCTGGCTAAACCTAAACCAACCTAATAGGATTCCTGCTGAAGATGGGACAGGGTGATTAGACTTCCCTTGAGGGATGGTGGAGAATGAGCAAACTGATCAGATATTAAGGAAGAGCAGACATCAAGGATGGGGGTTCTTGCTAAACTAAGCAAGGTTCTTTGCTAAAATGGGATTTTATAAGGAAGGGCACAGATGGGCCCAACTGAATATTCAGAAGCTGGAGGAAAGTTTGGGAAGCAAATAATCTTTGTCAGCTCCATGTTAAGCTCGGCCAGTAGGGGGCACTAGAGCAGGGCTGAGAGAAGGAGGAAGAAGGGACTTGCTCCTTCCTGTTCCCTCTCCACGCACTTCCTGTCTATTTCCTGTTTCTCTCATCATCACCTGCAAGTCTTCTCCATGATAGCAGTGGCTCTTTTCTTCCCGTAAGAGCCACTGAATCCAGTTTGCATTTTCACCATCACTCACAGAACCAGCTTTTTCAGGACCCATCAGACACATCAGCATCAACTGATCAGGCAGTCCCCAACAGGCAGTCACATGGCTCCCTGACCCCACTTTCAATGTCTAAATTCCAACATCTGTTCCTCTAACCATTTCCCTTCTGTCCCTGAGCCCTGCAGTTCCCACCTCTGTGATGTCCTTCAGTGGCCTTTCTGTCCTTTTGATTGCCTTGTTGACTTTTACCTAGTTCACAATTCTTTATATTAAATTCTTTCTGTTCAGATAACTGGTGTGGGTTCTCTCTCTGGCCCCAGACTGATAAAGGACTCACAGCTCCTAACATGGTAGCTCCTAGTATCATTCACAAGGGAGTTTTTCAGGTATTGTCACATGTGATGCTAAGAATAATTCTGAGAAGTCCTGTGGGTAGTTCCCCATTATACAGGTGAGAAAACTAAGATTCACAAAGCCTGAATTTCTCAAAGTAATCCTCTAGTAAGTGGCTCAGCCAGAACCAGATCTGCCATGTCCCAGATGTCACCCTGCTCCTTGTTAGATATCCTTTTTCCAAAATTTATTGGCCACTATTTTAAGAGAACAACCTGAACCAGATATTAAATTAGTCTTCATGGATTTACTTCAGCAGAATATTGAATATGATCAAAATCTTTCCATTCTTTTGAAATGTTTTTCCTTAAAGTGCTACTCAAAACAATATAAACATTTGATAAATTGAAAATGTTTGATGTGAAAGAACACAGGCCTTATTTAATTCAGCTAATGAACAGTCTTTGGAATCTGAAAAACCTGGGTTTGAATCTGACCCCTCACAAGTTATTAGCCATGTGAACTTATAAAAGATACTTACTTTCTGAACCTAAATCTTCTCATATATAAAATGGGTAATGTCCTGTTGGACTTTTGTGAGGGACTTTTGTGAGGATTAAAGGTTTCTGTATGATGCCTGGTACATAAACAGTCTCAAATTAAAATTTCCTATCATTAGATACAGAGACTGATCCTTCCTCAAAGTGAAATGCAATACACTTTCTTTAAAATTTTTCCAAAAATGTAGTTAGGTGACTTTTACACAGTTTTCTGAATCTAGAGAATAAGTTATTTTCCATCTTGTTGCATCTCTGAAAGAAGAGTTGTATTCAATCCACGGTTTCAGTTGCATGGTTTTCATTGCGGCTGCAGCAGAACGGGAGACAAGAGACCAATGAGGAATCTTAAACCCCCAGAAAGATTCTGGCTGCTGGTCAAGATGGCATTAAAAAAAAGAAACTTAATCAACTCACATAATGGTAAGTACAGAGGTAACGTAGGTTTCAGTTTCTTAAGGATAACCACAATGTCCAAGTTTGGGGTTTTTGTTTGTTTGTTGTTTTTCTTTTCTTTTTCCATTTTGCCATCCTAAGTGCTTATTTCACTGTCAGGCCGGAGGAAGATTGCTTGCAACCTTACAAACTTCACATATGATCCACTGGTATCTTGTGGAAGAAAAGAGTGTCACCTCCTGCTTCTCTATTAGGATTAAAGAATGTGTTCTAAAAGGTTCATCAGACTTTAACTGATAACACACAACCAGGGCGAGACCATGTGTTTATTCATGAGAAGTGAATGCGTGTCCTGATGCTGGATGGGGTCAGCTTTCCCTGAGGCACATTGCTGCACAGAAGACAGAGATCCTCAGAAACAGGTTTCCATTAGCAAGGAAGAAGTGGGACTTGACAAAAAGAGATCCCATTTCAAATAAATATTAAGAGAGCACTGATCCCAAGAACATCAAAAGTCCTTCTGGGTTCTCCCCCGTCTGATACCTGTATAAATGCTTACCTTACAGTTCTAGAGCCAAAATCAGAAACCAAGGTGTTGGCAGCACTATGTTATGGCAGCTCGAAGGGAGAATCTGTTCCTTGTCTCTTCCAGTTTCTGGCAGCTCCAAGCATTCCTGGGCCTTTGGCTGCATCACTTCCATCTCTACCGTGTTGGTCACATTGCCTCTTCCTCCTCTATCAAATCTCCCTTGGCCTCACTCTAAAAAGATTGGATTTAGGGCCCACTCAGATAATCCAGGATGATCTCATCCTAAGATTCTTAACTATATCTGCAAATACCCTTTTCCAAACAAGATAACATTCACAAGTTCTGGGGATTAGAGTGTGGACTTTTTTTGTTTTTTGGCAGAGAGTGAGTGACCATTCGACCATTCACTCCACTGTGCCACAGAGATGTCATAAGACAGTGTATTTAAAACTCCAGCAAAGGACTGGCACCAGTAGGCATGTGATAAATATTGGTTGAAGCTAAATTTATTTATACGTCTTTGCAGCCTCAGCTGGCACTTTACTCACTCCCTATGCCATTCCTTCTGGGGATTCTGGAAAAAGACAGCATTCTCTTGGCCTGAACAAAAAGAATGTGAGCCAACAGGACAAAGGGTATAACTGTGGGGATGTAGAGTCCTATGCAGGAAAGAGCAGGCTGACCCAGATGGCAGAGAGAAAGAACAAGATGACCATCACAGCAAGAGCTTGGAGGAGGGGAGAGTAGAACATAAGCAAGAACACAGGACATGCAGAATTGCTGGCCACTCTGTCTCATTGCTTTTATTATTCTGGAATGGGCTGAAAATAACTTAGAAGCGCCGGGTCAAGCAGCAACCTTGAAAGTATGTAACTTCTTCCTCTTGAAAAATTTATAATTTCATAAAGGGTATACTTTATAGACCCTATATCCAAGCTTATTTTTCTTCTGAAAAAACACATCAATCTTTCCACTCCCTCATTTTTCAAATAATGAGCCAAAGCCATTTTCTCATTACTCTGTTTTCTATTTTTCAAAGAAAGGTGATACTGAAATTCCATACTCAAATTTCATGCTCAGAGAATTCCCCAACTTGAATGAAGTATCATAGGAATCATCTATCCTAGCCCTGTCTCTTACAGAGAAGGAATGTGAGGCTGAGAGATTTTAAGTTACTTACCCAAAGTCACAATCAGTGGGTTGGAAGGAAAGAATGCACTGCCTGAAGAAACAGTTTGAGCCAAATCCCAGGTGGAAAAAGTTCCTGGAAACCTACATAGTCGAGCTGGTCTGAGAATGTGGAATGGTTGATAAAGGTGACAAGCTAGTCACCTTCCTGGGTCACCAACTCTAGTCAAAAATGTCTCTATTTTATCTCTTAAATTATCCCTAATATTCTGTATGCAATCTCATTTGCCAAGTAAAGGTTAGACCCTTAAACCCATAAAAGGGTCATTATTCATATTCTGGAGACTCTGAGAAAGTGAAGTGAATGCAAGGTATGAAATAATAAGATCCATAACTTTGTCATCGATTGTATTGAATGTACTATTCATCACCATCCATTGACATGCAGTCACCACCCTCATACCAGTCCCTATAATACTCACCTTTTCAAGAATACATTTTTTTCTTCACTTGGGCTAAAAACCAAACATCTAAAATGACATGATGAATGAAAGAGGTCATTGATAAAAGAGCAACCTTGAACTAAGCAAGTGAAATTGGAAAACTGCATCTCTCTTTGCACCTCTGTCCACTTGCAGGCTCCAGCCAGACTCAGTGGAGCCCAAGGGAATGTCTGCCCATGAGGAAAGACAGACCCAGAGAATTTAAGTGACTTCCCATGATCGTACACTCAGTTGGCAAATTTGGTGAGCTGGGAACACAGGACATGCAGAATTGCTGGCCACTCCACAACCCCACATTGTTAAACTAGCAACTCAAGGTTTAATATTATCTAAAATGAAAGTATCTAAAGACTTTTGGAAGATTGCAGGTAGAATAATTGCCTTGGCAACAGAGTAATTGTATCAATCAAGGTTCAATCAGAGAAATAGAACAAGCCCGCTATGTGTCTGTGGAGAGAAAGAGACTACAATGGATTTATTATAAGGGTTTGGATTACACAGCTAGGAGTGAGGACTGACCAATCAAGTCTGAAGTCTGCAGGGCAGGGGAGGCCATCAAGAAGGGTGGCTCACAAGCAGTTGGAGCCCAGCAAGCATGTTGTCCACTGGCAGAGGTCTCCCTCCCCAGTAAAAGTGTAAGCCCTCTTTTAAGGCCCCTCAACTGATTAAGTCAGGCTCACTCAGGATAATCTAATTCAAACTGATTATGAAGTTTAACTACATCTGCCAAATTTATTCATGGCAGCATCTAGACTAGTGTTTTATTGGGTAACCAATGACTATTGTTCAGCCTATCCAAGTTTATATATCAAGAAGCTATTGCAACAATCATGGATATCTATTGGCCAAATTTCCGGATGAGTGGAAAGTTGGACATGGAAAGAAATAATTATTGGTGAAGTTCATGATAAGATTTTCAAGTTTTATCTGCAATGGAAGAGCTGTTTCAAGAGACACTGAAGTTCCAGGTGCATCTTTGGACATCTGTGGCTATCTTGCTGGATCCAATTTGCTAACTGTTAAGGATGTTTGCATCTATTTTCATGAGATACAGTGATCTCTAATTTTCTTTTATTATACTTTTTCTCAGATTTCAATATCAAAAATATGCTGTTATAATAAAAGTCAGGATGAGGTGAGCCTTAGGGGAGGGCATAGACTGGAAGGTAAACCAAAGGACTTTTCTGACACTAGTGACATTTTCTCTGGATCTGTGAGATGCCAATGTGGGTGCGTTCAAATGGGAGCTTAAAAAAAATGGACCTCATGAAGACAGAGAGTAGACTGGTGGTTCCAGAGGCCAGGAGGGTAGGGAGGAGAGGGGTAATGAAGAGAGTTTAAATTAATGGGTATGAATATACACTTTGTCTGAAGGTAGAAAAAATAAGACTGGTGTTCGATAGATCAGTAGGAGACAATAGTTAACACTAACTCATTGTACATTTCAAAATAGCTAGAGGATAATTAGAGTGTTCCTAGCATAAAGATAAATATGTAAGGTGATGAATATCCCAACCCCCTTGATTTGATTATATGAATGTATCAAATTATCACATGTGCCCCAAAAATATGTACACCTAATATGTATCAATAAAATATAAAGAACATTCTTTTAAAATTGAGAAAATTTATTGGTTTGTACACCAAGGAAATTTGCACTTTTCCATATGTAGGTGTGACTGTTGAGGTCTTGTCAGAAGCAGACACTAGAAGGAATTTAAGCATGCAAGAGATTTATTGGTGGAAATGTCTGTGAGTAGGTATGGAGGGCTTTCAGGTTTGACAACCATGAAAGGAGAGGAGGAAGGAAAAGAGATCAGAGGGAAAGAGACCACAGTGCCGCTCTGGAAAAGTCTCACTCAGGCCAGCGGGGTGGCTCAGAGCAAAGACACTCAGTAGAGGTATCTACATTGGGCAAAAATGTTCTGGCTCTCATGTTCCCATTGCACTCAGTCATCAGCTGGGAGCAGCTGTGAGGAACAGGGCATTGCCATGAAAATCTCGGCTGATCCCAGAGGTGCAGAGGCTAGGGATGGCTGCTAATAGACCCTTTGTGGTAGGTTCTCCCTTGAGGCGAGAGCTGAGAGTCCCACTCCCCATCATTGTCATGGTGGGATGGGGAAAGAGCATTTGGGATTTAGTATTACTCCTAATTTATGGATGAGAAAAGTGGCTTGGACACATTCACTACACTCAGCCCCAAACTAGAAAGTCTTGAGGATGCACAATTCTAACCTTGATCCTCTTGGTTCCCAAGTCTTCATTCCCTTCGTTTCCTTTCTATTATGCTGGACTCCAAATCAAGGCTTATCACATTGTCACATAATGGTAAGAAATCAGGTCTGCCCCTGACAACATTCCTCTTTGTGTTGTGGAAATACAGGACATGTGAGGAAATGATGTGTTCATGAAGGCAACGTCCTCCTGGGTTATTTTGCAGACTACCCTTCTCAGAAATTGTGATAATTAGTATTCTGGCTGTTTTTCTAAGGAAGAGTCCATCTAAGGTGAAACAATTCACCTCTGCAATACCCAAAACTGAAATAACTTGTCATGAGCACAGGGAATAGCCAAGCACCACCAAAAGGTATCCACTTGGAGATTTAGATCAGCCCATTGAGGCAACAGGGCAAAGCGGCAATCCCAGCCCCTGCAGAAGGAAACAGGACCCCATGAAACTGGGGAATCCAGGATGGCTCCTGGGCCAGGCAAGGACAGCTCACCATCCTCAGGGCTGGGAGAAGCAGCCTCTGAGATGAAAAGAGGGTGCACAGAACCTTCCCCCTGACAAAGCCCCTGGGGAACAAGCCAGGAGGCCAAGTTAGTATCCCTGTCTTGGAAGCTGTGCCCTCAGATGGACTTACACTCTGTGAGGTCTTATTACCCCTCCATTGGCTACCTATTGCCACTAAAGCAAATTGCTCCAAATTTAGTGGCTTAAAAACATACAAGTTCATGCTCTTACAGCTGCATAGCACATCCAGTCTGAGGGTTTCACATGAGGAATCTTCCCTTTCTCCTCTCCTTTCATCCGTCTTCCCCCATTCATTCTGTTCTCCCACTGCCACCCAAGGAGATGGTCTTGGTTGTGGGTGTGGTGGTCAATGTGTGGGCATCTGTGTGTGTGTACACATATGAGTATGTGTGAATGTGTGTGGGTTTAATGTCTGAATTTACGTGTATGTGTATGTGTATTTTCATGTCTGTGTGTTTTTGTGTGAGTTTATTGTGTGTGTGTGAGTTTGTATATGTGTGGGCTTACGTATGTGGGTTTCTGTGGGGAGATTGTGAGTCTATATATGAGTTTATGTATGTGTGAGTTTATGTGTGTGACGTGTGAGTTTGTGTGTATATGTTTAAATGTGTGTTTGAGTATATGTGAGTGTATATGTGTTTATGTGTGTGCATGTGGTGTTTGTGGGTGTGAGTTTGTGTGTTTGCATTTATGTGTGAGTATGTGTTTGTGTGTTTGTATCTGTGTGTATGTGTGAGTTTATGTATGTTTGTGGGTTTGTTTCTGTGTATGAGTTTACACGTGTGTTTCTGTGTATGTGAGTATATGCGTGTGAGTTTATATTTGTGTGAGTTTGTGTAAGTCTATATGAGAGTTGATGTGTGGATGAGTTCATGTATGTTTTATGTGTATGCTTATGCATGCGAGTCTATGCATGTGAGTGCATGTGTATGTGTTCATGGAGGCAGCATCTTGGTTGTAAAATGAATTTTCAGACTTCAACAAGTGCTGTCTCCATATGAAGATATTTTCCTCTCATCACGGCAGAGGTTCCTTCACCTGCACTGCAGCAGAGTCACACGCTTTCCTGGTTTCCTCCCGCTCCCTCTCAGATCCCCCTCTACTTCTTTCAGTGTCTCCTTAGCTCCTTGATCCTCATGAGCACACCCGGGGAGCACTCCCTCTCTGCAATCCCCAACAACTTTGTGCATGGGTGACCTTGGCCCCTAACATGGCCTTAGCTACCATCTGCACATTGACAGCTCTCAAATTTATCCAGAGCTTCAGCAGGCTGCATCCACCTAACTCCTCTGCTTGGATGGCAAAAGGCATTTGAGACTTACCATGTCCAAAGCCAAAGTCTGGATCCTTCCCCATAGAATCATCTCCTCTCCTAGTCTTATCCATCTTAGTAAATGAAGCAACCCTGGAGTTATCCCCAACTCCCTTTTCGCACAGCTCTTCTGTACCATCAAACTCATCCAAAATCCAGCGTCTCCACTGTTCCCACCCTGTCCAAACCACCAGGTTTGTTCAAAAAAACAACAAAAAAAACACCGAAATTATTTCCCTGCTTCTATGCTGGCCGCCAAGAATCTATCCTGAAAACACCAAGTAACCCCTTGCCTTCAGTCAGGTTCCCTACAAGTGGAGCCCAAGAAGGAGATTCTGGGTGCGTGTGATATCTGAGGGAGCTCTCGGGGGAGAGTAATCTGTAAGAGATTCAGGGAAGAAGCAGGATGGAAAAGGAGAAGGAGGCCAGGTGCAGTGGCTCATGCCTGTAATCCCAGCACTTCGGGAGGCTGAGGTGGGTGGATCACCTGAGGTCAGGAGTTCGAGACCAGCCTGGCCAACATGGTGAAACCCCATCTCTACTAAAAATACAAAAATTAGCTGGGCGTGGTGGCATGCACCTGTAATCCCAGCTACTTGGGAGGCTGAGGCAGGAGAATCGCTTGAACCAGGGAGGCGGAGGTTGCAGTGAGCCAAGATCACGCCACTGCACTCCAGCCTGGGTGACAAAGTGAGACTCCATCTCTCAAAAAAAAAGAAAAGAAAAAGGAAAAGGTGAAGGAGCAGAGCAAGGATGAAGTCTCAAGCAAAGTCTAGCTTTGGCTTGATCCCTGGGGGAGGACTCTGAAGCATGAACCATATGGCAGTTGTGACCCCTTGAAGCAAGAGGTCCAGGCATTTGTAACCCCCATCAGTCATTGGCTGTGGACCACTGGTGGTTCTGGTCAACTGCGAGTGATTTTTCCCAGAGAAGGAGGCAGCTGGGAGCCATTAGCACTCAGTGCTCACAGAAGGCCAGCGGTGGTGACCCTGGCCACGTGAAGGGCATCTAATGTTAGACCACAGCAACTCCTAGAATAGCTGTTCTCAAAGTTCAGCATGCATCAGAATCACCTGGAGGTGGGGCTGCCAGGGTTAGCAAATAGAAACTCAGGATGCCTGATACATTTGGATTTCAGATAAACAATTGTTTTTAGTCTAAGCATTCGCTATTGCATGGGACCTACTTACTCTAAAAAATTATTCATGGTTTATCTGAAATTCAAATATAACAGAGTGTCCTGTAACTTATCTTCTCCCTGCAGGGCTTGTTGGAACAGATGCTGTTATTTCTGATTCATTAGGCCTGGATGGGGTCTCTGAATGTGCCCTGCCCTCTTAACAAGTTTCTGTGATTAGATGATTTGGGGAACACACACATTGCAAACCACCGTTGTAGTATATCCTGGAAAAATAGGCCAGACTGTGCTGCTCAAAATTTTGTAAGGTTTTCCAAGCCCCTTAAAAGAAAACTCAAAGTCCTGACAATAGCGTTCAAGGTTCACATGACCCGGCTTTGGAGTCACCTCTCTTGCCTCTTCCCTAAATGCCCCTATTCTTCCTTCACCACTGTCAAGAAATGCTGGCTCCATAGCTGTTTTCCGGAACAAACCAGGCACAATCCAGCCCAAGGGCCTTTGCACAGATTGGTTCCCCTGATTACATGATTCTCTCCTAAACAGATACAGGGGGCAGTCCTTTCCCCCCCATCAACCTTTGCTTTTCAGCCCCTGCTCTTTCGCCCTGTTTTAAATGGCACCCCATGCATAGTCCCACACTCATCGTTCTGCTCTGCATTCTCTCTGCAGCTCTGTCTCCATCTGTCAAGCGAGAAAACATATCATTTGCTTATTGTCTACTTCTCTCCACTAAAATTTAAGTTCTATGAACACAGAGATTTGTGTTTATTATATTCACTGCTATTCACAGTGGTGATATCATTCTCCATACATGAGAGGTGCTCAAAAATGTGTGGAATAAATATTTAAAGACAAGGAGATGCCCTTATCTGAGACTGCAGGGCCTGCCATTCATTCATTCTGTGAAGCCTGGCGTCAAGCCACCTGCATACAAGCATGAAGAACCATTTGCAAAATAGATCTCCTTTGTAAATGGATAAACTGAAGTTATCCAAGGGCAGGGGGGAGATATTAGGGCTTTAAAAAATGCTATTACAAAATGACTTAAGGCAGTTTGGACCATTCAGCAATTGGGGTGTCTGTGTGTGTTGTGAATATTTTTGTTTTTAAAAATTTGTGGTCAAGCAATGGTCAGGAAGGAATGTCCCCGGTCCTATGCCCCTACTAGCAGACAGTATATTCCAGCTAAGATTAACAGCCCATTTTTCTCCCAGTTTTACTGGGGTATAATTGACAAATAAAAATTGAATATATTTACCTCATACAATGTGAATTTTGATATATGCATACATTGTGAAATGATTGCCACAAACTATTAGAGCCCATTCTGAGAAATGTACAAGAATTCACGAGTAGGCCGGGCACGGTGGCTCGCACCTGTAATCCCAGCACTTTGGGAGGCAGAGGTGGGCGGATCACTAGGTCAGGAGATTGAGACCATCCTGGCTAACACGGTGAAACCCCATCTCTACTAAAAATACAAAAAAAAAAAAACAACCAAAAAAATAGCTGGGCGTGGTCGCGGGTGCCTGCAGTCCCAGCTACTCGGGAGGCTGAGGCAAGAGAATGGTGTGAACCCGGGAGGTGGAGCTTGCAGTGAGCCAAGATCGCGCCACTGCACTCCAGCCTGGGTGACAGAGCAAGACTCTGTCTAAAAAAATAATTTAAAAAATATATATTTCATGAGTAATCAAGTCCCAAACAGTCCTATATGTTATTTTTATAAATCAGAAAAGCTCCTACACTCTGGTCTCAGGCACTCCAAAAACAGGGTGAATATTTCACTGAGACAATTAGAAAGATGTCCTCTGGGCAGAACTGGCCAAACGTTCATCTCCTCAGGGGATCTGAGTTCTCCATGAAGGCCTGAGGGCTGGGAAGGGAGAATGCAGGGCTGACTGCACTGGAGACAGTGTACATCCAGGAAGTTGGGGGCTGCCAGGCGGCTGGGTTCTTAGACCTTGTTCACTCAAGGGTAGTGGCATCAGACAATCTCTCAAGCCAGCCGCCAGGCTTGGCCACTGCACATTGTGCCAAAGAGAAATTAAATTACTTCCAGTGTCCCTTAGAAACAGATGAAGGTATTTAAAGTGCTTAGCACTCTCCTCTTGAGAATCTCATTAAGTTGCTGCTGATGTTAACAAAAGGCCCCTAGGGTATGAAGGTATATAAACATGTTACACGGTTTATACTGAAACATTTTTATTTATTATACAAAGAAAGGTAACAAATGTCCTTACATATTAAGTTTGAAGTTTGTTAGTTAAAATCACATACATCAAAGTGAAACTTCCTTTGCAAATGGAAGACATTTCAAGATGCTTTAACATCCAAGTTGGCAACTGAAACAAAAACTTAATTCACTGAACTCTGGATTTCCCAGTCCTGAGAACAAATAAAATTAAATAAAGAAGCCCACAAATATTGCAGTTAAATTCCAAATTCTTAACTCTAGCCATTTGTAGAATCATCTTTCTTTTATGCAGACAGAAACCTAACACTGAAAATCTGACATTTAACTCCTCAAAACGGGGATAATCTTCAAAAAAATAATCTCTATGAACACAATTGATGGGTTTATTCATAACAATTGCTCAGAGGTACACATTTAACAAATCTCATAAAACTCTTAGTGTTTCTACCAGAAATTGAAACAATTTGAATGGAGAGTAATAGGAAATGCTTACTATCTTTAAACAGGCAAAGTTGGGATATATGTAAGGTCGCTCATAACACTAAGTAGTTTAGGAAAACTCCAGAACACTTCATTGCTGCAGAATGCCTGACAGCTGCCTGTCCCAGCCCGAATGATTGTGTGAGGCCTGTGCTGAGTCCGCTGCCCCAGAGAAGTCCAGGACCAATGGGGACAAGTTGGTCACCGTTCCTGAATCAGCAGCCTCTCCAAGGATGACCCTTCCCTTGGGACTTCCCCTAATGGTCAGCAAGCACCTTCCATGTTTTCTTGTTCTGATAAGCTGCGGAGCCTCCGAACTCCTGGCAAGCCTCTCCCCTCCAGCCTGCTCAGCAAGGTGCACAGCCACTGCCCCCCTCAGCCTGGAAAACCAACAGGATGCTAAAGGGGCAAGGGCAGGTAATGGGCTGCGGGCCCAGATGGTTGTAGTTCCAGCTAACTGGGAGGGTGGAGCAAAGAAAGGAGTATAAAGAGGGCAGCTACAGCCTCACTCGCCTTACTAGCTGCTGGGTCGGGTGGGGTGGTGCGGTCGTTATGCATTGGGATTCACTTGTTTTTAAGCTGGCGAGGTTGGGTTTTTTGCTTAGGGTCCTTTCTGAAGATGCTTTAGCTCTCTTTTTCTTTCTCTCTTGTTCTCTGCTCTATGGCCTTTCTTTTCTCCGAAAAAGTAATTAGGAACAGCACATCCTTAGTTCAGACTGGAGAAGCAGCATCAGTTACTCTAAAAGAACAAGCTGGGAAGGAGTGCCAGACCCCAGTGACCTACCCTTAGGGCAAAACGAGATGAAAATTCCAGCAGGTCTTGTCCCCAGGACAATACATGTTGGGGGAGAGCCATGGGCAGGGCTGTGCAAAGCATATGAACCAGAGGCTGGGAGATGTAGGGGAACTGAGGCTCGGGCGGATGACGGGCCGGCCCTGCAGTAAAGTTAAGTTATTGCCTGCCTTCCGTGAGAATCAGGGCCAGCCCGACCCTGCTAACACCTCATCAGAGGGAGAGTGATGGGGTTACTAAAAAGGCTAGCTGGAGATCCAAAACTATGAAACTACTCTTGCCTCTCTTGAAAAATAAGGGTAGCAGCTGTCGTTCCAGGGTCCCTGAGAACTGGGTGCTGTCTTCTAGGTGCCACTTCATCCAGCACCTCTCTTGGTGGTGGTTCACGTGGCTACCTAGACAGAATCCTCATGTAGACCTGAATTGTCCAGTCAAGAACATCCAGCCTCATTCTCTAAGCCAGCAGCTTAGTCACTTGGCCCATAAGACCCTAGAGCGAGATAGTGCCCAGTAGTACTGAGATGTCCAAAGAAGTCTTCACAAACTCTGCCTGGGGTTCAGGATACTGGCTGTTTCTCCAGCAGCGAGTGACTAAAAACAGGTTCCTCTCCTTAGGCCTCTGATAATTAGATTAAACCACATACTCCTGGAATGAAGAGCCAGAACGGAGTGGCCACTCCTGGCTGCTAGGAAACCCTAACTTGCAAAGCGTGGCTATGCTTCTTTCTGTTGCGTGGGGTGCTGTCTGGGTACGAGACCTTACAAAATGAGCCACAGAACTTGTAGGCTTGGTAGAAGTCAATCTTCCATGAAGACTGTCTTAGAATACCGGGACTTCCCCTCCCCCCAGCCCAGGAGGGGTTTAATGTGCTCTAACAATCGCGATGCATCTGTGGCCAACACTTGAGTCAACAAGGTAGAAGTAACCCTGATGTTTCACGATTTCATTGTGACATATTTCCATACTTATTCTCACACAAATGAGGTTAAGAGTACATGTTACCCATACCTTAAAAGGGAAGTATCCTATCTGTTGAAACTTTCCCAAAACTATTTACTGGTAGGTAAGGGATTTGGAGCCAGTTTTGTTAAGCCCACTGACTTATTCCCTGATGGGAGCTAAGTGACTTCAGCTGTAGCTTGACTTCTAACCCCAAACCTGGGCTTAACTACACTGATGTTAAGTTGCCCTCATCTGAGAATCATTTGAGGCTTTCCCAGCTCCATTGAAGTATGCCTGATGTTGGGGGATACGAGCTGAATGACTTCTGCAGACACAGGAATGGACCCTGAACCTGGAAGTGAGGTGCTAACTGGACTGCTTGGGGCAGCTCCCAAACGCTACTGCAAACAGCCAACAGATGCAGCCCATTCTGAATGCAGATGGAGCTAGTGCTCCTTCTGGAGAACTTGGAAACGCAGACTAGAAAATGGCTTCTAAGCATTCATCCTAGAGTGCAGATTAACAATGTGGGGTGTTGCCTAGCCTTTGCAATTTGCCATAAACATTGATACATTCTGAAGTCACCTTAAGGTGCAGAAAACGCTGCAAGTCAATGCGTATGTGCTTAACGACAAGAAGCCACTAAAAATCCCTCTATTAGTCACAAGCCTGTCTTTCTGGTCTGCCTTCTGCAGTCTGCCATCCCCTCTATGCTGGAAAGAATCTCCTTTAGGGATTTTTTTCTGGGCAAAATACAGTATGAGGCCCTATGTCAGTGGGTGACAATTCCTCCAGTGAAGTAATGACATGAAGACTACAACAGTCTAAGCGGCCTCTTTTTTCTGCAATTCTGGGATACATGTAAAAACATGCAGATCTGTAGCTGCTTCTCCTTTTAACTTGGCACATCTATAGTCCCTTATGGGATGTTGAGTAGAAAGTATTTGGGTTAACCCTCTTATATCAAAGTCCATAGCCTTATGATCTTGGCCATCTTGTGCCCCAAATCTTGCCGCAATCAAATGTGTAAATGTCAGTAAACTCACCGAGTGTGTAGCCAGGAGGCCAACCTCACTAGTGAGCTCTGCATCACCTTGTGATGTCTGGGCTTGGGCCACTTGGATGTCATCCCTGCAGGGTTCTGGCTCTGGTGTCCTCCTAACATCTGGGGCTCATAACACCAGGATGTCATCCTGGTAGCTCTGGATGGTCCTGTGTTTGCATTTGGAGGTGCTAGGTTCTCGGAGGACAGACTCATCTCACTTCCTGGGAGACGAAGCTCATAACTCCTGGTTTAAAAGCCTGCACCTGTGGGTTCAGGTGGGGAGAAACTCCTGAGGCTACCATCTCCATGAGCCTTCTGTGCCTCTCCCTTAGTGAGGGACTCTTGAGGATGTAAGAATTAACTGTTCTTAAACATCTGTCATCTAAACAGTGGGTCTTGTCAGACTTATAAGCATATTTAGAGTACCTTGACTCAGGGCTTCTAAGAGTCTTGAGTGAAAGGATCGGAGCTGGGGGAGGTACACAGCTTTGTTAAGGGCAGCATAACAGCAGTTTCTGCCCTGAACTAGAATCCACTCTTCTAGGGGCAGCTGTTGCTCTCGAGTTGGGAATCATTCTGATGTCGGGCATTAGGGGAACTAAAACATGCCTAAACCATGCTGCTTGGGAGGATCTTGTCCTCCAAAACTAAGGTCCAAGCCAGAAGCTAAATGGACTACACTGAGCAATCCTCGCACTTCAAGCAGGCCCCCTTAGAATTGGCTTGGATCACCGTGGGTTTGGGTTTACCTCAAGTTCATGCTGAACTGTTTTACTTTCTCTTGACCATGCCCCACATCTGGTTTTGGTGATGACTTAGATGCATTGGGAGGCTATCCTAAGACATTCTCCAAACCTTCAGAGTTGCTGCTTCATGCCTTATGACCCTGAGCTTGAGCCTAGCCCAGCAGCTAGGATGGATTTCACTTGTATTAAGCTCACAAGAGCTATCGAAAATTGGACTAAACACTACCAAACATTGGCGATGGGCTTGGGAGTAAGATGCATGAGATAATGAAGTGAGCCATTGGTCTGCAAAGAGGTTGCCAGCTGCTGATCATAGGGGGTTAGCCTTGTAAGAAGCGGGGGGCCTATCGGAAAGCAAGGGTTTGTGCTGAAGCTCCCAAATATGGGTATCCTTGCCCCATCTGTGTGTGTAGTCAGAGAATTGGAAGCTTAACTGAAGTCTAAAGGAGGCCACCGAACCTGGAGCTTCTAAGTTTCTCCTTGCTGGTCCTAACTCCACTTGGTGAGCCATGGAACCTGAGTGGCTGTGACAGGCAGCCAGATCCTGCTGCCTCGTTCCCTGCCCAGTGAAGCTGACTGGGGCTCATAACACATGCAGGTGATAGCTGGCTTTCACCTTCCACACTCGCTGTTCTTGTGTGGGTGGGATCTTTCCCATATTTCTGATCCAAGAACAAGTATCCCTGTAGTGTTCACAGCTAAACATAACACTGGTATAAAACCATAGAAGTTGACTAAGGAAACTGAACTTCAGGTTAATTGCACTTTGGTGCTTGGCACCTAGCCCAGGAAGGCAACTGCCTTGAAGTAAACAAACTCTAAATCCGGAGTGTTGCCTTGCTGAGCTAGAGAGACAGAATGCCAGGGGTATCTGGGCCTGGACCAATGGCCTTTTCTGTAGCACAAAATCCTGATGTCAAAGTCTAGAAACCAGGCCATTTGAAATGTGTATACCAGCTGTGAATCTCAGTGACGGAGGGTTAGGATGACGGGATTCTCATGGGCATTTAACCTGGGTCTTGGATGACATGGCATCCAGCTGAGAGCATTCCTGTGGATGGATCAGCATCTCACTTCTTGTAGTGAAGTGGGACATCCAGGTGCTGCCCTAAATGTCGGGCACCTTTTGTGTGCAAATGTTATGGCTGGCATACAACTGCAAAATGTGGGGGACCCAGAGGGGGGCCCTAGAAGTCCTGGTCTCCAGTGCTCCCCCTTCCTTTACTCCAGTAAACTTGAAGTTAGTGTGAGATTACTGTGTGTGGAACAAGAACCACAGAATCGCAGTCACATAAACTTCAAAAACATGGCTAGGAGGTTTTCACTGTTCCTAGTGAAGTTAGGAACAGGTCTGATGGCATCATCGGTTCTGGTTGTGCCTGAAGGTTAGGGGGTCACTGAAACACTTGTCTCTGCTTGTAGCTTCTAGAAATGAGCTGCAGGGCCTGGTGGCTTATGTATTAACATGCCAGATAGATGGTCTCTCTACTTGTCAGGTGGGCTGCCAAAAGAGCTATCACCTCTTGACCTAAATAGTACACTGGTATCTCCTGATTCTTTCCTCTAACAACCAGGAAGCATGCCTATGTCATCTGAACTACAAAGTGGTACCTCAGCTTCTCTGTCTTCTCTAGTGACAGAAGATCACTGACTTTGGGAATAATGTGATGGTGCCCTCCCTTGAAGGCTCACTTTCAAGGTATCAAAAGTAATCATCTCCCCAGTAGATCTCTGGTGTGCTCACAGGACAGCTTTGAAAACAAGGCTCTATCATGGGTGCATCTTCCTATGTAGTATTGGGATGCACCTCTGGGATGGGCAGTGAAATAACCCTGAAAGCAATCTTTGACTGTTTAGTCCTCCCTCAGGTTCCTGACTTCTGGAGCCCCCTTGAGAGCTGCGAATTAAGATTAAAGTATCCAATTGTTAAGACCGTACCAAAACCAAACTGCTTATGGCCAAATGGTTGGAGTATAAACAAGCTCATCGAACTAGCTTATACTCCTGTGAATTCTGAGCCAAAGAATGGATATCAACGGAAGAGAACTCCCAGGAAAGTGGCCAGGCTAACGTGGTCAAATATACTGTCTCCAGAGCTTTGTGTTATCAACACTAATAAGTTCTAAAAACCCAGAGGTCTAGGGAGTGAGACTGAGAACATTAAAAGGGAAAGTGGATCTGCCATCTCTGATTCCTCTATCCCTAGCATAACAAGTATAGCTTGGGGTTCCCATCAGGAATCATAGATGGTTTTTTGGAGAAGAGGTGGCCAATATTGACTTAAATTACTAGACCACCTGAAGAAGCCAAAATTAGTGTTTGCATATATTCATCTCAAGAGTCCTTAAATTCCATGGTTGTGAATGGAGGAGGAGGAAGGTCTCATTCCTACTATGACCCAGTAGCTTTGTCTTTGCAAATGATGCTGACCCCATGTCACTCAATACAATGTTTTCCCCCTTCCAGGATTGAGGTCTGGGTCCTGATCTAAATCAGACCCAGGGGTATGAAGATATCGTTTCCAGGGGTGGGTGACCTGTCTGTGCTGATGACTTGGGAATAAACCCATGGCAGAACAGGACTGCAGCCTCGTGCTCAAGCCTTGGGTCCTAGATCATCCCCTGGCACAAAAGGAGGGGACCACTGCCTGCATGATCCTCACCACCTCCAGAGGTAGAACTTGGATGAGTCTTTGCCAAATGCTGTCAGGATCCACAAGGCTTGATCTCGGCCCACAAAGCTCCTGAGTGGCTCTTGCAGGAGCTGCAGTTTCTAGCCCCAGGACATCAGGGGATGAGGAGACAAGACTCACAGCTTGAGACCCAAGAGACCCAGAGGATGTTAGTGCTTGAAGACTCGGCTTCTCTCTGCCTCTTGCCTGAAAGCTCCCCATCAGCCTAGGGGAAAAACTGCCTGGTGTTGTCAATAAGGTCCCAGGTCACACATGTCACGATATTCAGGGAAGTCTTCCCATGTCTGGGCCCCTCAAGGCTGGCTCCCTGGGTTGGGTGAACACACAGTGCCTGTCCCCACACCTGGGAGTGTCTGGAATCCTGCCAGGCCACACCATCTTTCCTTTGGCCAGCATCACTTACTCTTCCCTCGTGGGCCCTCCAGGGCTTCTTAGTTTGAAGGTACGTTGGAGTCCACATCACTCTTGGGGCTCTCTCCATCCTGGAGAAAAGCATCTTCTCTGTTCTATAGCATCCCTTGTCTCGCTCTGGGAACTCTGCTACCTCCTGACAGGCCCTGATCTTCCAAGATCAGGACCTCAGTACCGAAAATGATCCCTTGCTAGTAGTTGTGATGATATGGAGTGCTCATCGGATCTCTCTGCCCTGCTGGGATCTGAAAACTCGTAGTTCATCTGAACGCCTCCTGAGGAAAGTAGATTCTAAGTCTCTCTGCCATGAGGATGTGGTCTGAGAAGGCTCTGGTCTGAACATTCCAGGGTCTGGTGGTCCACATGCACCTGGTTATCTTGTCTCCCTTGCGAGCTGTTCCTTGGCTGGTCCTCATCGCCCCAGCTGAGGCTGCTTTGGGGACACCTGTACCCCACGGCTTCATCTGGTATCTGTGCTCCTGTTCCCTCTTCCTGTCTGCACCTCTAGTAGAGCTTCTAAACTTCAACTGGGCATCCTCCAATACCTGCTACCTGTCCCTATTGGGAGTCTCATAGGTGTTTCAAATGCAGGTGATTCTAAATGGAGTTCAACTCCCCTACACCATCTGCATGTCTGCGATTCCATCTCACTCTGCTGTTTAGAATGAGAGTAAGGCATTACTTTTTAGTTTCCCATTGTTCCGCTGACTTATTGATGCCTCAGGGACTTAAGCAACTATGCAAAGCTAATGGTAAGGAGGGGCTTGAGGGCAAAGATGGTGACCCCTTCCTGTTGGGCTTTAATCAGGCAATGCTGCACTGCTGTGAGTCCCTCTTGGGTACAGTGGCCACTCCTTCAGGGCATTATCCCCTTCAGGCCCCAACCCTACCACCCTTTTCATCAGATCTGAAATCTATGCCTGGTGACTGAGGCAGCCCTGAGTTAAGGGATCATGTTCCAAGGGGTCAGACAAAGCTTTGCAGGGCTCTCAACATAGTGAATGAGCTGCTGAGAAGAGCAGGACCCACAGCACATCAGCCTGCCCTAAGCCTCTCCCCAAACCAGGGGGACTGTGGGGAGCAAGGCCCAGTGTAGGAACTTAGCCTGTGTATGCTTGGCAAGTAACACTGGTATATGTGACTGATTGGGATGGCAAAAGTTTGATCTGCCAGCTTTTTAATAGTATGTACTTTCATAAAGCTGGGGGGCACTAAATGGAAGCCTTCCAGAAAACAGTGAGGGGTCAGACTGGAGTAGAATCCAGGATCTTGTGTTGGAAAACGATTATCTTGGCATCCTCTGATAGCTATGAAGCCCTAAACCCCAAGACTGCTAATGGCTGTGCCCTCTCTGGTGGCACCCTCATTCTGTTATGAGTCCTTAATACAGTCATTCTGGCAAATCTGGGATACTTAGGAATTCTACCACGCTTCCTAGAAGCAGGCCAAGTCAAGGGTCATGTGCATGGTGATCAAGGGGGTTTTGGGAAAATCTGCAGCCACAGTCTCTAGGACCTAGCCTTTAAGACTCCAACTACTGAGAATGGGGCAGACTTGCCAACTTGGACTGTTCAGAAAATTCACCAGCCTGTCTATCCTTAGTTATTTTACTAAGAAGGTAGATTGAAGGAATGTCACAATGAACATATCCGTGACACCACGACCCAGGAAAATGAGTTCTACCAGCAAAAACTACATGCTTTCTCTTCAAGTCACTATGGCCAAATGTAATGACAATGACAAATGGCTCTGATCTGTACCTCCTCATTCTGTGTATTTCTATTAACTCTCCTGACTTTTGTATGTTGTATGTAGCAGTAGTTTCTCCCTATTTAGTATCCTATCTGCATATACTCCAGCTGATCCTACTGTTGAACTATATTTAGGTGGTAGCTTTGACTGTTACAGTTGGTGCTCTCATAACTCTGGATGTGAACTAGCACACATACATATGTTTTCCTGCTGTGTATATGCTCTGCAGTGAAATCTCTGGGTCAGACCACAGTTGGCTTTGGGGCACACACCAAGCAGTCATCCACAATGTCATACTATGTTCCTGGTATGAGAGTTGCAGTTGCTGTTCATATTCAGTGCTTCATAATTCAGTCACTAACTTCAGCCCTGGTGGTGGCTCAGGAGCAGCTTCTCATAGTAGCCTTCTGAATTACTAAATGTATTAAGTTATCCTGCTGCATATCAAATATGCACAGTATTGACATGAGACAACATCTCATGATCAGACTTATTAGATTGCTGCAAAAGTTAATCGCAGGTTTTGACATCACTCAGTGCCAAAAACCAATTACTTTTGCACCGACCAATACATTCTGTGACTGTTTGCTAGGACAGTACAAGGAGTGGTCACTATGGCAACAATCATTTATGAGGGATGGGGTACGTAGGGAATGGTGGCACATCAGTTCATAAACGTGTTCCCTCTTCCTTCTAGAACCTGGGACCCAGAGGGTAAATGAGTAAATAAAGACTTCCATTCTGGCTGCAAGATGGAAGAACATCTTCCCCCAGCTCAAAATGCTGTGGGTTTGTTCTTACCTATTCCCACAGGTCTTGGTTGTATAACTGTAGACTTAGGTTACAACGGGGGTTCTTCACTCACTTGTATCTATAGCAAATTTTTGTCCCTTCCCAGGAAGCCATATTTGTTGCTGGGTCATTGAGGGCCCCTCTTCCCTGTCCCTGTGTGGTTCCACATGCTTGGTGTGGCCTTGGGCACCTTGAGGCTGACAACACAGCTGGGTTGGAAGTCTTCCATCATCCAATGTTCTAGAGTGGAAGCAACTGGCAGATGAGGCTCCCTTCCTAAGGTGGGCTCTGACTGACTTCTTAGACAATCCCTAAGAAAATCCTCATCCCACATAAGGTAACACTTGCAGAGCATCAGGAACTTTGGGGGGTCCCCCCAGGCTCCTCGGCATGGCTGCTGGTAGTGGTGGTCATGTCACCTATTTCCAGGGTAACTGTTGCCAAGGGTGGTGACAGCACCCCTGCCTGAGCATCTCCCCAGGCCCTCTAAGAATGAGTGGGAAGGTATCGGGGGGTGACAGTCACTCACTAAGAACACCAGAGATAGAACAATGATTGCTCCCTGTAGAACAAGGTAATGGCAAACCCTGTTCTCATGTCCTTCCCAACGTGTTAAGACAAGGATGCAAAGCAATGTTGAGATGGAAAGCAAAGGACTCCTTGGTGATGCCCTAACATACTGGGTTGCAGTGTAACTTTCTATCTTACCACGGAAGAACCCCAGAAAATGACTTCTAATCTTGCCCCTATCTCCTGAGCAGAACTGACCCCCTGTGTTCTACATGGGCAAGGAAACTGCATTTGTGGCTCTCTGGTTACCTGAAGCTGTGTGCTCCTTAAGAAAGCCAGGGCAGAGAGCTGCAGAAATGAAAAATAACCACCTCATAAAGCCTGCAGACCACTTGGGCCACAGTCTATATGTCCCCAGGAAATGGGCTTGGAAGTGCAGAGATGGGTGCACCAGCGCATCTCATGGGAACTTGGCCTGGTAAAGGAGCCCCAGTGAAATGGGACGAGATCCTGGCTCCAAGCCTGTTGGTGCCATCTTGGTCTTGGAGAGTGGGTACTGCACAGAAGATAACACATTCAAAGCTGCCTCCTAAGCCTGGTGGCCAGCCCCTGTGCCAAGAAGTAAGATGACTCCTGTCCTAGGTGCCAGCACTGGAGCTCCGGGAAGCCTGATGAGGTGGAACCTTCCACAGGCTTGTCCCTGGGAAGCAGGAGCCAGGGCCTCCTGATAACTGGGAGTATGTGGCTCTGCCTACCTCCCCAAGCTGGTTCTGGTGTGGTTTGTGGGTCTCAGCTCAATACTCCTATAGCCATACTGGGGTGGGTTACTTCCTGGATGTGTTACTTCCTGGATGTGATGCTGCACCACAGAAACATGCTGTTCAGTAAATGAGCAAATTAAAGCTACCAGAGTCTCCCTTTGACCTACTTATTTTCTTCCTTTATCTGAGTGGTAAGTTGTTGTTCATTGAACCCTAATGCAATAGAATTCTGCTGAACATACAACTGAATGAGGTGATGTTGACCTACAGCATATGGATGCTACTCTAAATATTGAAATATCTGCAGCTGTAGTGTGGCTAGCAAAACAAGCACGTCCCTGCCAGCCAGCAGAATTTATCCTAGAGAACAGCGATAGACTGCATAGATACCAAAGTAGGTGTGTCGTGAGGCCAAAGAATGGGGAGAAGGCAAGGCTTCATAGACCTTCATAAGACTTGGGCTTCTACTTTGAGTGAAATGGAAATGTACTGGTGAGCTTTGAATTGTAGTCCTTATTTTCTTAAGGATCTCATTGGCTCTGCACGGAAAACAGCTTGTAGGGGAAGAGAAACCACTTGGGAGCATCATGCAAAAAGTCAAGTGACAGCTTAGACTAGGTGTGTGTGGATGTGGAGGTGACAACTGATCAGGTCTGAGCCCATGTTGAAGGATGGAAACTTCTGTATACTTGAAGTAGGAAGCCTGTATGGGAGAGGTTTGGGGAGAACGTATAGGTGTAAGTTTGACATGCATAAAAGGAAATGGTCGAACTGCTGTTGCTGGCTTTTAAAATTCTATTTCAAACTGTATACAAATTCCACTCCAGACAGCAGTAAAGAATGAATTTCTTATGCCAACTAAACTAATGGAGAGAAAAAAAAGTTGAGTCTTCAAGTAAATAGTGATGGGAAGGATAGCCGCCACACTGAGTTGAGAAGGAGTGGGGAGAGGTGGGTTGGGGAGTGGTAATTAGCTATAAAATAAGTGAAAATTAGCCTTCACCCTGAATGAGGGTCCTCACTGACCAAGAGTTAAGTGGTATGGAATGACACTCACTGGATGACTGAAGTCAAAACTTTGAAGGTAGTTCATCTAAAAGGTCAAGAATGGGACCTGCCAGTAACCACGGGAATTGACTTGGGCTCTTGTGTGGAATGGAAGGAAAGGTTTTGGAAGTAAAGTCAGGATAATGAGGCAGACTTCTGGCCACATTAACATATGTGTTGACCTAATTGTGACAGACAGTGCTGAGGAGAGGAGAGAATGAGGTGCTAATGTGTAGTCCAGGAACGAAGGATGACCCAGGAGTTTGGAGCATACATGCAAAAGGTGGTTAAGAAGATAAAGTTCTCATTCCTGTGACATTGGGAGCATGGGAAGAAATACTACAGAAGAGGCTGGCCATGAGCAGATGCCATGCCCTAGAGTAGCAGCCAAGTTTCTCTTTCCCCGAATCCTGGGAGCTCCCAGGAGTTTGAGAGTTTGGCAACTCTGCCAAAAGGAAGCCCAGAGTCCCAAAGAACTCAGTAAAGTGTCTTGGGGCATCTCAGATGTGTGTCCTAGGCGATAAGAGGCCAGGCAGGAAGTATCAAGGCCAGGCATCTTAACATTTGTCTGATTCCTACTCTTCGGTATGACACTTCATAGGATTATTTTCCACCTTTCTCGTCTACTGACTTCTGTGGTTAGAGTAGACCCTGGAGCTCTAGATCCATTTTCTTTACACAAAATTTGTTCTTGGTCATCATAAAAATGTGACTCTTCTGCTTACCAGACTTTATTTTTAAAGCCAGTTGACTTGAATGAACTCTGATCTCCCCAATTAAAGTATAACAGGTGCTGAAGATAAGAATCTAGAAATGGGCAACACATCTAGAAAAGATGGTTCTTATGCCAGAATTCCTCATCTGAGCTGGTTCACGACATGGAAGTGGGGTTTCTCCTTTCCTCACTTCTAACAGGGCTTAGGTATTCAAGTCCTGTTAAATACCAACACTGTCCTAACTCCAAATGAAGGAAAACAATTAATACTGGAGACAAAGTTGCTATGAGGCTAACTTTCAGTTGAACAGAAGTCTGAACCCAAAAGATAACCAGAGTTTTTATGCCAGAATCAAATATAACAAGACTCAAATCGGGATCCCTGAGCTTGGACCCCTCCCAGTCATGTCTAATCTGGGAAAGCCTCCTTTGGACCTATTGTGTCGTATTTGGCCTTTGACCCCACCCTGTGTTTGCTGAGAGGGTTTTGGTGTTACTGTGTCTTCTACATTCTAGCATCCTACTTGGGAAGGTCCTATTTGTAAGAACCATGGATATCTTTGGCAAGGTCACAGGGATTGTGCCTCTTAGCTCCTTAATGACAATCTAGAGCTAACAGCATGGTGGAGGCCTTAGAATTTCCAAGATGGTTAGATCTTGAGTTTCAGAAAAGACTTGGTGCATACAGACCAGAAACGGACACGGTTCTCCAGAGACTACAGAAACATACCTATGGAGTATGGCTTCATGGTGACAAGTGGCACTGGCAAGGACTCTAGGGAAGCTGAGCTGAGAGAACTAGAGGAACTCTGAAGGGTCTTTGTCCTGGGGGGAGACTGTATAACCTTGGGAGGGAGGGAGGCAACAGACTGCCTGGAAGGTGGGGTAGAACGTGCCATATCAGAGGCCCATAGAAAACTCAGAAAAATTGAAAGGGAAATTCGGTGTTAGTAACCACACTTAGTGAGAAGTGTCATTGACCAAGGACAAAGGCCTACCCACTCTGGTGTTGCAGCTGGGCTAGTCTCTGTTCCTGGGGCTTCAGAGCACCAGCACTGGGCAGTCAAGATCAAACTAAATGGCATGTGGCATTTCAGTTCACCTCAAGATCCAGCCCCTGTTTAGGGTGAAGCCGTGCTCTGGGTGTGCCCTGGGGTGGGAGTCTAAAGCTGCCTATGTTCCAAGTTGACATGAGAGGGTCAAATCTATGTTTCATTTGAATCTGAACCTAAGTCAAAGGCTGAAATCTAAAAAGCCCCCTACCAGCCCCCACCTCACCTGAGGGGCATTGAGGGGCCTCCCCAGATGACGTATCCCCACACAGCATGCACACAAGTCCAGCAGGAAGCTCCTTGAACTCACTCTTGTCAGGTTCAAGCTGGTTGAGTCCTATTGCCTGTGCACAGATTCAACAGAGATCTGTTGCCCACATGATTAGGATTCAAATCTAGCCGGACACTGTTGAATAAGCAGAAGTCTGAAATCATGAAACGGGACTTAGGGTCCGCAGCAGCAGGATTCTTCTCCAGTCTCAGGGCCAGCGCCTCCTGTGTCTCATGCTGCCTCTGCTCCTGCAGCAGCTGGCCACTGACCACTGACCTGGGGGCCTCATCCTGGAGCTGCTCCCACAACTTCTCTAGCCCCTCACCCTGCTGGTGATGGTGCTGTTCTTGTCTCTCGGAACAAGTGCTCTGTGCTGCAGCACAGAGCAATCTGGACATGTTTCCCAGAGTCCTGGGGTGCAAGCCCATGGACTAGTCCAGTCTTTCCCAGCTTTCGGAGATCTCAGTTCAAATCAGACCAGAGATTGTTGAACATGCAAAAGTTTGAAACCATAGAAGTGGATTGAAATCCACAGCCATGAGAAAATAAAAGCCACATACATTACCATGCTGCTGCTTGTAGCTCATATTGTGAATGTACTCGTTAAAGCCTGTGTGAGTGAACTTGAGACACCAAGGGAAGCTCTAGAGGCCTTAAGGCAGGAATAAAAACCGGTAACATATCGAGGCCCACTTTTGAGGACACAGAAGGAATAGGGTGGTCAGATCAAAAGATGAGGTTCTTGAACTTCAGCCTGGGCAAGTCCATAGGACCTTCCAGGAAGCAAAGGGTATTTATCACCCTCTGGATTGTCACCAGGATAGGTATGGGTCCAAGCACAGCCTTTGTGACCACACAGTAACCCAGCCTTAGCAGCCTGACAAAAGTCAACATACATCATGTGAGTGAAGTAAAGGCCTTCAAGTTCAAGAGCCCTTGACAAAGGGTAGCAGGTGGGGTTTGTCTTGTGGTCAACTGGGGACCTATAGTAGCTATAAGGCCTAAGCTGTGAGAGCCCCTAAAGTGAGCCAGGAGAAAATGCCCTAGAGCCACTCACTCCTACTTCCTTGAAGGTACTCTGAGGGATGGAGACCTCCCCTGGGGACCAACCTCCTGGTACAGAGATCTTGCACCAAGAATACATGAGGCTTTCTGTGAGATGGGCTTGGACATGGAGAATAAGTGTGGGAACTTGAACACAGAGGGCAGCAGCTCATCTAAAACTGGTAGCTGGAAACCACCCCTGAGATCAATCTCCTTGGGCAGGTAACTTTTCTTTGCCTGCTGTCTCCATGGCCACCCGACCACACACACATCTGCGGTCCCTAAAGGCTGAACACCTCACTCTTCCATGTTCTTTGGCCTCTGTATTAGGGTTCTGTAGAGGGACAGGATTAATAGGATAGATGTACATATAACAGGAACCTTATTAGAACTGACTCCCATGATCACAAGGTAAAGTCCCACAATAGGCCATCTGCTGCAAGCTGAGGAGCAAGGATGTCAGTCTGAGTCCCAAAACCTCAAAACGGGGGAAGCTAACAATGCTCCCTTCAGTCTGTAGCCCAAGGCTTCAGAGCCCCTGGCAAGCTACTGGTGTAAATCCAAGAGTCTAAAAGCTGAAGAACTTGGAGTCAGATGTTCAAGGGCAGGAAGCATCCAGCACAGGAGAAAGATGAAGGCTGGAGGGCTCAGCCTGTCTAGTCCTTCCACGTTCCTCTGCCTGCTTTTATCCTAGCCATGCTGGTAACTGATTAGATGGTGCCCACCCCGGTTGAGGGTGGGTCTGCCTCTCCCAGCCTACTGACTGAAATGTTTAATCTCCTTTGGCAACACCCGCAGACACACCCAGAAACAATACTTTCCATCCTTCAATCAAGTTGACAACATTAACCGTCACAGCCTCTCATTGTGTTTGGACAATGAGAAGCTCCACGTGAGACAAAGGAGGGACAAAGACAGCAGTGTGCATGACAGCCCCCATCAAAGGTCATCTTGAGCTGCCTGTGTTCAACTGAAGGTGGCTGCGGTGTCAAGGTGGTTGTCTCTTAGTATCCCAAAATCCATCTCCAAGCATCTCTTCTAACACCCAAAGTCTGTAAATAGCTCCTGTTGTTTGTCCTGGGATTGCTAACCTGTATGCCAGCAGTCCTCAGTATGTTTCCTGGACCATCAATTACCTGGAAACTTACTGGAAACATGAGTTCTTGTTTCTCCTACCACCCCCTCTACCCACCCCCGCCACCAACTACGAGAGCAGAAATTCCAGGGGGTAACCTAGCAACCGGTGCCTGAACAAGCTCCTCCAGAAGAGTCTGATGCCCACTAAAGTCTGAGCTCTCCTGCTCAGGATCACAAAGCCGCCTAGGCTGCATTCCCTTGTGGGCCTGACAGGCTCACATCCTGTCAGCTTGGATTGAAGGATGTAAATTATTGTTTCTGGGTGTGTCTTCGAGGATGTTGCCAAAGGAGATTCCCATTCTGCATGGTCTCTCCTTGAATCACTGAGTTCAAGGGGGCCACGTGTTTCCTGTCAGATCTCCTTTGATGCCTCAATGTTGTGAAGCTACACTTGCATTGTGACTATTGATCACTGCAGTGATGTGGCTGCAAGGAAGGACAGATGCCTTAGGTTTCTGGATAATCCTTAGGGTGGTGTTTCCAGGATGAGTGTCTTATTTTCCTCCCATACTAAAGAGGCTTAGGTAGCTCAGCCCAAGTTACTATACTGGGGAGATGATGGCATCAAACAGCCTCGTTGTCACGGAGGCCCTGTTTGGAATAATGAAGGCAGACTGTGTTGTCTCAAACTGTTTAGCTTCTCACTGATGCCTACAAAGTCACCATCCCCTAATACCAAACTAGATAGGGAAGCCATGGCTGACTCCCAATTCCGTCACTGCAGAGGTTGTGATATCCCAACTTCAAATTCCCGGTAGGATCCCAGTCTGGATATGTGGGCTCAGGACTTGATATTTGGGGGGGATCAAGACCTGGGTGCCTGTGACATTGGGCACATCCTGTTGGTTGGGATATCACTGAGGTTACAAAATTACCTCTCCTGGCCTCTTATTTTGAGGCTATAAACCTCTCATCTTGGGCCTTAAGTAGTGGTTCACAAGCAAACCCAGGGTACATGGAAGGAAAGATGCCTTAACAGTGACTTATCTTTAGAAAACAAAGATGCTCTGTTGTTCCCCCAAACAGATCAATGTTATAGCTACCCCTAGACACAAACAGCATGTGAATATGAAATGAATAAACCTAAAGCAATGTTGTCTGGCAGGATACTCCCTTCACATCAGCTGTGTGTGGCATGAGTTGAGGGTGAGGGTGAAGCTCAGTCTTGGGAGCAGGCACCAAGGATGCCTGAACTTCCTGCTGTTGAAGTTTCCTGGAGCCTTCCAGACCTGAGCCAGCTCTGTACTGTATTAGCATTTTACTGTGCAATACGATTTTTTTTGGCCTGGTACATCAGGTGGCATCCAGCTTGTGGGCCAAAGTTCAGCCACTGGGACTCTTCAGCATCTGATAGTCTTTTAGGTGTTTATTGCTACCAAGACCCTGAAAGAAACCAGGAGTTAATTTCTAAATGTAGAGCACTTACTGGCAGAAACAAGCACAGCTCACCCATTTCCTGGAACCCATGTTGTCATTCAATCTGGGCTTACCAGTAGCTGCATGTAGCCTCTGCCACAGACTCCCACTGGCATACCTGCTGAGACACAGGACTTGAGGAATGGCAGTCTGGACATGGCAAAGCGTTTCTCTTGCTGTGTCAAACCCATAATAGCAGTTGTAAGAATAACCTGGTTAGTGGATCTGAGTGGACTCCCCAAGTGTTAGATGCCCTCCAAGTCTCAGCCTACCAAGAAATGTCTCAACATTTAGTGCAAAAGCAGCAGCTCACCTCTCATTCTTAATAGGCTGTCCTGACAAGTTCCAGATCACAGTACCTAGCAGTGACCCTGGGTACGCTCCTACCTCAGAACCCTCGTTGCATGTCTGAAGCACATGCCTGATACTAAAGGCAGGATGCTTTGTCTATGTTAAGAAGCCAGCAGGACAGAGCTCTGACCAGAAAGAACATGTCCCCAGCAATGGTGTGTCCTGGCCTGGGGTAAAAACTGTTCTCATTACCCAGGGGAATTGGCTCCATGAGCAAGAGCTGCTTGGAACAAGCACTTGCCTGGAGATGTTAGTGATCAGGTCGACCTCTGGAGGCCTCCCCTGACTCCCTCAGCTTCCAAGGAGGTGGCTGTTCTGCCTGGCACTGCTCCTATCTCCCTCAGGGTAGAGGCAGGACAGTGGCTAGGAGGTCCATTTAGGTCCGTCTACTTCAAAGCTTTGGAGTTACAGAGCTTCCATGGGATGCCAGAGCTCCTTACATACATCGTATCCCCTGAGATTTTTCTCCCTGACCTTGACCAGTCTCGTGGAGTGTCCTGAAGGAAGTCTTCCAGGTGGTCTGCTCCACGAATATCTCTGGGAGGCCTGAATTTACTGTGAAAATAGTACCGAAAACCACCTAGAAGCCCAAGGCTGGCTCAATTTCCTGTTTCTGGAATTGGGAGCACACTGATCATTCGGGAGTGGGTCCTGGTTCCACAGTTCTGCTAGTCTATTTTCTCTCCAGATCTTGTCACTTTCATGAATATACCTTCAAATTCCTTGACTTTCTCCTCTATCATCGCCTTCCCGCTACCTTGCGCATCCAGCGAGTTTTAAACCTTACATGTATAACTCAATCCTGAAATTTCCATTGTTTATTTCTTTTTAATATTCCACTTGTTGGAAGTATTCACAATTGCTTGTTGGATTATTTTCTAAATCCTTTAATCCTGATATTAGTGTCTTCTCAGTGCTCACATCTGATTCTTATTCAAACTGAAATGTTTTCTGGATCTTGGTACCATGGGTAAACCTAGGATGAATATTATAAAACTTTGGGTTTTACTAATAGGTCCTGTCTTTGCATGCAGTCCACCTGTTAACCTAATTGACACTTGGCCAGCGACCTGTGAAAGTGCTGTGCATCTGAACATAAACTCCTGTGGTACACCTCTGACCAATCTCCCTCCCCACCCAGATGAGGAGACGCCACCCTGGGTCTCCTCAGCACCAGAGTGTATAGGGCTGCTGGGTGCCTCGTTACCGCAGGAGGGAAGTGTGGTGGAAATCTGCACCCTTCTCGCAGGCTTGAGCAAGAGGTGGGCAGCCCCTCATTACTGCAGGGGGTGAGAGAGAAGGTTCTTCCCACGAGCTCTGCTGCATCATACCACTCTCAATTCATGCCTGCTTGCTTGGCAACAGCACAGATTCTAATCTTTTGAGGCTCGTTGATGGCTTTTGGGTCTTTTTAATAGAGAAAGGGGATTGATAATGTGAAATTATGGACAACTCAAAGAAGCCAAAAGAGGTGTATATGGATACTCAAGTCTTAAAAACCCTGTAGCAGTGAAGGGAGACACAAGGTCCCCAATGTCCGTGTGACCATAACCTGGGATTCCGTCCTTCCAAAGAGTGCTGACCCCATCTCACTCCACACAAATGGAATGCCTTTTTGCCCTCTCAGGATGGAGGACTCTGTCCTGATCTGAAGTGCTCAGAAACACCAGAAGTGTGGAGAAACGAGCCTCCCACCAGTGACCTCTATGTAGTTGAGGGTTTGGAGTAAAACTGGCAGAACGAGGCGGTTGCCTTGTACTCATGCCTCAAGTCATAAGTTCCCTTTCCTTTACGCAAAAGGTGACCACTTCTGTCTGCACGGGCTCTCATGATCCTCTCCAGAGACAACACTCAAGTTGAGTCCCTGTTACATACAGTCACAGGATCCTCAAGGCTTTGAAGTCACGAGGCTCTGGGGTTCTGAGTTGACTCCCAGAGGGGCCATGGTTTCTTCTGCTCCCCAATCTCCAGCCCTAGGAGCTGAGGAGAAAGGAGTCGCATGCAGCCTGAAATCCCAGGGGGCTCATACAGGTCTCCACTCAATACCAGGCTTTGCTGCCTCTCTCCTTCCTGGTACTGGCTTGGATTCTCCACCCTCAGCCTGGCCTCTGTGTTCCTTTGAGATTTACAGCCTCCTTGCACATGTGGGATTTCTGCCTATCAGGTCATGATATGCCTGGGGATCTTGTAGCTGGGCCCTGAAGGGCTGGCTCTCTGGACTGGATGAACACATAGCCCCAGGATACTTGCAAGCTCCAGGAATCCTGCCAGGCCACACCATCTCTATTCTTGCCAGCATCTGTTGCACTTCCCTCATGTCCATCAAGGGTGGATCCTCTATGGCAGAAAGCATGTTGGGGTCCACACTGCTCCCTAGGGTGATCTCTGCCCTGGAGAACATCATCTACTATCTGTTCTGCAGGATCCCCTGCCACCTTCTTGGAAAATATCTTACCTCCTAACAGGCTCTGACCTTTTCCCAAAACCAGGGTCTCAATCCAGACTGCTATTCTCTTACTAGTAGTTGTGACATGGTTTGTTCATTAAATTGCTACTGATGTATGGGGCTAAACTCTTGTAATCTGAATCCCCCCTGAACAAGTAGATTTCAGTCTCTCCCAGACCTGCTGGGAGGATGGGGTCTGATGGGTTTGGTATGAATACTGTCTGGTCTGGTAATCCACACACATGCTTAGCTTAATTTCATGTCATTTCCCAGCTACTTATTGGCTGGTCCTCATTGTCCCAGTTTGGGTTGTTGGTGGCGGCACCTCTACCCCACAGCTTCACCAAAAGGCTCTGCATTCTGGTCCCCTCTCTACATCTGCACCTATAGTATAGCTCTAAGCTCCACCTGACATCCTCTAACACCTACCCATCCCTATTCAGGGATCTCATAGGGTCCACAAAAACGGGTGGTTCTGGCTGAAGTCGACTCCCTTATGTCAGCAGGATCACAGCCACTGTTAGGAGGCAGGAAGAAGTCAGGCCAATGCATAGCGCTTTCTGTTCTTACAGCACTAATAAGGCTTTTGAGAATCTAGGGACAAATTTCTTCCTGAGCTACAGCTTGGAGGGACATCTGATGAAACTGAACCAAATACCGAAAACATCCTTGAGACCTAATCGGATCCAGAGTCCGGGGCCTCATTTGTTTCTGCCTCTGGTTATAGTCAGGGTGCCCAAAGAGGATTGAGCCCAAGCAATGCTGTTCTGTTAATCAGAGGTGACTGGCTATGTGGGTGATGAACACAAGAGATGTTCACTCTTGCCTTTCAATGGGCAATGGCTTCTTGAGATGGTGAAACTGCCAAAGATCTGCACTCAGTTTCTGGCAAAAATAGCCAGCGGACAAGTCTATAGTTCCCAGAAGACTGAAATGCCGGAATTACTTTAAGCCAACAAACAGCAATGTGTGATGTTAAGAAGTCTGCTTGGAAACACTTGGGCAGATCTTGGGAGTCTTAGGAATTCTACCTCACTTCCTGAAAAGCAGGTGCGGTTATGTCATGTTCATGACTGAGTCCTTGAGGGAGATCCAGGTCTGCAGTCTGTTCTGTAGGGCCCAGGCTGCAGGCCCCCAGGTGGTGGGAATAGGGCAGACCTGCCGATTTGGACTATTTTGAAAGTTGAGCAACCTACGAACTTGGTCCTGCTGGATATTTCACTAACAGAATGCAGTTAGATGGAGGGAATGTTAAAGTGAACACTCATAAACCCAGAAAGATGGAATTTTACTAGCAGACTAGACACATTTCCGTGCCTTTGCCAGTCACTTGCTGAAGGCAAAACAAATCAACAGTGACAGGTGTGACAAAAATGGCCATATTTTTATCTTTGATTCCATTTAGATACTTGCATCTTCTGAGACTGTATACAGCTGCCTACTTATTTCTGTTGCTGTCTAATCTATGAATATACACCGAGCTTGTCTGTTCTATTGAGATAACACACATGTGGTATCACAGACTGTCATGGTTAGTGCTCACATAGTACTGGATGTGGAAACTGGTAATCACATCTTTCCTCTTCTGTTGTCTGTACACCTTGCTGTGAAAGCCCCGAGTTACAGGCTTTGTATGATTGGCTTCGGGAGCATTTCAAATGTCCTTTCAAAAGAACATGTGGTCAGGCGTGGTGGCTCACACCTGTAATCCCAGTGCTTTGGGAGGCCGAGGTGGATAGATCACCTGAGGTTGGGAGTTCGAGACCAGGCTGGCCAACATGGTGAAACACTATCTCTACTAAAAAATACAAAAATTAGCCGGGCATGGTGGTGCATGTCTGTAATCCCAGCTACTGAAGAGGCTGAGGCAGAAGAATCGCTTGAACCCGGGAGGTGGAGGTTGCAGTAAGCCAAGATCACATCACTGCACTCCAGGGTGGGTGACAGAGCAAGACTGTCTCAAATGCTGCTTTCTTTGCTCAGTGTATGAAAGTCGCTGGTCTACATACCTGCCAGCACTTGGGAATGTCAGTCTTTAAACTCAGCCCTGCTGGTGGCTTGGTAGCAGAATCTTGAAGTGGTAGTTGAGTTCCTGAAGTTTTATTTCTTCACAATTACACTTGCTATCTGATTATAAAACACACAAGGTGTTCTTGTCAACATGATACCTGTCATAATGACCAGACTTCTTACGAATTTGCCAGGACAGCACAAGGGAGTGGTCATCATGGCACTGATCTGGGTATTTCTATGGGGGATGGGGTGAGTGGGGGTGGGGGTGGGGTATCCTATATCATCTGAACATCTGAAACTTCTTTTGCAACTTCATTCTATAACCTGGGATCCAGTGAGTAAACAGGTCCCAATTACAAAGGTCTGGCTGCAAGATAGAAGAACCACCTTTTTCCTCAGCCCTGGAAATTCTGTGGTTCTTCCCCCTTCCTGGGGGGCCTCAGTCCTATAACAATAGATTTGGATCAGAAAGTGTTTTCCACTCACTCGGATCTAGAGCTGACTTCTGTTCTTACTCCAGAAATCATTGATTTATCAGGTCACCGAGTTCCCCTCCCTTTCCAGCCTCTGCCTGGGTTCATGTACTCGATGTGGCTTTGGGCAGCTTGCGGCTGACCACATACCTATGGGGAAAGGCTTCCTGCATCTGGTCTTCAAGTACTGGGGTATTCAGCCAACGATGCTTCCCTCCTAAGTGGGCTCTGACTTAGGAATTTTCCTTGCATTCAAAAAAAACATAAGAAAATCCCTGTTCCACATCATAAGTTGGCAATTTTTGGGGTCATCAGCAGTTTTGTGAGTCCTCCCAATCTCCCCTGCATGGTCGCTGCAGGTCTTAGCTGTGTTCTGTTTCCAGAGTAACTGCTGCTGGGGGTGGTGGTAACACCCCAGCCCGAGACCTGACCCTGAGGAAGGTAGATACTAATCACCTGTTGTATTCTCACTACTTTCTAAATGAAATTGAAGGATTTGCTTTGAACTTGGTGTCTGAGGGACCTTCTACCTTACCTATCAATATATTTCCTAGTAGAGAGCACAAGATAGTTTGTAAGGCCTCTGAAGTGGATGAAAGACAACTGATGTCAAAATGAAGGTAAAATATGATCTTTGCGACAGGTTTCTGGAAAAGGATCCCAGGTATGGCTTTGGAGTGTGTGAAGTTGAGGACCAACTTGCCTTTTACTGAGGTACAATCAACTATCATTCTATAAAGTTCCTTACTAAAGGAGGACATTGTCCAATCTTCTAACATGGTTGTGACGGGAAGCCTTTCTAAATGTGGGCTCCTGTACAGTACAATGAGCACAACAGTGTCCATGGAAATCCAAAACTCAAGACCTTGGCCATCATCATGATAGGTCATGAGCATGTGGAGACCATGTGGCCATGACACTCTAAGGATCCTCAATCTCGAGGAAGTGGCCAGTCCTCAAATGTAGGAGTAGGTGTATCATAAAGTCACAAGAGTAGAGATAAGGCAAGGCTTTGCAAACCTTCATAAAGACTTCTTGGCTTTTGCTTTAACTGAAATAGGAATGGATGGGTGAGCTTTGAATGGTAGGCCTTGTATTTTAAGAATCTCACTGGCTCTGTGTGGAAAACAGATTTTAAGGGAAAAAAGACCGGTTAGAAGCACTATGCAGAAGTCCAGGTGTGGGCCAGGTACAGTGGCTCACGCCTATAATCCCAGCACTTTAGGAGGCCGAGGCAGGTGGATCACCTGAGGGTCAGGAGTTCGAGATTAGCCTGGCCAACATGGTGAAACCCCTTCTCTACTAGAAATACAAAAAATTAGCTGGGCATGGTGGTGGGCACCTGTAATCTCAGCTACTCTGGAGGCTGAGGCAGGAGAATCACCTGAATCCGGGAAGTGGAGGTTGTTAGTGAGCCAAGATCGTGCCATTGTACTCCAGCCTGGGTGACTGAACAAGACTATCTTTTTTTAAAAAACAAAAAAAACAAAAAAAACAAAAAAAAAACAGGTGTAAAGTGGTAGCTTAGTCCAGGTGTGCATGGGCATGGAGGTGAGAATTGGTCAGATATGAGCCCATGTGGCAGGAAGAACTGACAATTTCTGGATACTTGAGGTGGGAATACTATATATGGAAAATTCTGAGAAAGTCGCAAGTTTGGCATAAGTTTGATAGGGATAAAAACTGCTAATTTCTTAACTTTCAAACTTGCTTTACTTCTTAAATCTTACTAATTGGCAAACAACTGCATATCCACGGGATGCGTAGCCATCTTTTGATACATAATTATAGTGATAATAGGGTAATTAGCATATCCATCATCTCAAACATTCAATATCCTCCTCCTAGCTATTTGAAACCAGGTAACTATAGTCATCCTACAGTGCTATAGAACATGAGAACCTCATTCCTATCTAGCTGTAACTCTGTATCCTTTAACAAGTCTCTCCCTGCCCCGCCCCCGCTACCCTTTCCAGCCTCCAGCATTGTCCTACTTATCAGATCAACTTTTTTAGTTTTCACATATAAGCGAGAACATGTGGTGTTAACTTTGTTCCCGACTTATTTCACTTCATGTCCTCCAGTTCCATCCATGTTGCTGTGAATGACAGGATTTTCTTCTTTTTTATGGCTGAGTAATACATACCACACTTTCTTTACCCATTTCTGTTGGACACTTAGGTTGATTCCATATCTTGGCTATTGTGAATAGTTCTGCAATGAACATGGGGGTACAGATGTCTCCTTAACATCCCAAGGAAAGGAAATTAACATAAGTTTCTGGTAGCAGGATTGCTGGATCACATGGTGTAGTTCTACTTGGAGTTTTTAGAAGGGACGACCTCCATACTGTTCCCCAGTGTCTGTACTAGTTTATATTCCCACCAACAGTGTATAAATCCTCTTTTCTGCATCCTTGCCAGTGCTTATTTTTTTGTCTTTTGATAAGAGCCATCCTCACTGAGGTGAGATGATACCTCATTGTTGCTTTGATTCGCATTTCCCAATGACAAGTAATGTTAAATATTTTTTCATACTTGGCCATTTGTGTGTCTTCCTTTAAGAAATGTCCACTCTGATTTGGCCTTTTTAAAAACTGGAATTTTCTCTTGATATTTGAGTTCTTTGTATATTCTGGATATAAATTCCCCTTAACAGACAAGTAATTCGCAGGTATATTTCTCCCATTCTGTAAGCTGTCTCTTCAGTGTTTCCTATGCTGTGCAGAAGCTTTAGTTTGGTATAATCCCTTTTATTTTTCCTTTTGCTTCCTGTGCTTTTTGAGGTCTTACCCATAACCTTTTCCCAGACTCGTAGTCCTGAAGTGTTTCCCCTATGTCTTCTAGTAGTTCTGTTTTGGATCTAACATTTAGGTCTCTGATTCATATTTTGAGTTAATCTTTGTATAGGGTGAGAGAAAGGGGAGGGTTGGTGTCTAGTTCTACTCTTCTGCATTTGGGTATCTAGTTCTCACAGTACCATTTATTGAAGAGACTATACTTTCCCCAATGAGCGTTCTTGGCACCTTTTGTCAAAAGTGACTTGGCTATAGACATGTGACTTGTTTTATTGGTCTGTATATGGTTTTTATGCTATTACCATGTTATTCTAGCTACTACAGGTTTGTAGTACATCTTGATGTCTGGTACTATGATACCTTCAGTGTTTTTTGCTCAGAAGTTTTTGGCTTTCTGGGGTCTTTGGTTCCATTAAAAACTTCAGGAAATTTGTTTTATATTTTTGTGAAGAATGTCATTAGTACTTTGATTAGGGATTGTGTTGACTCTATAGATTACTTTGGGGTAATAAGGACACTTTTGATCTCAGTCTAAGTGTGGGATGCCTTTCCATCTGTTTGTATTCTGTTTTCTCAGTTTGTAAGTTTTCCTTGTAGAGGTTTTATTACCTTCTTGGTTACATTTTATTTATAGGTATTTTTGGTAGGTTCTTGAGATTGTCTTTCTCTTTCAGCTAGTTCGTTGTTCACATGTAGAAATGCTACTGACTTTTACGTGCTTTGTATATTGTAACTTAATCTGTTTATCAGTGAGGAGTTTTTTGGTAGCATCTTTAGGTTTTTCTATATAAGATGTCACTTGAAAATGCTGACAATTTGACTTACTCCTTTTCAATTTGGATGCCCTGTATTTCTTTTGCATAATTGTTCTGGCAAGGACTTCCAGTACTATGTTGAATAAGAGTGGTGACAATAGGCATCCTTGTCTTGTTCCAATGCTTAGAGGAAAAGCTCTTAGCTTTTGCCCATTCTAGGATGTTAACTATAGGGTTATCACATGTGCAACAGGCTCTTTCCTACTGCCCAGATAGAGCCAATTTAATAAGACAGGGGAATTGCAGTGGGGTTTTACACACGCAGAGCCAGCTAAATGAGAGACTAGAATTTTATTATTGCTCAAATCAGCCTCCCCAAGAATTGAGGCTAGAATTTTTCAAAGACAGTTTGGGGAATAGGGGTGGCTAAGCAGTGGATGCTGCTGATTGGTTGGGAGTGCAATCACAGGGGTGTGGGAAATGGTCCTTGTGTATGCTGAGTTGCTTCTGGATGGGGCCACGAGTGGTTGGTGGGTCTGGGTGGAACCATCAGTTGTCAAAAATGGGGGAAAAAAAAACATCTTTGCCAATCTTAAGTTCTTTAGTAGTGATATTATCTGCAGGAGTAACTGGAAGTTGCAAATCTTGTGACCTCTAGAATAATGGCTGATAATTGTTTGCCTACACTTTAGCAGAGTTTTTAGGCTCCTCTTATCCTTCCAACCTGGTGGGATCTCTCTAGCTTTACAAAGGTAGCTGAATTTGGGGAAGGGCTATTTTCATTTAGACTATAAACTAAACATTTTCCAAAGTGAGCTTGGCCTAAAGGCCCAGGAAACAAGAGCAGTTTTGGAGGATAAAGACAGGAGTTGGTTAGATCAGATCCTTCATTTTCATAACTTTGTTATATTGAAACTGCCTTTGCAAAAACATATTGCCCTTATTGAAGTGTACTTTTCTCTATACCTAATTTTTTTAAGGGTTTTATCATGAAGGGGCATTGAATTTTTATCAAGCTGTTTCTGCATCTATTCAGATCATGGTTTTTTCTGTTGATGGATCATGTCTGTTGATTTGTGTATGTTGAACAAACTTTGCATCCCTGAGACAAATCCCACTTGATTATGGTATATTCTTGATATGTTTCAAAGATTTGGCTTGTTTGGTACTTTTGAGGAGTTTTGTGTCTATGTTCATTATGGGTATTGGGTTGAGGTTCTTTTTCTCATGTCTTTGCTTTTTGGTGTCAGGGTTAGGCTGGCCTTCTAGAATGAGTTGGGGAGAATTCAGATTCCATTTTTTTTTTTTTTTGAATACTTTGAGAAGATCTGGTGCCAGTATTCTTTAAATGTTCAATACAATTCAGCAGTAAAGGCTTCCAGTCCTGGACCCTTCGTTGTTGGAGACTTATTACTGATTCAAACTTGTTACTTGTTTCTGTTCAGAATTTTTCTAGTCTTAGTTTAATTTTGGTAAGTTGTACATGTCTAGGAATTTATCCATTTCCTTTACACTTTCAAATTTATTGGGACATAGTTGTTCATAGTAGTATCTAATGATTGTTGTATTTCTGTAATATCTTGTGACAGCTCCCTCTTTTTTTGATATTCATTTGGGTCGTCTTAATCTAGTTAATGGTTTGTCAACTTTTAAATCTTCTAAACAATTTTTGGTTTCATCTCTTATTTAGTCTCAATTTCATTTATTTCTGCTCTGATCTACTTCTTTCCTTCTAATTTTTGGTTGGTTTGTTCTTTCTCCTCTAGTTCCTAGAAGTACATCAGTAAGTTGATTATTTGAAATCTCTAGTTTTTTTGACTATAGGCATCTATTGCTTATAAACTTGCCTCTCAATCCTGCTTTGGCTGTGACACATAGGTTTTGGTATTGTTGGGTTTCCATTTTTACTAGTTCCAAGGAATTTAACTTCCTTTTTAATTCTCACCTTCACCCATGGGTCAGTCAGGAGCATGTTATCCAACCAATGTATCTGTATAGTTTCGAATGTTCTTGTTGTGACCTCAATGGAATAAAACTAAATATCAATAAAATATTCTCTTTAAAAAAATCATGATTTGTTTTGAGTCCTAACATGTCACTCCTGGAGAACGTTTTATATGCTGATAGATATCCTGCAGCTGTTGAGTAAAATGTTCTGTAAATGTCTGTTAGGTCCATTTGGTCTGTGATACAGTTCAAATCTGTTTCCTTTATTTTCCTGCCTAGATGATGTGCCTAGTGCTAAGTGGGATGCTGAAGTCTCCGACTATTATTGGGGTCTAGTGCTCCTTTTAGATCTAATATTAGTTACATATATCTGGATGCTCCTGTGGGGGTGCATATGGATTTACAATTGTTATATCTTACTGATGAATTGATGTTTATTATATAATGTCTCTTTATAGCTGCTAAAGTGTTTTGTCTGACACAAGTGTAGTTAGTATTGTCTACCTTTTGGGTTTCTATTTGCATGAAACCTCTTCTCACTTTCAGTCTTTTGTGGGCCTTTCTGATAAAGTGAGTTTCTCTTAAGCAGCATATAATTGGGTCTCTAATAGACTGGCTGAATGGAGGTTTTAAATGGAGAATTTGTTTATATTGCTATTATTGATGGGTAAGGACTTCTGCTGTAATGTTTTCTGGTGGTTTTATGTATCCTTTGTTCTGAATTTGTTCTTGTGGTTAAATAGCTTTTCTATAGTAATAAGTCTTGACTCCTTTCTCTTCGTGTTTTGGCTCTACCAGTGAGTTTCATAGTTTCACATATTTTCATGGTGGTTATTACTGTATTTTCACTTCTGGATAAACTCTCAAACATTTTATGTAAGGCTAGTCTAGTGGTGATGAATTTCCTTACTCTTTGCCTCTCAGTGAAATATTTCTCCATTTCTGAAGAACAGCATTTCTGGGTATAATATTCTTCCTTTCAGCACTTTCAACATATTCATTTTTCCACAACCCCTGCCCCCTCCCCCGACCTGGAAAGCTTCTGCTGAAAAATCTGCTTGAAGCCTAATTGGGGATTCCCTTAAATGTGACTTGATGCTTTTCTTTTGCTGCTTCTAGAATTTTCACTTTTGACAACTTAAATCTAACTCAGACCTGTTTAGTTTGAATATACTTGGAATTCCTTGAGCTTCCTCAGACATTGGCACATTCAGTTGGTAAGAGATCATTGGGGTTACAAAAGCTACCTTTCGTGGCCCCTTATTTCAGAATACAAACCCAGCCATCTTAGGGCATAATTGGTTTTCAAATCAAGTACATGAAAAGGGACAATATTTAACAGTGAAATCTCATTAGAAAATGGAAAGAGATTAGATTTGATCATTCCACAGAATTGTGGGATCATAGTTAGAGCTTCCCCCAGAGTTCATGAGTTTGAAATAAGCAAGATAAAAACTTTAGGGGGAAAGCTGTCAGGATGCCACTCCCCATCATGAAGCCATGGGTATGAGTTAAGGGCAATGAAACACAATGCTGGGAGCAAGTACCATGAATGCCTTCCTACTGTTGAAGTTTCCTTTGGCCTTCTAGATCCACATTTTAAATATTTCCACATTGTACTGGCATTCTGCTGTGCAGTACTTTATCCAGTATATCAGATGGCACCCAATTTGTGGGTCAAAGTTTAGCCACTAGGAATTTTCAGGCCTTTGGTAACAGGTCTTTAGGAATTTGTTGCTACAAGGACCCAGGAATGGGCTAGGAGTTGGTTTGCAAATGCAGAGTATTTGCTGGTAGAAATAGGCCGCAGCTCTTCTCTTCTTGAATGTGTTAAATCATCCAGTTGGGCTCTCTAGGGGCTCCATATAGTAATCTCTCTGCCATAGGCACTTCCACTATTCAGAGACAAAGACCATGTGGCATGGCAGCTTATCTTAGTCTGGACATGAAACAAAACCTTCTCTTGCTCTGCAACTAATTCAATAATTGCAACTATAAGAATGATCTGCTTAATGGATCTGAGAGGTAATCCTAAATGTTACAATCCCTCCAATTCTTGAGAGGCCTACCAAGCAGTGTCCTAATGTTAGCAGAAATGCAGCAACTTGCCCCTCATCTTTACAAGGACATCCTGTCAAGTTCCAGATTGCAGTACACAGCAGTGACTCTGGGGCTCACCCCGGCCTAGAGAATACTCATCACCTGTGTTTGACACACAGCCACTTCTGCTTCTTGATCCCTAGAAGTGGGGTACATTGTCCATATTGAGAAGCCAGGACAGACCTCTGACCAGGAAAGACAACCTACTCCCCAAATGGGGTGTTCTATCCTGCTCAGCCATGGTCTTGCCTGAGACCAGAGTTCTCAGTACCTGGAAGCACCAGCTCCACAAGCAGGAGCTGCCTTAGAAAAAGCAACTGCCTAGAGACGTTAGTGATAGACTTTAATTCCCTTTCCCCCTAAAAAAGCAAAACTAATGTTGATGTTGATGTCAAATGATGTTAGACAACCGAAAGAAGCCATGGGCAATGCTGTGTGTCTATTAGTCACATGACAGCTTTAAAATTCTATAGCTCTGTATGAGGAGGAAGGAGGTCTCAAATATCCCTGTCCTAACCATGTGGTTTAGTCTCTCCCAAGGAACATGGCCCCTTATATACATGTTGAATGTATCTCTTTTCTCTCTTGAAATGGAGGGCTTTATATCTTGACTTAAAATAATCAAGACCAGGAATACAATATAATCTGCCTATAGTAGGGGTTTGGGTAAAACTGGCAGAACAGGACTGTCACCTTTTTCCCCAGGCTCAAGTCCTAGATTCCATTTCCCTTACCCAAAAGGGGAACCCTTCTTCCTGCATGGGCTTTACCATCTCTCCAGAGATGAAACTTGGATGAGTCTCTGCTGTATGCAATGAGGATTCCAAGGCCCTGAGGTTGCTAGGCACTGTGGTCCTGGATGGCTCTCAAAGGAGCCATGGTTTCTCCCCTTCTCCCACTCCCCAACACTCGGAGATGAGGAGAAAGGAATGGTGTAGCCTGAAGTCCCAGGGACCCACGTAAGTCTTCATTCTATTACAGGATTTTCTGCCTTTCTTTTCTAGTACTTGCCTGGATTCTCCTTCCTCAGTCTAGGGAGATGCTGGCTTCAGTGTGCCTTTATGCTTTGCAACCTCCTGGTGTGCATGGAACTTCTGGTCTCTTGGGTCATGGGGTGCTTGGATATCTTCCCAAAGTGGGGCCCTTAAGGGTGCTCTCTGGGTTGAATGAACATATAGCCCACTGGCTCCCATACCTGGGGGGGTTCCAGGAATCCTGTCAGGCCACACCATCTCTTTTTGCCAGCATCTGTTGTTCTGGTATATCTCTCAAGGGTGGATTTTCTATTTTAGAAGTCATTTTGAGGTCTACATCACTCACTGGGATGTTTTCTGCCCTAGATAAATATCCCTATATGTTCTACAGTATCCTCTCCCTTTTTCTTGGGAATATTTTGCCTCCTAACAGGTCCTGATCTTTCAAGACTAGGGTCTCAACTTCAATTGTTCCCCTAATAGTAGGGGTGACATATCTTACATGGAGAGTTGCACCAGACATATGGGGCTAAACTCATGTCGTCTGCATGTCCTCCTGAATAAGTGAGTCTCAAATCTTTATCTCAGCCCTGCCATGTGAATTTGGTCTGAGGATTTAGCTCAATGCTGCTTGGTCCAATGGTCCACACATGTCTGGTTATCTTATCTCTTTTGTGAGCTGTTCTTTGGCTGGACCTCATTATCCCAGCTGGGGCTATGTTTTGGTGTTACCTGTTCCATGGGGCTTCACCTAATATGTGTGTTCGTGTTCCCCTCTTCCCATCTATACCTTTTGTGGAGTTCTTAACTTCATCCTCCACTACCTACTATCTGTCCCTATTGGGGTCTCTTGTAGGTTCTTAAAATGGCAGGTGGTTCTAAGTGGAGTTCATCAACTCTACTGCACCAGCTGCATCTCTGCAATTCCCCATCTCATGGCCGTTTGTAAGTAGACTATTTCTTCTTAGTTTCCAATTATTCCATTGATTTTTGTTGGTGGTGGTCTCGGGAACTTAAGCAGATATACAAGGCAAATAGGAAGGGGGTGATTAGGGAGAGATGGTGATCCCTTCAAGGTAGGTTTTAATCTGGCTAATGCTGCCACTGCTGTGGGTCCCTCTTAGGTGCAGTGGCTGTTCCTGCAGGGCATTAGATGTGTGATACGGTTGGCAGGGGCTGGGTCTGCATGGTCGGGGAGCAAGGACAGCTACAGTGGGCTCACCACAAAAGGAAAAGCAGGGAGGTGACCCTGAAGGGCGTTTCAACTATGCAGGATTACAGCCACTGCTAGGAGACAGGAAATAGGCTATGCAGCACTAGTCAGACTTCAAGAATTTGAAGATAAGACAACTTAGCTCTTCCTGAGCTACAGCTTGCAACGATGCCTCATAACACCAAACCATGCACTGAAAATATCTCAAGGGCTGATCAGACCCACGGATCCCAGGTCTTCATTTGTTCCCATTCCTGTGTGTAAGTTTGGATGCCTGAGGCAGGTTGATCCCAAGAGACACACTGTTCTATTGACTAGAGGTGACTGGCTGGCTATGTGTGTGGTTATATAAGAAGTGTCTGCTTATTTCAACAGGCAACAACTTGAGCTCACAAAACTTCCAAAAAACTGCATTAAGTTTGGAGCAAAAATAGCCAGTGGTCAAGACTGTAGTTCCCAGAAGACTGAGATCCTAGAGTTACTTTAAGCCAAAAAACAAACAAAACCCCAAGTGTGGTAGTCTGGGAAAGGCTTAGTCTAATCTGGAAGACTTAGGAAGTCTACCTCAATTTCTCCCAGTCAGGCAAGCTCAGGTCATGCTCTCAGTGACCAAGAAATTCATTGGGGCAATCTGTGTTACAGCTGTGCTCTATGGGACCCAGCTTGAAAGACCTTGGTTTACTGGAGATGAGGCAGACTTGCCAACTTCGGACTGCTTGAGAGCTGAGCAGCCCATGAACCTATTTGTCCTTCTTGCTGTGTATTTCACTTAGGAGTGAAGTTAGACTGGGGGGACTACTAATGTGAACACACACAAAACTACATTCCAAGAAGATATGGAAACTTCCCACAAACTAGATGCCTTTCCTCACCTCTGCTAGTCATCATCACTGAAGATGATAAACTAGTCCACAGGGATAGACATGGCAAAATAGTTGCATTTTTGAGCTGTACCTGATTCAATTTCTCTTCGTGACCTCATCTGAAATTTGTGTACATTGCATACAGATGTCTAACTTCTGTTGATGTCTAGTATTTGAACGTACTCCAGCTCATCCATCCTACCATTCAAGTGGTGGCTTGGGAAGTATCGCACTTAACATTTTCACAAGTTTGGATATGAAAACCCTAAGTATGTATGCCTTTTGGTTGTGTACGCTGTTTGAAATCTGTGGGTTCTGGGCTTCATATGGTTGACTCTCTGTGGACACCCCAGTCTTCCAAAAATGATGTGTCACTTAACATTGTCACTGTGTGAGTTGCAGTTGCTGTACATACTTGCCAGTGCCAGGGATATTTAGTTTCAGCACTTCTGGCAGCTGGGTCTTATGGTAGCTTTTGAATTCTTAATTTTATCCAGGTGTAATTATATCTTGTTGGTATAAGGTATTCTTGTCAACACAATACACATGTTGACCTCATGATCAGATTCGTGATCTGTTGCTACTTTGTTTGGTGGAATAGGCCGAAGAGTGGTCACTATAGCAACAATTTATATATGTCTATCAGGGAGAGGGTGAGTGGGAAATGGTGGCACATCAGATCATCTGAAACCTGTTTCTATAACTTTATTCTAGAACATGGATGAGTAATAAACAGGTCCTGAGTATTTGATAGTCTCCCTGCAAGATTAAAGGAGAATCTTTACCCCCAATTCAAAGAATTCTGTGGTCCTTGTCCTCCCTTTTTGTGGGCCACAGTCCTATAAACACAGGTTTGGGTCAAAAAGGATTTTCCACTCACTCAGATACAGAAATGTTCTGCCTATCCCAAGAAGTCATTGCTGGTTGCCTGGTCATTGAGTGCCTCTCCTCTCTCCAGCCTCTGTCTCGGTTCAGGTGCTTAGTGTGGTCTTGATGGCCTTGAGCAGCCTGAGGTTGGTCGCATACCTGGAGTGAAAGGCTTCCTCCATCTGGAGCATTTAGCCACCTGGGCTTCCTAAGTGGGCTCCAAGTTATTTTTAAATGGTAGAAGGAAAATTCCTAAGAGAATCTTAGTTCCATGTCATAAGGCAATGCTTGCAGAGCATCAGCAGGAACTGTGTGGGTCCTACCGATCTCCTTGGTAGGGCCACTGCTGGTCCTGACCCCTGTTTCCAGGGTCACTTCTGTTGGGGGGTTGGCAGGGCATGGTGGTCCCCCTGCATGGACCTGAATGGGAAAGGAGGCAGTGCTGATCAGCTAATCACCTGGCCTACTCTTTTTCTGACTTTTGTCTTTCTTAAAAGATTTACTCTGAACTTGATGCCTGGTGAACCTGCTACCTTACCTGTCAATACCTTACCTAAAACTAAAATGTGAAATGGAATTGGTAGCACATTCTACAATATTTGTCTCCTTTAGCTTTTTTCTTGGAAATTCTCCACTAAAGTGCTGGAGTCCAGTCACTCTGCCTTGCAGAAACAACTCAGGCCCAGAAGTGAGAGGAGAGACCGCTTGTCTTGCTGCCTGCTTTCTATTTTGAGTTAGGAGTTTAGTTTCTAACAGGTCACTTAAAGACTCCTTTGAGTGTTAGAGGAAAAGCCTGAATCTTCTAGTGTCTCATTCTATATGAAGTGGAAAAGTGATCTGCTCAGTCCTTGACCCCGTGAAGCTGGGAAGAACTTCTGGTGTATTAGTCCTTGGCTTACATGCCAGTTTCTGTTCTCAGAAACTTGGGTGAAAAACCAAGGGCCATAGACTTCCATGAGCTAGTTGAATACTTAGGGCATCTTGGCATTTGACTAAATCTGCCATAGCAGACAAACTAGTGGGGACAGGGAAGCTCCTGTTCCTTGCAAGACACAAAAACTGATACCTATAAGCTATGTAACTGGACTTGGTGAGGTAGCCGTTTTCTATGGAAACTTCACACTAAGAAATGGCAGGGAAGGGGCATCCCAGGATGCTTAGAGATGAAACTAGCATTCCTTCCCAGCCCAGTGTGTCCTCAAGTCTTCTAAGGACAGGATGAATGCCAAGGAATCATTGAGGGGGGTGGCAGTCATTCACTACAATGGCAGGGTTAGAACAATACTTGTGCTACACAGAACAAGACCAGGGCAAGTTGTCACCCTGGTGGGACAGGTACAAAGTGTGTTGAGACTGAAAAGCTCATTGGTGATGTCCTAATAGATGCAGTGGAGAAACATGGTTGCAGTGTGACCCTCTCCCTGTTGAAGGAACTCAAGCTTATCTTCCCTGTCTCCTGAGCAAGACTCTGCTACCTTCATGTAACACATTAGAGAGGAAAATGCAGCATTGGCTCTCTGGGTGTATTTGGAGCTGCATAAAGTTTCAGAGAACTTCTGCAGTGCTCTGCCTTAGCTAATTTCCACCTCCTAGAGCTGATGGCAACTTCTGGGTAGCAGTAGATGTCCCTGGGAAATGGGTTTGGAAGTGCACAGGGATAGGTACAACCAACACACCTCCCAGGAACTCAACCTGGTGAAGAAAACAGGAAGATAGGAAAAGACACTGGCTCCAAGCCCCATCAGCACCCACCCCAGCCTGGATAGTGGGTGTCTCACAGAAGGTACCACACACTGGAAGACTTTCTAAGCTGGGCAGCCAGCCCCTGAGCCAAGTGATAACTCCTATCCTTGGTGACAGCATTGGAACTCCAGGAATCCTGACAAGGAGGTTGAATCTACCCCAGGCTTGTCACTGGGTAGCAAGGCCTTGGGCTCTTACTGATACTCCATAGGAGTGTATGGCTCCGCTTGCCCACACAAAGCCAGTTTCTCAACCAGCTTGCTGGTCCCCATAGTCACACTGGTGTGGGTTACTCTCCGGATTTGATGTCAAGCTAAGAAAGCATGCTATTCAGTAAACTAGCAAGTGAAAGCCACCAGTATCTTTAATGTGCCTACTTCCTCGTATTTCCCCCTCATCTCAACAGGTTATTCACTGAAATTAACTCAACAGATTTTATACTACATACCCCTGAGTGACAATGTGACCTATAGCAAATGGATACTAAAATACTGAATACCTACCACGTGTAGTGCTGCTAAGGAACAAGCGTGCCCCTGCCAGACAGCAAGTTATACCCTAGTGACTAGGACAGAACACACCTACAGTTATGAATTGCTTAACGATGGGGACGCTCTGAGAAATGTTAGGTGATTTTCTTTGTCATCGTATGAAAAACATAGTGTACTTAGAGACCTAGATGGTATAACCCATTGTACACCTAGGCTGTATGGAATAGCTTATTGTCCTGTCTACTGTTGTATAAGCAGTCCATGGTTGACTGAAATGTCATTGTGGTATGTGACCATGCCCATGTGTCTATAGCCAAGAGATATAAAAGCAAGAGCTTGTAGGCCTTTATATAAAGGGTTTGGCTTTTGCTTTGGGTGAAATGGGAATGGATTCATGAGTTTTGAATGCCCAGCCTTCTGTTTGAAGGATCCTCACTGGCTCTGTGGACCATAGGTTATAGGGGGAAAGAGACCAGTTCGAAGCAACATGTAGAAGTCTAGGTGTACAGTGGCAGCTTAGTCTAGGTGCACGGTTGTAGAGGCATGAATTGGTCAGATATGAGCCCATGCAGGAAGAATTGACAACTTCTGGATACTTGAGGTAAGAAGGTTACATGGGGAAAGTTTTGCAGGGAAGGCAAAACTTGGGAGTGGTAAGTTTGATATACGTAAAAGCAAAGCTGTTGAAAGCAAACTGCTACTAATTTTGTCATCTCAAATTCTGTCCATATTCTATCCTGACAGCAGCAAGAAATGGATGTTTTCATGTCAAACTAAGGTGGAGAAGGAGAAAGGAGGATGAGAGTCTGCAATGAAATGGCTATGGGGATGGATCATCAATGCTAAATTGGGAAGGGAGGGGAAGCCGGTTGGAGGCCTACTTAACTGTATTTAAAAAAAAAAAAAAAAAAAAAAAAAAACAGGATCCATAGCTGAATTGGCCTCCACTACTACAACAGTCCTTATGAGGATGAAAGATTAAGTGGTATAGAATGACAAAATGCCAGAGTAGGATGACTCACAATATGAAGAGTTCCTCTAGAGATCAGGCATCTACAGGTAACCACAGGAATCAACTTTCTTGATGGAGTAAGTCTGTGGAAGTGAGGTCAGAACGAGGTTCACTCTTTGGTTCCTTCAGCATGCATGAAGATGACATGAGCATGACAGGTGGCACTGCTGAGTGGGGAGAGCAAGGTGCTACCACAGCCAAGGAATGAGAGGGAGCCGCCAGGTGGCCAGGACACGCTTGTAACAAGTTGAAGAGAAAACTCCATGCCTTGGACTTGGAAAGTGCTGTGGAGTTGGAGTGAGGAATGTTCTGTAGAAGTTAGGAAAACATTCTCCTGCTCTACTCCCTGTAATGTTGGAAATATGGGAATAAGTTATTTTCTGTAACCCTCATGAGCAGATGCAGTGCCCTCAAGGAGCAGGCAAGTTACTATTTCACCACACCAATAAGGAGCCGCCAAAAGTTTGGGACTCTGGTCTTTGGCAGAGTTGCCAATATCCCCAAAGAATTCAGTGAAATGTTCCAAACCATTTCAAAGGAGTGTGTCTTACAGTGGAATGACAGTTCAGACATATAAGTAATCAAGATCTGGCATCTTAGACTTTTCTCTTTTGATTCTCTATTTTCTTGACCACACTTGAAAATACTTTTCTGATGTTCACTGCTTGACACCTCGTGGCCTTCTGACTCTGCTTACCTGAGGCTTTTATTATCTTGACTTGAACTTTTTGATGTCCCAACTTATGAGTGCGTAATAGCCACTGGGAATGTTAATCTAGGAATCTGTGTATCTCTTCCAGAAAAGATGACTTTTACACCAAAACCCCTAACCTGAATTGATCCATGCCATGGAGACAGGGCTTTTCCCTTTCTTTCCTCTTTATCCTTAGTCAAGGTTTAAGTATCAACACTGTAGTCCAAAAAGCAGAGAAATTCATATCCATGATAAATCAATATGAGGCTAATTTCCAGTTGGGAACAAATTCTGGACCTAAATGTTGATCAGGTTTCCATGCCAGAATCAAGTATAACAAGACTCAGGAAATACAGGGAGCTGAGCTTGGGGCCATCTCCTTTTCACAAGTCTGATCAGGAAAATCCCCCTCTAGGCCTATGATATCCTACCTGGCCCTTGTGCCACCCTCACTGCCAATGCCAAGGAGACTGTTCTACAAACTTTGTCCACTCGATTCTAGCTTCCTATTTGGGAAGGTCCTATCTTCCTAGAGAAAGCCCTGGTGTCCTCGGCAAGGACAAAAGGGATTGTGCCTCTAAGCTTGTCTTTAAGGGGCTAACAGCATGACAAAGCCTTGGAGCTTCTCAGATGGTTTGATCCGAGTTTTGAAAGTAACAGAACTCTGAATAAGTATAGCGTAACAACAATCACTGACATGTTCTTCAGAGAACTAAGGAAAGGGAAAGTGATGCAGGAACTGGGTTTCCTGGTGAGAGGTGGCATTGGGAAGGAGTCGGAGGCTGAGCTGATGGGGTTAATAACCGTGGCCCTGCTGGCTCACTGTCAGAGACTGCTTCTATACCCCTGGCAAGGGGGGAAGGGAAGCAGGCTGCCTAGGAGACAGGTGGGATTTGCCGTATCGGAGAAACTTAGAAATATGGAAGGAGGAAAGCCCAGGGCCAGAAGTAAGTTGAGGGAAGAGTGGAGTGGAGTGCCCTTTAACAAGGACAAAGATCACCCCCTCCAGGGTTATGGCCAGGCTGACCTCAGGACAGGGGGCTTAGAGCGAGCACCAACACCGGGCAGTCTGACATCAAACTGGAGAACACTTAGCATTTCAGGTGAATTTAAAACTAATCCTGGTTTAGAGTGAAGCGGGACTCGAGCTGTGCCCCGAGATGGATCTAAAGCTGCCTATACTTCAAACCAACACAAGAAGGACAAATGTGTGTCCGATTTACAGGAAAGCATCTTTGCTTGAGAAGCCCCTCACTTTGGCCTGGGGGGGACAGCGGTGGAGTCTCTCTAGCCAGCCTAGCCAGCTTTCCCAGCACAATAAGCTAGAAGAATTACAAGCCCAGCAGTAACTCAAGTTTTAATTCCTGCTGGGTTCTTGTTGGCTTAGTCCTGACGCCTGTGCACAGATACACCAGAGATGTTGCTATCCATGTGGTGAGGGTTCAAATCAGATTAGGTTGAATAGGCAGGAGAAGTTTGAAACCAGGAAACTGAATTTACATCATCAGGCTCAAGAAAATAGCATAACTAGAGGCAGTATATAGGGGTCACCTTACAGTTTCTTGTAGCTAATTCTATGAATCTACTTGAGATTTGAAACTACTTGGGTGAATCTGGGTGAATATTCCAAAGGTCTCAAGTGTTAGGAAGTTAATGTCATATATTGAGGTTTACTTGGAGATATTGAGTTGGGGGCTAGTGTATCAGATCAAAGGTGGTGTATCCTGAACTTCAGTTTAGCAATTAACAGACATTCCTAGGAGCAAGAGATGCCTCTTCTTGCCCCCTGTCAATTGTTGCCTGAGCAGGTGCAGGTCTAAGCCAAACCTTATACAGTAGCCCTGCCTTATCAGCCCAGCTAAAAGCCAGGTACTCATAACATGAGTGGAAGCGGGGAGCTGGCTCCTAGGACTCCTAGATGAGGAGTGGGGCCTGTCTGGCCAACATGACCTCCCTAAGACCTGCCTGGGGGGTAGGGGGGAAGACTCCTGTCTTGCTATCAAAGGTGAGGGTGTAAAGAACACAGCATGGCCTTAAGGACTTCCAAGTTTCCACCATAGAATTGTCCATGGTGGAGCTGATGGTAGAGTAGTCCAAGCTTCCACAGTGGTACCCATGCTTCTGGTGGCTATCTAAGCAATGGAGCCAGGTGTCTTGGAGTGCAGGCATTTCAGCGGTTGTTCATACCACAGAGGCATCTCTTTTCTACATAAGAGCATACTGGGCTGTGGGTCCTATAGTAGCTGGAGGGCCTCAGCTACTAGAACCCCTAAAGTGAGTAGGGGAGAAACACAAGTCACTCAGCCCTGCCAATGGGATACATCAGGTAAGAGGACTTTCCTACTTAACTCCCCCTTTTAAGAAGGGCAGCCATTGGATGGGACCTTGTCAACAAGTACCCAAAGCCCAGACGCAGCTCTGGCTCTATTTCCTGAGCCACTTCTACTACTAAGAGCCACATAGACCAATAGGGAAGGAGGAAGACAGGGTTGAAACCTGCGTCCCTCCATATCTTGCTCAAACTGGCTCCACCTGATAGCCCCAGGTTTGTGCTACTTCAGTAGCTTAAATTGACAGGAAACCAGAGATTTTCAACTCTTGCTAAGCTTTCTAGATTGAGAACCATGATATCTTCTGTCCGATAATTTAATATCTACTTTCCTATGAAAGCTCAATTGTGAAGATGCAAGACTATTAAAATAAATATGGCCACTTCTAATGTATTAGAAAGCAGCATGAACTCTTTCCTAAACATTCTTGGGTTGATGGAGCTGTTTTGAAACTGCAAATTTTTCATCAATTAAAGAAGAATAATAAGACTTAAAACGAAAAACAAACTGGCAGCTGGAAAGTCCCGCTAAGACCAATCTCCTTGGGGGCAGACATCTTCCTTCTGTCTCCCGGATCTCTCCATCATACTTCCATACATACATCTGTAGTTCCTGGAGCCTGATCTCAAAACTTTCCCATAGTCTCTGGCCTCTTGGGTTTCCCCAATGAGAAGCTCCACACAAGACTGGTAGGAAGGACACAGTGACATCAGTAGTGTCTTTGCCCCCTCCCTCAAAGGTCATCTTGAGCAGCCTGTATTCCTCGACTGAAGGTGGCTGCCATGCCAAGGTAGTTCTATTAGTTTGCCTGTCCTCTAATGCTCCAGTTTTAGTAACAGCTCATGTTCCTTAATTCTCTGGCCTGATACTTATTTGTTCTCAAGCAATTCCTAGATGACCACCTATCTGGGAACTTATTAGAAATGTGAACTTTTATATACAGAACCCAGCCTACCAGAGCAGAAGCCCCAGGGGTGGATCTAGCAATCTGTTTTAGCAAACACTCTAGGGAGGTCCCCATGCCACTAAAGTAGATCGCCCCTGCTCTGGGTGACAAAGCCCCTGGGTTGCATTCCCCTGTGGTTCCAAGGTTCTCCCTTCATTCTGCATCTTCCCTCCTTGAGTCATTGAGTTCAGGGTGCCATCAGTTTCCTGTCTGATCGCCTCTGCCTCAATAATGCCATGAAGCTTTAGTTTATATTGAGTTCTATTGTGGCTATTGATCATTTTTTCATGCTGTGGGTGGCAGGGAAGGACAAACTTTAAGCTTTGGAGATAAATTTTGAAGGCATTATTTCCAGAAGGGGTATCCTATTCCTGCATGCCCCACAAGGCAATTTAGCCCAAGTTACAGTATTAGTGAGGAGATAATGGTGTCAGAAGACAGCCTCATTGCCACGAAGGCCCTGGTTAGAATTAGAGTCAAGATCTTCTGTTTAGAGCTGGGTAGCTTCATACTGTAAAGTTGCAAAAATTCCAAACTATAGTCTAGAGAAGCTGGCTTCCAGCTCCATTACTTTGAGATCATTTAGAATGAAGAGCCTATGAGTTCCCAACTTGGAATTCCCAGTAAAATTTCAATCTGGATACTTGAGCCCAAGACTCACTGCATACAGATACTTGGGAGCCTGTGACATTTGGCACCTTCTATTGATACATTATTGCAGTTACAAAAGTTACCTTTGGCCTCAAGGTTGAAGCTATAAACCCACCCATCTTGGTTACCTTGGCCTCAACTTGGTGAGAAGGGAAAAACTCTGAGTCACCTTGCATCAGAAAATGCAAGAAGTTTGGCTTGGTCATTCCCTAAACTTGTGGGGTCAGAGTTACTGGCTTTCTAGAAAATGTTTCTTAAAGATAAACTTAAAACTGTCCTTCAGGCTACCCCTCCCACCATGGAGCCATGGATGAGTTGAGGCAGATAATCTCAGTGCTGGGAGCAGGTGTCATGGACATATGAACTTCCTGCTATTGAAATCTCCTTGAGCCTTCCAGAATTGAGCCAGCAGTCTTTTAAATAATATTTCCACATTATACTGGCATTCTGTACAGCACAATTTTGATCCAGTAGACTGTACCCAGCTCATGGCACAAAGTTCAGCCAATGGGAATTCTCAGGTATTTAGTGGACCATCTTCTAGGTACTTGGTGCTACCAGGACCCAGGAACAAGCCAGAGTTGGTTTTCAAATGTAGAATAATTGCTAGCAGAAGTAGGTATAGCTCTTTTCCTAGAATCTGACATTCAATTTGGGCTTTCCAGTGGTGTCAGGTAGCAAGTCTGCCATAGGAACTCATACTACTATATCTATTGAGACAAAGGCCATAGGCATGGCCCTTGTCTTAGTCTGGACATGAAGCAATGCCTTCTCTTGCTGTGTCCAACTCAACAGAAGCTTTAAGAATGACCTGGTTAGTGCATCTGAGCACCAGCCCCAAATTGTGCTATAGGTCCTCCAAATTTCAAGAGGCCTATCAAGCATTGTCTCTAAAGTTAGTTACTGCAGATGAAGCAACTTGTGCCTCTTTTGAGGCTATCCTGATGAGTCCCAAGTTAATATAGCAGTGACTCAGGGGCATGCGTCTCCCTGGAAAATCTTCATTGCGTGTGTTTGAAACATTGCCAGCTTTTTGGCCTTTCTGACCCGTAGAATCGGGATGTTCTCCTGGCTTCTCAACATGGACAAAGCAGAACTCTGACCAGAGAAGACAACCTATGCCCAGCAGTAGTGTGTTTCTGACCTGCTCAGCTTGTATGTTGACAGAGCTGTTCTCGCTACCCAGGGAAATCGGTCCCATGAGCAGGAGCCACTTGGAACAAGCATGTGCCTGGAGATGTGTGATCAGGTTGCCATGTGGCCTCCTCAGAGCATCTGAGGAGGTGGCTGTTCTTCCTGGCACTGCTCCATGGTCCCCTGAGAGTAGAGGAGGGACTATAGGGTACTAGGAAGGAGTCCATCTACTTGGGGCTTTGGCCAAAACTGACATGGAATGCCAGAGCTCTGTGCAGATGTTATACCCAATAAGATCTTTCTCCCTGATCCTGACCAGACTTTTCTCGAGATGATTTCACAGTGTCCTGAAGGAAGTTCTCTCTAGCTCACCTGCTTCGTAAATATTTTAGAAGACCTGAGTTTAAGACCAGAATCTAGACATTCAAGGCTGACCCAGACTCTGACCTCTTAGTGAAGTAGCACGTTGATCATTTCAAGGTGAGCTCTGGTTCTACAGACCCACTTAATTGTTTAAACTCTATGTTCAGACTTTATCATTTCTATTGCCCTGACTTCAAGTTCGTGACACTTGTTACTTGTATTCTGCTACTGAGTCCATCCAGTGAGTTTTTACCTTTGTTATATGTTTCAGTTCTAAAACTTTCACTTGTTTTCTTTGAGACTTTCTATTTTACTTGTTTCAAGAGTGTTAAACTGCTCATTGGAGTCTCTTAAACATTTTTCTATCTTTTTTAGTGTTCATATCTGATTGTCCTTGTCTTTGTTTTGGCTTAAAATAACACATTTATCTCAGTTTCCATGGGTCAGGATCCTGTCTTATTCAAGCTGAAATGTTTCTGGCTCTTGATAATGACATGGAAAAGTTGAGATAGGGTGATCCCCAACATATATTTAGGGGAGCCAATTGCTGAGGACAAAACCAGTCTGAAGGAAGAACTCTAGAACCTTAGGTTGTTGGTCACTAATTCACTCCTCAGGCTTGCATGAGGACTTGAAGCTCATGAGAATGTGGGTATTCGCTATCCAAGATGAGCAGGCCACATGGCATTACACAGGAGCTGGGATGGGTTTTGCTTTCTTTGGAGCAGCAGTAAGTTACTAAGGTTCATAAAACTCTCTATAATCTCTACTTATGTTCCAGCTAAATAAAGTGGCTAGTGGATAAGCCCACTTATAGAGGACTTAAAAACTGATTTTGTTGGCTATACGTTTTTATTTATCTGAGAATAAGAACAACCCCAGTAAGGTGATAAAACTAGGAATGTCCCCACTCTCCTGCTAGAGGATTAAGCTAAGAGTAACATCCAAAGTAACATGAAGCACCTAGACCTATATTTCTCCCATCCTGTGTACCATGCTCCCAGCCAACAAGGTGTCCATATTTTAGCCTCTTGGAATATCATGTCCACCTATAGAGGTTCTGATAAACAGGTTCTTATTGAAGTGCCATTAGGAGCCATGGTTTGAGGTGCATGACTAGCTCTACAGGTCTATTGTCCTCGTGGAGATGTTCTGTTCCCTGAAAGTTTTGACCTTGTTGTAGTTCATGACTGTAACAAAGTTACGTGATCAGATGCAGCTCCCTATTCTCTTCATAAATTGACTATCCTAAGGATGTATGCTGCCTCTACTGTTATCTGGAGAGCTAGATGGGAAGGACTTTTTTTGTGAAAAAGCAAAAGAAGTCTCAAAATGAGCTACACTGGATATCTGTTAATAAGCTTTTATTTTAAATCATTACTTTGGAAATTCTCTAAGAATTGTGAATACTCACATGTAGGCTTGTTGATGGTGTAGAAAGCTCTTCCTAACCCTGCTGCCAAGTTATTTATACATAGAGCCCCCCTACATTGCCATAACTAATGTGGGAAGATTGTCTAGAGCAAGGCAAACTATTTCATGGCTTGAAAAAAATCAAAAGGCTTTTAAATGGAATTAGATTGTGTGCTAAATTGAAGTAGTGCTTATTAGTAACTAAAATAGCAAGAATATGAAACTTACAATCTATACAAACTGCATTTTCTGCAAGGATAATAATTGGCTTTAACAAACATGTTTTCTGAGTTGAGAAGTTTGGTTCTTAAAAGCAGTTCTTTTCTGTTGCCCATAATAGTAGGAATATGGAGGCATTAAATAACCTATACTTTTTTTCTTCTCCTTGTTATGCAAGCTTTCAAAGTAATAGAACTGGGAGAAAAAAGGATGTCCAGAGATGCAATTTTCTTCATGGTACACCTTCTTGTAAGAGGCTGAGAGTTAAATTTAAGAACTCAACCAAGAAGAGAGCCTTTTCTTGAACTCCTCTTCTTTCCAATGTTTCCAAAGTGTTTCTCCCATTGAGATGGTTAAATTTCCAGGTATCAGTACCCACTAGGACATCCGTTGCCTGCCCAGTGTGAGAACTGCCACAAGACTCTCTCATTAGCTGCACTTCTTGCCCCTATGCCAGCCACATGCCTTGGACACATGAAACATAGATTTGGCCAAATAGGGTGCTGATCACTTTTCTCAGTGGAAAACAGACATTTTCTAATCAATGACTCACAGTGGCCATGTATCCTGAGATCAGTGTGTTTCAGGATGATTCCAATCATAGCGCAATAGTACCACTGAGCCTGGGATAAAGGAAGCTTGGTATTTGGGAGCTCAGTTCCCTCAACAATGAGTTTCCATTTGCATCAACTGGGGTGAAGCTAGTATAGAATACATTGTGGAGTCTGGGCGTATCCTCAAGTGCCCTTGAGAAGGCTGAGGCACTATTGAACAATGAGCAGAATGGGTCATCCTTACCCCCTCTAACAACCCCTATGTTGGTCATAGCTGATTCTCTCCTCTGCTTAGGGGTCTCGGCCAATATCATCTTTGGTATAATGAAGGAACTGGTGACCACAGTTCACATCAAGAAGGTACTAAATAAGGGGTAAAGGCATCTGCCTTGTATTTTGGTATATTGAAAAAGGGCTGTCCTTGCTGGAGTGAAAAGGATAGACATGTGTTTTTTTTGTTTGTTTGTTTTCTGAAAACATATGTCCTGTTGAAAGTTTATAAATTGTCAACCCAAGTGATAGTTTATTTGTCTGTAAGTAGCTTAGCCAGTCTTAATCTTGAGAGTCTAGTCAACTCTTTTGGATTCTAAAAATCTTAGTTGAAGTAGACACTGAGAATTGCATCCTACACTGTGCTGAGCAATAGATGATGTAGGTACCCTACCAAGACCCCCATCCTGCCACCTTCATCTCGGTGCACACCTTTGAATTGGCTTATACAGACCTATGACCTGAGAAACAGAGCATGAAGTATATGTCCTGGGGTGTCTATCTTCCTTTCCTCAATGCAGAGGTTACAAACTTGAATGCCTCTGAAGCCAGGCATGGGGTTTAGATAAGGGCAGAGCACCTGGGCAGCCTGTGGTGAACTAAGCAGGTCAGGACCTAGTGAAAAAAATTGCTTCTCAATTCAGTTACTTTTACCGTATGTGAATTCAGGCCCAGCGTTGTTGGATCATTCCCTTAAAAAAACTAGGAATCTGGATTTTTATATGAAATCTCTAGGTTTATAAACCCACAAAGCAAAAGCTGTAGAAGGAAGCTTTTTATACAGTGAATATATTATATAATTCTATTAACATGAAGTTCTACAACATGTAAAGCTAATCTATAGTAGGGAACAGGGTGGGGAGGTGGGAAGTCCAAACTAATGGTTGCCTTTAAGGAGATGTAAAGGGGGGGGGGGTGATTGGAAAAGGTCTTCAGGGAAGCTTCTGGAATAGAAGTAATCTTGTGGGGATTGGGTTACTGGTACTTGCATTTACCAAGACCCATTGAATGGCACACTGCAGATCTGTACATTTCATGTGACTTCTTAAAAGTAATAAATATTGAACTTGAGCTCAATTATTGAATAACAGGTATTTAGGGGCAAGAGCCAATGCCGATAACTCATTTCAAAATTTATCAAAAATGAAATTTTTGGATACATACACAATAAAGCAAATGTTGCTTAGAAAATGTAAACTGTGGCAATTAAATGGTAGATAACTATAAAGTTATTTCAGCTTTTCTGTTTTCTCCTTAATGTTAGAGGAAACAAATTGCAACCAAAGAAAAGTACCTGGAAGTCAAAGCTAACAGCTTAACACTTCAGCATTTATTCACTTGTAGAGAAAAGCATGATGTTGCAAGGAATTCTATAGTTCCTCTCTTCGAGCTGATTGTATTAAGCCATAAATCACTACTGCATTGCTGAAATAAGGAGTTGCAGTTTGTGTGGAGAGATTATAATCATCATCAATCACCATAGACATTATGGGTAACAGTAAAATGAAAATAGAAGCCATTTAATTAGTAAGTACTCTACCAAACATTGTCTTCTAATTCTCACAACAGACCTCCTAGGTGGCTACTCTCAAACTCCATTTATGTGGAAACTTCAGTAATTTAAGTCTTAATTTAAGTAAACTAAGAAACATGCATCAAGCTAAAAATCAGTCTGTAGGATTCATTTACTAGGGCAGTCTGGAGCCAGGTATAATCTTGCCTTGGTATGAGATTAAGTTCATCAAGTACTTTTTGCTCAGAAAACTCTTCATAACTTACAATATTATTCTGTGAACTCAATTTCAAAGTATTGTGGTGGGTTGTCATAAAATAGAAATGTTAATTTATAGGTACCTTATAGCTGGAATATGGGAAATTCCTGTAGCTTTACATTAGTGTAGCATCACTTTTGTGTAAATAATTTAGCAAATATAACCATGCTAACTTGTAGTGACAGGAAAACCTTGGCTCAAAGCAAATAGAGCTGCATACATTCCAGTGGAAATCGGTACATATCATGACAAAGGAAATTCTAAGTTGCCAAGAAAACGGAGCAACGCAGTGGCCTGGAGGTGGAAGCCAGGGGCCAGCAGGTATGGCCAGGACTGTGCCAAGCCCCAGGGCAGTGGGACCCAGACCCAGGGCAGGGGCTTGGCTTGCCTAAGGGCCTCTCTCTGCTGCTGTGGCTGCTGCTACCAGACACTGCTACCTAAGCTTCTAGATCTTAACAGGGCCTCTGTGCCTGTGGACTTTTTCCCTCTACTGTTCTTGATAGTGTTGGAAGCTAGTCCACATGCAACAGTGAGTTGTGTGAGAGGGGCAGTTGAACCTCTGGGCACCTGCTTTTTCATCGTATATTTATGGGGAACGATGTGATGTTTTGATCTACATATACATTGCAGAAAGTTTCAAGCTAACCAATGTCACTTCACTAACTCATTTTTGCAACAAAAATGTTAAATCTATGAAAAATCTTGAAATATACAGTATGGTAACTGTTCATCTATGTAGTACAGTAGACTAAGAGTTGTCCCTCCCACCTAACAGAAAATTTGTTCTTCTTGATTAACATCTTTTCCTCCCGTCCCTGTCCCCTTCCCCCAGGATCTGGGGAACTGTACCCCAGCCACTGGCAGGGAGAGACATCCATGGGGCCTCCAGAGGGCCTGAGAGCCACAGAGCAAGTGGAGGAGGAGGCAGGTCCAAGACAGCTCATCTCCAAGTTCATGTTCAGTCCTCATTAAATTCATCTCCAAGTTCATGTTCAGTCCTAATTAAATGGTCCTGGTGGGGCTTCTGAAATGCCCACTGCACAATTCCATATTCCTGGTAAGGGCTGGGGCTGGGAAACACAAAACGAAGGACCTCTGGTTCTGTAGCATGTACTAGGGCTGAGTGGTTGGATGTTAACCCAAGAACAGGAAATGGCCTTCTAGGCAGAGCCATAGGCTCTGCCCCCACCACCCACACAGCCAAGATTAGACTGAGCCCAAAGCTCAGTTGCAGGAAGAGGAGATGAACCTGTATCAGCCCCTGGGCCAGGTGGGAAGGAGGAACATTGGGAAGGGCCAACCTGGCTTGGGGGTTCCACGGCCTGAGGTTCCTGGACCCTCCCCTCTGCCCACACTCCATGTCAGCTGACCAAGTCTCCCTGTGGCTACAAAGGCCAAAGTCCCTCCTCAGGCCAGAAGAACCCTGAAGCTCCCCACTGGCTACATCTAGTGCTCCTCCCAAGAGATGGCCTCTTCCCTGGTAGAGCAGACCTATGGGTCTTTAGTTCTCACTCTGGGAATCATTTGGCCTTAATATGCAAGAGGCCAGTGTCTCCTGGAAGATTTGCCATGGGCCTTCCTGGAACACAACACTCCTACCTGCCTTGGCTGTGAATCGAGACAGAGAAGTCTCCTCTGGCTTCACAACAGAAGCCAGGGAGTGCTCATCACACAGCCTGCACTGCTGATGCAGTGGTCAAGTTCCCACCACGTGGGCCCAGAAGCAGGTGAGACAAGGGAACCAGAGTTGATCACAGCAAAAATTGGCCAGTGTATGCCCACAGGTGCCAGGGCAGTACTCAAAGATGCTTGATCAGCAGGGCTGGAATTAGATGAGCTTGTCGACTTGACACTTTCTTGAGATACAGAATCTAACACTCTGGCAAGGACACCATAGGATGGTGTGAACTCGCTGCCAGGTGTCAACTAGAAGCCTGGGGAAGCCCATTGTGAGCAAAGTTGAAGTGCCAGAGTCCCTGTGGCAGACAGCAGAGGAAAAGATGGTGCTCAGGATAGTGGGCATGCCAGGGTGGTGTACAATGTGAGTTCAGAAGACAAGTAGGAGATTATGCAATGGCCCAGACGACATGTGCTTCACGAAGACCACCAGCAATGCACCAGTGAGGGGCACAGCATCACTGAGAAGTGCAGTGGCATCTCCTGTGTAGACCAAGGCTGGTGGTAGGAGAGGAGTCCATGGAATTTGTCCCGCTGTTAGCAATGGGGACTCTTCCATACGCTACTCCCATCTAAGCAACAGAAGTCAGGCAGCCACAGCTAGACATCTCATGACTAGCAAGGTGACTGCTGTAGCCAAGGGGCCATGACGTGGGGAAAACAAAGACAATCATTAGAAAATGTCATACTAAGAAGTAGTACTTGGCTGACCTGTTTTGCCCCAAGGATGTAATCAAAAGAAAGCAAGAAGGAAGAACAGGAAGTTGAGAGGAGTACTAAAATAGTCCTGATTCCTTACCCAATTCCTGGACCTATGACAACTCTTAAGACCCAGAACCCATCAACTGACGAGGTAACAGATTTCCAAAGAATCAGCAAGACCAAAATTATATTGATTTTACTAGTTGTTTTCCAAAGAAACTGACCATTTTATGGGGCTGTACCCTGAGGAAAGAGAAAACCCAGCCATTTCAAGGATTACTTAAACATGAGAGATGTGGTGTTACCCAAAACTGCTACCATCATCATGACACTTGGTTAGATGGAAGCATTTGTGACCAGTTCCCAAGTGGCCACTTGGATAAGGTCCAGCTTCCACTGGGTCTAGTGCATCTTCAGACACAACTTGTGGTTCCTTCCCTAGTCCCTGTAAAATATGACTGAGGATGATATCCTTGAGTCGGAGAGACCTTCACATTTGGGTCCTTGGCCTGTAGAGTAAGAGCTGTCATTGTAGTCAAGGTCAAGTGGAAGCTGCTTAAACTGCCCCCTTTTTCAACAGGATAACAAATCAAAAACAGATTGTATGCTGGGGCGAGGGGCACAGTGACAGCAAAGATTTACCCCACTCTTGAGGGTGATAAAGGATGTGTGGGTGTGGCTATCCTTCCCACATCTCCATTTTTGCTACCTGTCTTTCCTCCACAGAAACTGGAAAGAGCCTGCAAAAGGACTGTGGGCCACCATGAGCTCAAGAAAGTAGAAATGATCCTAGCTGCTGTGCCAGACATAGCATTGTTGCTAGCACAGATTGGTGCTGTGCAGTATCGGGTACATGCTATGCACATGCTGACTTGCCAAATGCACTACTTGAAGTCTCAGTACGGGGGTAAACAGAATTGCTTGCATTCACATAGAACATTCAACAATATGCGTTGTTTTGTTCCAAGACTGTATAAGTGTCCCTGCTCTATCATAGTTCAAGAAGACTGAATTGTCTGAGAATCCTGTAGAATGTCACAGTAGTCCATTACTTTAACAATATGCTGATTGTGAAAGATGAGCAAGAGGGGGGTCAGCATGGGGGAGGCCTTGGCATAAAAAACCTGGACCTCAGAGGGTAGGGTGGGGGAGAAATTCTACAAGAATTCTAGGAACTGTAGCAGGACAAGCTACAGACAAAACTCCTCAGACACCGGATTAAAGAAGGAAGAGGGTTTTTTTAATTCAGTCGGGAGTGTCAGCAGACTAGCGTCTTAAGAGCTGAGCTCCCCAAAGACAGAGTTCCTGGCCCTTTTTAAGGGCTTACAACTCTAAGAAGTTCCACGTGAAAGGGTCATGATGGATTGAGATCACATGTGGTTAGAGTTTGGGGGGGGCGTTAACCTTTTAACCTCAAGGTGGGTCATCAGTGGCACCGGCTGGTCTTGCCACTGACTTCATTCCTGTTTTTCAAATTTTACTTCTTCCTCCTCTTCAGAGACAGACGGTAAGAGAAATGGCTTCTCGCCTCCTTCCCCCCTTTGAGAACCTCACTCACTATTGGGAGTTCTCACTCTCATCTACATTACCCAGGTCTTCCTGCCAGTCCAGTTCCATTGACTCCTAGAGTTACATACTCTCCTGTTTTCCAATGGGGATTGGTCACTTCCTGGGATGCATACCTTGTGCTGGGTGGCATTATACACACAAGTCCCTTTTAAACAAAAAGACTGTTTTAACTTTTTGCCCTACCTCAGTCTGAGGAATGTCAGTTGAAGTCCTTATTGTACAAGTCCAAAATTTAAGAAAAGTGAGTTCCACGATGAGTTTCCTCCTGCTTCGGCCATGCATGGACCAGTCAGCTTCTGGGTGTGACTGGAGCAGGGCTTGTTGTCTTCAGGGTCACTCTGCAAGGGCTGTCCGGGCTTGGTCTTGCCTCCCAGGTTTCAGGCACTGTGGGTTTTACACGGCTGTGGTGGATCCAGGCTGGGATTCCCTCTACCTTCACAGCGGTAGGAGTGGTCAGGATGACAATCTGGGGTCCTTTCCACTGTGGTCACAAAAAAGCTACGTTCCAGTCCTTGATCCACACTCAATCACCTAGGGAGAAATGGTGAACTGGGGAGAATAACAGGGCATCTCTTTTACCCAGGCTGAGATTGTTTGTGTAATTTTTCCTAAAGCCTGTTGCTGTCACTGTAACTCAATTTCACCTAACTCTGAGTGCCTGGAAGTCCCCACAATATGGGAGGGGGCCTATGATATAATATTTCATAAGGGGAATATCCTGTTTTTTTAGAAGGGGCACATCTAATTTTAAATAATACTATAGGGAGAACCTGTATCCATTTTATTCCTGTTTCCTGACATATGTTCCCTAAACTATTTTTGATAGGCCGATTCATCTGCTCCATCTTTCCGGAACACTGAGGCTGGTAGGCGGCATGCAGTTTCCACGTGATCCCCAATACCTTTGCCATCTTCTGTACCAAGTCAGCCACAAATGCCAGCCTGTTATCTGAGCCCCAATCCGTAAGGGCAGTCCAAATCTAGGAATAAGATCTCAAAGAAGCACACGGGTTATTTCACGAGCTTGCTCAGTTCATGTTGGATAAGCCTCCACCCACCCGGAGTAGGTACACACGAGAACTAGTAAATACTTGTTACCTCCACACTTCAGCATCTCTGTGAGGTCTACCTGGAGATCTTAAAAGGGGGCTGCTCCATAAGCTTGTATGCCAGGCGGAATGGCTGGACCTTGCCTTTCATTATGCTGTCGGCAGGTAACACACCACTGTGTCACCGTTTTGGCAAGGGCGGGCAAATGCGAGATGTAGAAACATGGGCCTAACAACTTTTCAAGTGACTCCTGACCTAGATGGGTGGTTTCATGCACAGCCAGTACAACTGCAGCTCCCAGCAGCTGTGGTACAGCTACTCTCCCATCTGGTAACTGAATCCATCCTTTCCTCCATCACTTGTCCTCCCCCTACCTGGAGAAAGTCCTTTTCTTTAGAATAAATAGGTACAAGATCAGGAGCCTGAGGGAGCAGAGGGGCTGTGACTGATGCCTGGAAGGGGGCAGATGCTGCTTCTTGAGCCTCTGAGTCAGCGTGGGAATTCCCCAAACCCACCAAGGTGGAAGCTCACTGGTGTCCTCTGCAATGCATAACTGCCACCTTGTGGGGCTTCCATACCACTTCTAATAATTGCAAGATTTCTTGTTGAAATTTTATGTCTTTTCCCCCAGAGTTCAATCGGCCCTTTTCTTTATATAATGCTCCATGCACTTGAAGGAAGGCATACTGAGAATCAGTGTAAGTGTTTACAGTCTTACCTTCACTGAGTTCTAAGGCTGGAATTAAAGCAATGAGTTCAGATTTCTGGGCTGAAGTGCCCTGGGGCAACGATCTGGCTTCGACAACAGTGTCCAGGGTTGTAACTGCATACCCTGCACATCTCTCTCCTTGTGGGTTGATGAAGCTGTTCCTGCCCACGTATAGTTTCCAGTCTACTGATGCCCAAGTCTGGTCCCAGAAGTCAGGTCTGCTAGAGTAAACTGAGTCTAACACTTCTACACAATCATGCTTGACAGGGCTCTCTGATACAGGGAGCAAGGTGGCAGGGTTCAGGGTACAAACTTGTACAAACTTCAATGGTTATACAGGGATTTTCAGAGCAAACTTTGGTACTTGGTGAGTCTAGCATTCACTAGCCAATGATGTCCTTTAGTATTCATTAAAATCACCACAGCATGGGGGGCCTTTATGCTCAGGTTTTGCCCAAGAGTCAGCTTATTTGCTTCTTGTACTAGCAGAACAGTTGCTGCCAAGGCCCTCAAACATGGGGGGCCATCCTTTAGAAACCCTGTTTAGTTGTTTAGAGAGGTAGGCCACCAGCCTCGGCCAGGGCCCCATAGTTTGCGTTAAAACTCCAACTGCCATCTTTTCTCTCTGACACATACAACGTAAAAGGCTTTGTCAGATCGGGTAGCCCCAGGGCTGGGGCTGACATAAGTTTTTCCTTAAACTCATGAAAGGCTTGCTGTTGTTGAGATCCCCATTCAAAAGTTTCCCCGTCCCCCCACCACCTTTGTGACCTCATACAAAGGCTTGGCTAATACCGCAAAGTTTGGGATCCACGGTCTACAAAACCCCACAGCTCCTAAGAATTCTCTCACTTGCCTTCTGCTCTTAGGCTCTGGTAGATTGCAAATAACCTGCTTTCTTTCTGATCCCAGGCTGCACTCCCCATCAGATAGTAAATCCCAAGTAACATACCTGCTGTCAGCAGATCTGAGCTTTTTTTCTTAGACACCTTATACCCACAATCCTCCAGGTGCCAGAGTAGGGCATCTGTTCCCTTGGCACACCTGGCTGCCGTGGGGTGTCCCAGGAAGAGGTCATCAACATACTGGAGCAATATGCAGCCTAGGTCTCTGGTGGGAAACTTCTGGAGGTCTCCAGCCAATGCCTCCCCAAATATGGTGGGGGAGTTCTTGAACCCTTGGGGAAGCGTCTTTTAGGTCCAAGCAGGTGAACCAGCTGTGCTCAGCTGGCAGCAACCCCAACAATGTGTATGGGTTAGGTACTGTTGGACGTAAAGTCACTGTAGCTTGATTAACCAAGTGCAAATCCTGTACCAGCCTGTAGTCCTTGGTTCCTGGCTTGGGAACAGGCAGGAGGGGAGTGTTCCATGGAGACTGACAAGGAACTATAATTCCAAAAGTTCTTAGGTGTTTGAGATGGATCTGGATACCTTTTAAGAGCTTTTCTGGGGACTGGATACTGTTTTTGCCTAATGGGCTGGGCCCCAGACTTAACTTCTATAAGTACAGGGACTTGGTTGACTGCCAACACTGGAGGTTGTCTTCCACTCATACTCTTGGCCTCTGCCTAGCCAGAGCTGGTCTTATGTCTTGGCCTGGCTCAGTTAAGAAAAGTTTCCATTCCTCCTCTTGGGGGACCGTAAGGGTCATGATGACTCCAGTTCCAGGTAACTTTAGCAGCAAAGAACCATGCTCTGTAAAAGAAATAGTGGCTCTCAGCTTGCTAAGCAAGTCCCTTCCCAACAAGGGCAAGGGACAGTCAGACATGTACAAAAACTGATGAATCACTTTATGTCCTCCTACAGTATAAGTCCAGGGCAAGCAGAAAGCTTGCTTTGCTGAAACCCCCATGGCTCCAATTATGTCAATAGTCTTTTTGGATAAGGGGGTGACCGGGGCAGTTACTACCAAATGTTCAGCACTGGTATCTAAAAGAAAATCAATGTCTTTAACCCTGACTGTCATTCTGACCATAGGCTCTTCAGAGGCACTTGAGCCTGGTCCCCCTAAGTCCAATAACCCTTCTGCCAGGTTGAGCAGGGCCCCTTCCTCCTTGTCTGGGGCCTCCTGCTCTGAGTCACCTTGTTTTTTTTTTTTTTTTTTAAGCTTGAAGGCATTTGTTCTTCCAATGTCCTATTTCTTTACAATAAGCACCAGAGTTTGCTAATTGCTGGAACAAGCAATCCCCAAATCTTAGGCATGCTGAAAGGGGAAGAGGAATTGTGGCATTTTACATCTATTACCACAAAGAATTGCAATGCCAGATTAGTCTCTAGATTTCCAAGAGGCCTTACTCAAAAGCTAGATGTACTGTTTCAGCCCAGATCCTGGGTGACACACAAGTCTGCTGGCTTTGTGTGAGGCTGCAAGCAGGAAAAGGCTCTGCAGCAGTCGAGGCTGGCCCTGACATTCAGACCATACAATAAAGTAGACCCTGAGTTGGTAGAGATGTCAATGGTGGGAAAAGGGTACGTTGTAAAGTTTGTGGCAAACCCCCATGGGGAAAAATAACACTGCAGATCCACAGGGTTCTAGACGAAGTCATGTCTGTTTCCAGCACCACACAGAGCTGTCCTGACAAAGTAAAGTAATGGCCTGCCATACTCAGAATTAACAGACTGGGTAACTTATTAAGGAAAGAGGTTTAATTGACTCACAGTTCAGCATGGCTTGGGAGGCCTCAGGAAACTTACATTCATGGCAGAAGGTAAAGGACATGGAACTGAAGCACTAGCTTGGAGGTGATGCTGCAGCTGGGTGCTGTCAACCAGGATGTAGAAATGTATGCTCAGTTTTGAGAACTCTTTATGGCCTTCTACTCCAGTAGAAAGCACGCATGATTCTGGAAACCAACAGATAGAAATAGGTGTAGCCCCACTTACCGTCATCCCCTATGACTCATGGGAAACTTTGTGCTTACCTTCTCTAACTCTGTGATCTGCAGGATTGGAGATCCCAATCCCAATGGGAGGGTTTATTCTTGCCAAGGGACAGAGCAAGAGTCCCATTGAAGTATAAGCTATGACAACAGCCCAGGTAGTTTGGACTGACATCCAGGGACAATCAGGCAAGGATAGGTATCACCAGGATGATGGGAGGTGACTGCTCTGACCATCAGGTACAGGTAGAACTGCAATTATAAGGAAGAAAGGGAGGGAAGCATGTGTTTCTCAGGTGATCTACCTGGAGACTCTTTTGTAGTCGAAAGACTACAAAAGTCTCTCCTCTTTGAGAGGAGTCAAATGTGAAAGCTACTGATTAGATTAGAGGAATGTGTTTCCATGATGACCTTGTCCAATGAAGTCAGGATTCTTCTAGGTTAGCTTCATTTTTCTGTATTTCACTATCACTACTCACAGTAGCAGAGCCCATAGAGAAGGACAAGTGCCTCAGTCACCCACTTATGCTGGTGAGTGGACAAGTACAATGATCCAGCCTGAGAAAGGTTTGACCACCAGAGGCTCACACCTCTCAAAGGTGAGGATGAGCTCATACCACCTAAGCCAGTAACTCCAGTAGAAGCTGTGGCTGAGGGTCAGAGGAAATTCAAAGTGGAGGAGGGAGACTGGGTACCAATGTGGCTTTGAGACCAATTGCTTTGACATGGGCTGTAGCGTGGCCCACTAGAGCCCATGAAAAGCTGATCTCCCCCCCCACCACCACACACACACCATAGCTGAGACTGTGTGAAGGTGCCACTCTGTCCTTGGCTTGATTTGCATCATACTGTGGTCAACCTGATTCAGATTTCCTGGAAGAATTTCTGCTGATGGTACATAAGAACTCTGGGAATGATGTTCCTCTGTCTTCCTTGGAAGAATATCAGTATACTTACAGAGGTCTAAAGATCCCTGGCTCCTCTTCAGTAGGCAAATGTCTATCCTACCCACTCTACAGAAAGAATGCTAATCTGTCTGTATTGGTTTTTCACACTGCTATAAAGAATTGCCTGAGACTGGGTAACTTACTAAGGAAAGAGGTTTAATTGACTCACAGTTCAGCATGGCTGGGGAAGCCTCAGGAAACTTAATCATGGCAGAAGGTGAAGGGGAAGTGAGGCACCTTCACAAGGCAGCTGTGAAAGGAGCAGTGCCGAGTGAAGCGGGAAAGAGCCCCTTTTAAAACCATCAGATCTCGTGGGAACTTGCCATCACAAGAACAGCATGGAGGAAACCACCCCCATGATTGAATTACCTTTACCTGGTCTCACCCTAGACACATGGGGATTATGGGGATTACAATTCAGGATGAGATTTTGGGTGGGGACACAGCCAAACCATATCACTGTCCCATAAAATGAGTCTTACCCAGCTTTTGGAAGGATGTGTGTTCTTGGTGAGGCTCAGAAAAGGTACATCCATGGAGAGGTAACTCATGGCTCTGTAAAAGAATGGATGTAATTGAAGGTTTAAGTACTTAGAGCAAAAGCCAAAGAGGACCATTTTCCAGACTGAGTTGCTTTCCCTAGGCATCCTGGAATTTGGAGTGAGATGTTTTTTGTGGCATGTGTGCATCTTTTCATGGGCAGACCTTTGAGAGGGGTCAAATGTGAAAGCTACTGATTAGATTAGAGGAATGTGTTCCCACGGTGACCTTATCCAATGAAGTCAGGATTCTTCTAGGTTAGCTTCATTTTTCTGTGTTTCACTAGCACTACTCACAGTAGCAGAGCCCATAGAGAAGGACAAGTGCTTCAGAACATACAAGCAGCTCTCTTACAATGGAGAGAAAGTCCTTACTGATTCTTTGAAAGACTTTCATTGGAGCAGGTCTTCACTGGACTCCCCTGACATCAATGCAGGGTGAGGGCTGCTTCCTGATACTTGCACCACCAGATCTCCATGTCCTGGGATGATCCCACATACCCAGTTCACTGGACACAGACCAGAGGGGACTCCAGAAGGCATAACAAATAAAGGAGCATTCTCAGAGTCAAAAGCCTTCAGGCAGAGAAGGGCCCGTAGAAGTTTGTGCTGAGATGCTGGCATGAGATAGTGCTCAGAAGAAATGAAGCTGGAGCCTTGGCCTGAATACTCCCCTATTCCAAGTAGGCAACGGGACTCTACTCCATGTCTTGCTATTCTATGTTCTCCTCCTCCATATATCTGGCTGGAACTTCTCTCCTGAAGCTAGTCTCCATATGGCACCTAATGACCACACCATGAGCTCTCTAGCCTCCACACCAGTGAGTGTTGCCTGTTTTGGTGCTAAACCCATGGCTGCGGATATGCTAGGCACATCAGCTAGTCACTGTGGGAATCAGGGCTAAGGCATGCCTTTCGAAGGGAAGGCTTCCTGAGCAGCTGCTTGCTTCTGACATGGACTTGTTCCACTTATGAGACTTCACAGGATGTCTTATTTATGGTGGCAGAGCATGTTGGTCACAATTTGAACACCTTCTAGGATTTTTTGACCATCTCTGTCTTGGGTGACAAGCTGGCCTGTTGCTTGTTGTCCTTCTGCATTCAGACCTGGTTGAAACATCATAACATGAAATATGAGATTTGGGTTTCCAGGAAAATGCTGAAGGGGCTACAGGTGCAGGGTGCAGCTCTTCACAGGATAAGCCTTGACCCGTGAGGACAGAAAACTGAGGGTCCAGGCAGATGCACTTTTGTTTCTCTTCATGGATGACTCAAAAGTGCAATTACTCATTGTGACCCTTCTAGGCCCAGTGAATGCACCCGTTGAGCAATGTGGATGTCAACTTAGACCTGCACCTGTTGAGCAATGTGGATGTCAATTTATACCCCCTCAAGACAGGGTAGCCAGAATGGGACTGCATTACATTGCTTCTCACCTTTCCTTACTTCACCAGCTTCCTCATTCTCACCAACTTCACCCTCCTAGCTGGACCCAGAACACAAGGCAGATGATGGGAACTCCAGAGCACAAGTTGCCCTATGAGAGCCCTGCACTGGGCAGAGACGGCCAGGCCCTAGTACCCACCATGCTCAGTTGTCAGCAGGGCCTTCCCAGGAAGAATATATCCCCAATTCAGAGGCTGAGAACCCTGAAGATGCTGAGAGCTAGAGGCTGTCAGACAACTGTTCACCTGGAAGGTGAACACACACCTTCTTAAAGGGTGATCCAAGGTGTACACTTCTGTGGCTGTCACAGCCAATCACTTTGTGCCACATGGGTCCATCTCTCCACATGTGCGGAGCATCAGTTTTTGCAGCCACTTGTGGGCCTTTCTTCTGGAGGGTGGTGAGTGGTGGAACCTTAGAATTAAGGAAGAACAATGGAGGAGGAGGAAGGTGATCACCTCTTGTGGCCCACGATCAACTTCTGGAACCAGGCTATAGTTAATTATTCCAAACTCACTTCTCTGACACCTGTATTTCTCTCTGTGGCTTACCTAGACCCTCGTTCTTGAGGGGCCGGAGCCCCTGCTGGCCTTTCTCTCTCAGGCTGGTGTTGCTGTACTCCATTCAGTCACAGCCAAACAAGGAAGAACCAAGTGTCTCGGAGGGCTAACTGAGTGTGCAGTATCTCCACTCTTCCACCTTGTGTCACAGCAAAACTATCTCATTTTGACAGGGCCAATGTTCCTACCAAGGTGATGAACCCTTTTCTTGCCTGGTGGTCATAGACACCCTGTACCCCAAAGTATCCAAGCAGCAGCCATGACTTGAGCTCCCATGGGACCCTTGCCAGGTTCCCTGGCAAGCATGTGCTGCTTTTGAGGAACTCTGCAGAGCTAAGAGCTGCAAGAATAGGAAGCACGTGGTCCCTCAGGGGGTCACTGCAAGTTATGGCAAGCAGGGCCTTGCCTGTTTCTATCTGTTGACCTTCAGATCCATTCGCCCTCTCTTAGGGGGATGCACCCCACAAAGCCATCTATTTCACTTCCTATTCCACATCCAGGAGGATGGCACAATCTTTGCCTAAGGATTGATCTGAGCTAGTGCCTTAGCTTGCACGTCCAGGAGGCTGTTGTGATGCTCTGAGGCCAACAGTGTCCAGATAGTGCAGCATGTGATGCCACCTGCCAGTCCCAAGAGTCTCCCGCACATCCCTTGCTACAAAGTAACTCTGATCGTCAGATACGATATTAGCCCATGCTATGGGTCAGGCCATCCAGTAACTCCCTCCACAAAAGCAGTTCTTGCTTAGATGTTCTGATGATAGGAAAGGCACATCTATGCCCAGAATGTGTGTCCGTTAATGTGAGAACAAATTGCTCTCCCCTCAAAGAATCCAACTGAGTATATGTGATTCCAGGCAGCCATCTCATCTCCTTGAGGCATGGGGCAATGGCAGGGACTCAAGACTATGTCCACCCTGCCGGCCATAGAGGCTGCAGGAGTTGAGTGGACCATACTTTTGGGCCTGCATGCAGCCTCTGTCATGGACACCACTGCCTCTGTGTCCACTGTGCCAGTCCTCGGGTGACTGGTAGAGGCCAGCTAACATGTCTAACAGGTTAACAGAACGTAACCAATTATGTTAAATGGGTGAACATAAAATTCACCCAATTTAAGTATATAATTTGGGTTTTTAGTATATTCACGAGGCGGTTAAACCATCACCACTACCTGACTTTAGAACCCTGTACCCATTGGCATCCTTTACTCCCCTGCCCCAGCTCTAGGTGGGCACTGCTCTACAGTGCCTATGGAGCTGCCAATTCTGAATAGTCCATGTAAATGGAATCTTACCACATGTGGCCTTTGTCTTGGTTCTTTTGCTCAGCACGTGTCATCAAGGTTCACCCATGCTATAGCACTCACTTCCCATGGCCTCTGTTGTCGGTCAAGCATGAAGGTAGCCACCCCACCTCTATCCCACCACATATTCTATGTTTGGATTTGATGGTGGCTTTTGAACAAGAAGTGCTTTTTTTCCGTGTCTCGTGGCAGAAGCACAAAAGACCTGCAGAGCTGGCTTCCTTCTCAGTTGGAAGCCTCTCCCAAAATAAATCAAAGTGAGTCTGTGACCTCGGCAGACTTCAGGCATCTTCCAACGACAAGATGTCACCATGGCAGAACCTTGATTTGTTACTCAAAGGCAAAAAGTGGCAATTATTCTTCCATTGCCTACTGATGTCCGGAGATGGAAAAGCCACAGGCTTTTGGAACTCTCAACTAAAGGTCTTTGTAGCACAAGCCAAAGAAATCCATTTTAGGTCCTAAACAGCACTACACATTCCTGGGAAGGTACAGGTGCTCTGCGCGGTGTCCTCAGTGGACACGGACTTGCAGTTCAGGTTCTGCATGCTCTGCCCAGTCACTTCTGCTGTTGGGCATCTGATTCAGGCAGGGGTAGGCAAGAGGTTCAGTGGTGTCCCCAGCTATGAAAACTGTTTGTCTTGCAATCAACCACAGATGGTTTTGTGAGGCTAGAAGCAGCTCCTCTGATCCCAACCAAGTCTGGGCCAGAGGTTCCATTTAAGAAGAAGCAATCATTGCCCTTGATGTTAGTAATAAAAAGGCCATGAGGTGAAGGCTGCCAGGTAAGGCAGCTGACTGCAGCTGCAGCAGTGTGTAGCAGGTCTACTGTGCTAAGCTTAAAAGTCAGGGGGTGCCATTTCTCCAGGTAGGAATCCAGGGCATGGCTCTGCTGGCTTCCAAAACAGATGGATTCTCCACCAATGGAGAATCCACAGCCTTTAGCTGCTTCTAGACCACATTTCTCACCCATGTCAAACGGTGTAAGGGGTCTTATCTCCAAAGAACGCAGGTCACCTGCTGGTGCCATGACTCTGAAGGGCAACCAGTCTCCCTAGAGAGAGAAGGCACTGCTGTCAATGAAATGTATCGTGGCTCATCTGAGAGCTGGGCCCTCTAGAGAGGGGCAAAGTCCTTAAATGATCCCCCTACCAAGGGCTCTCCACCCAAGAGCAGAGCTCTGATTGCTGCTGAAATAACCCAAATCTGACCACTGACTGAAGGAGAAGTCAGTGGGGCAGCCTGGTCTGGAAGGAAGGTTCTCCCTTAGAATTGGACTTTAAGAGGTTAAGATTCCCCGAGTTCACATAGACTTGACCCTCTGCGTTGTTACCTTCCTTCTTTGACTGCCTCACATGTGCCTTTAGGTGCTCAAGAGGTAGGGAGGGCACATCTGGTGTGGTGGGTCTGATCTCTTTTAGCCTGGTTATCTTTTCTTGTATGGCCTTCAATTTGGTGACCCTAATCATCCATGATAGATGTTTAAGAGAAAGTCGCAAAGACAAACTGGCAATTTTTCTTCAATCCCATCCCACTAGCTTTCAGTTTCTGATGGGTTCCTTTGTACAGATGTGGGTGTGGGAAAAAATGTATCCTTTGTAATGTAAAAGATGAAATGATATGCCATTTACCTGAAATTAGTGTTTCCTTTAAGTGTGTCTGAAGTTGTAGCCTAAAACTATTGTATCAGGAATAAGTACCATTTATTTCATATACATAATCATTCTATCAATAGAAACATAATGTAAAGCTATTAAAATGTCCCCAGTATCCTGACCTTTCCTTCAGCCCCCAGTGGAATAGAAGCCATGATTTGGAAGGTGCTAGAAGCACCAGCTCCTGGCTACAGCAGACATGCCCTGCTTCTACATCTGTGTCCTTCATCCCCTCATGTCTCTAGCCTCCAGTGACACTTGAGGGATAAGGGGGCAAGGCTTGCCCACTGCAGACCCATCTCAGTCCCAGTCATTTCCCTCCCAGGGAGAGGGGACCAGATCCTCATGAAGATGCTGTTTGGGGCATGAGAAGAGTATCTCTTAGCCTTTATTAGATCCTAGGGAGACAGAACGCTATGTCTGACCTCCTCTGTAGGAAGTTAGAGGCATCTTCTATCTGGAGTTCCACTTATTCTTTCCCAGCCCTTAGGGCATTGAACTGGAGGGCAGTAGGGCAATTGGGAGGGTAGGGTGCGGTGGAAGTCTGACTCTTAGCATTCCAGCAGTGGAGCTGGCCTGGGAGTGGTGGCCCAGTTGCCCATTCAGTCTTGCTATGGTGCTCATCTGGTTGGGGCCCGGTCTTAGTGGTGCTCCAGAAACCTGGAGAACCTAGAAGGGCTGCAGACCTGTTCTCTCATTGCTCTGCTGGAGAGTGTTGAAGGAAACAATTGATATCTTGGTTACTTGCTGAGGAATCTAGTTTAAGATCAGGGGAAGGTTCTTAGGCTGTGGCTAGGAAATGAATGTAAATCCCTGTGTCTTGGTTCCAAGCTGGATACTGCAGACAAAGCCCATGTGGAGTTCCTTGGCTGGTATCTGGAGGTGAAGGAGGATGGATCCTAGATCAAGTTGCATAAGTGAAATTATCATGGGGGGTGACTGTAGCCTACAGCTGACCTCTTGAAAGGCCTCCTCTATAAGAAAATAGAGCCCAGGTGAATTTTGTTCACATCAAATGTATTGATTCTTATAAATACTGAAGCATCCTAGAAAACTTCCAAGAAGCTGTTCTTACCTTGTTGATATCTCCTGGATGTTTTTGGAGGATAAACTTTCTTGTTCTCTTTTCATTTTCTTTTTTTTTCACCCTTTTGTTTGTTTTATTGACAAATCCTGGCTTGGAACTCTTCAGTTCTGCTTGACTCTAGGTGGTTCTTCTCCTTCTTTATTTTCTCCAAAACTATGAGGCCAGACACCACCCCAGGGCTTCAAGGAGTACCTTTGAAGGGTTGCTTAGTGTCCAAATTCATACCACATCACAGTGGGCTTCTCCACCAAGGGATGGGGGTGTCTTCAACCTTAGATGCTATTTCTGCATGTTTTCCTGTGACTTCTCTAGCTGGAGTCCAACCCTGGTGCTTCTCCTTCCTCCTCCCCAGGCATTTTCTACTCTTAGGTACTTTTCCCTGGATTTCTTCTCTGGGGCTGCTGCTTTATCTCCTTTGCTGACTTTCTTTCCACCATGTTCCTTTAAATGGTGGATTCTAGACTTTCCTCCCAGGATGCACGGTCTGCCTGGGTATAATATCTATCCCACCCATTTCTAATTTGTACACCCCCAGACCAAGACTTTACTGAGTTCCAGACCCATGTACACATCTGCATATTTGAATGTTTCCAGTTCTTTCCAACCCAATTTGCCCTAAATGAATTGCATGTTCTTTCTTCCCAAACCTGCTCTTTCTCCCTTATCCTTTTGTCTCTCTCCAGTGGTGCCCTGCACCCAGATGATCAAGCTGAAAATCCTCTACTTGACTCTTCACTAACCCCACCATTCAAAAAAATCTAACCCATCACCAAATCTGGGTTATTCCAATTATAAACCTCTTGAATTTAACTATATTCATTCAGCTCTACTGCTTAAATCCAGGTTCAAACCAACTTGACCCCTTCTCCCTGTTGACTACAGCAGTACCCTAACCTAATTCCCACCTTCTAGGCTTACCTCCTTCTAACCCTTGATTCTCCCTGCATGGGTTCTGGTCATAGCTATGTTCCATTTCATTTCACCTTGTACGTACCTGCCCTTTTTCTGATCCTGTCAAAGTACAGGGAAGAATGTAAAATTTGTAGTTGCCTGAGTTCAAATCCTACCTCTGCCTTATTAAATAAGACCTTGGACATGTGTACTTAGTGTTTCTGTATCTGCTTCATTATCTTAAAACCGATAACCCTCAAAACAACCCTAGGAGTCAATTCATTTACATGTGACTGTTAGTTTCCTATGCTGCTGCTTTAGAAATGTTCAAAATGACTAGGTCTCAAAAAAACTTGCTTCCATGGACAGAAATTCCCTAAGCTGAGCTTTCTGAACATTTGACAGATGACTTGATATTTCTCCTGCCACCTCCCCCTGCCAGTTTTTAAGCAAAGGTCCCTTTTGGTTCCTTTCTGATAACTAGAACTTTTTTCCTTTTCTAAAAAATTATGACCTCTATTGAGGTAACTGTAGACTCATATGCAGGTGTAAGAAATATGAAGAGATCACATTATACCCTTTACCTAGTTTCCCCCAATGGTAGTATCTTGTGAAACTATAGTGCAATACCATAACCCAGATAATGACATTGATTCAGTCTAGATACAAAACATCTCATCACCACAAGACCCCACACTTACCCCTTTACTGCCACACCCACTTCTACCCTCCACCTACTCCCTCAACCCCTGACAACCACTCATCTGTTGGACATTTCTATAACTTTAATTGCAAAAATGTTACACATCTTATGATTCCACTTATGTAACATTTTGGGATTGGCTTTTTTCAGTCAGCATAAATCTCTGGGGATGTATCAGGTTGTTACATTTGCTGAGAGTATATCTTATATATTAATGCAGGAAAAGTAACAATCTAAAGTGATGGGTGTGTTAAGTTAATCATCTCACAATGGATACACATATCAAAACATCACAGGTATACACCTTTAAATATATGCAATTTTAATTTGGCAATTATATTTCAAAGCTGGAACAAAAAGAAGGTAGGCAAGACATGAGACAGATGGCAAGTTAAGTATACAATTTTCAAGACCATTAGTCCTCAGAAAAATGAAACCACAATGATTTCACTATATACCTATGAGAATGGCTAAAATAAAAAATAGTGACCACAGAAAATGCTGGTAATGATGTAGAGGAACTTGATCACTCATACACATTGCTGTGGGTGGAGAGGTAAAATGATTAGCTTTTCATGTGTTACTCCTGCCAGCTGAGAAATCATGTAGGGACAGAAAGTGGGTTGGAGTCATCAAACATCTTTTGGGGGCAGGGGTGTGGAAATGGGAAGATGATGGTCAAAGGGTACAAAGCCTCTATTCGCAAGAGAAACAAGTTTTTCTTTGGGATATATTGTGCAACGTGGTGAAAAGAGTATGTTTCAAAACTGCTAAGTAAATTTCAAATGTGCTCAAAGTATTTGAGGTGATATGTTAAGCTTGATTTAATTCTGATTGTGTTTGTAAATCATGATATCACTTTGTACCCTATAAATATAACTTGTCAACTTACAATTTTTAAGATGTTTTTAAAAGTAAAATTCTGCTTGTACTTTTTTTTCCCCCAGTATGATTCTTTGGCCACATTTGTTCCACCCCTTACCAAGCAGGCATGTTTCTTCTACATTAAGGGTGTAGAGGAGTCCTCCTGACCCTCCGTCAAGCCCTCCATAGGGTCTGTTTTCTCCATGGAGTCCTTTCAATTTCCTCTCTCTCCAATCATGACATGCTCAATTATCCACTCCCAGTCTCCCACTCCCATGAGGCCAGGTCACAGGGCTGAAGAAGAAACCATGGAAACAAGCAGTTTATTTTGGCTACCCAGTGCCCTCACTGGGGCAGGCACACTTGAACCTTGAGTCAAACCCCCACCACAACTCTTGACTCTAGCCACATCTGTGCTGGACAGCTCCTCCCCCTGTGAGCCTCCACCTTCAGCAGGCTTGCAGCTTTCAGTTTTGCCTCAAGGCTTTCTCCAGTGCCCAGAGACCACTGGGCTTTATAGGCTAGAAAAGGTGGGGGACATTAATGCTTTTGGCGGCAGCACTCAGAAATGAACCGGTAGGCTCCTGACTTCTGAATTCGGCTACTGATCCCAGGCGGCACCTGAAGGACCTGAGGTTCTGTTGGATGGCAGTGGTGACAGCTTTGATGATACCTTACTGTGACTCTTCCTACTTCCCTTTTTTCTCCTCACCACTGCTTCCTTAGAATTACCTGTGATAGGGCCGGGTGCAGTGGCTTATGCCTGTAATCCCAGCACTTTGGGAGGCCGAGGCCGGAGGATCACGAGGTCAGGAGTTGGAGACCAGTCTGGCCAACATGGTGAAACCCCGTCTCTACCAAAAACACAAAAATTAGCTGGGCATGGTGGTGGATGCCTATAATCCCAGCTACTTGGGAGGCTGAGGCAGGGGAATAATTTGAACCCGGGAGGCAAATTTGCAGTGAGCCAAGATCGCGCCATTGCACTGCAGCCCGGGTGACAGGGCAAGACTCTGTCCTAATTTTAATTTTTACTTTTTTTTTTCTGAGATAAACTAACATCTAAGTGCTTTTATCCAAATCTGTTTTTGTAAGAACTTGGCCAGCCCAAGGCAACATCGTGACAGGAAACCAGGTTTTAAATGCTGAGAACTCTTTCCTGTTCCTTTCTCTGATATCCTGCTGGGACTCTCCTTAGCTAGACACCAGAGGGCACTGGAGCCTGTTGACAGGTACCAGGGAGGTCAGTCCCTGAGAAGACAGCAGGGAAGGGACACAGGGAGACTGAGCAAGAAGAGCCAGTGGAAGGTGCCATCTGTGGTCCCTTTAAAAAAAACAAAACAAAAAAAACAAAAAAACAAAAAAACTCAGGCCAGGTGCAGTGGCTTATACCTGTAATCCCAGAACTTTGGGAGGCCAAGGCAGGTGTATCACTTGAGGTCAGGAGTTTGAGACCAGCCTGGCCAACATAGTGAAACCCTGTCTCTACTAAAAACACAAAAAATTAGCCAGGTGTGGCAGCGCACACCTGTAGTCCCAGCTACTTAGGAGGCAGAGGTGGGAGAATTCCTTGAAGCCAGGAGGTTGAGGCTGCAGCGAGCCGAAATTGTGCCACTGCACTCCAGCCTGGGCAACAGAGTTGAGAACCTGTCTCAAGAAAAAACCTCAGACAACAACTTGCTTTCAACTGGACATTAATTGTATTTACAATTACTGGTAATTAACTCTAACATATTATGTGCTTTCTAGTTATCTTACATACTAAGTTACAGTCATCCTCCTTTCTGACTTTCTTTAGGTTAATTTTTACTTTATTTCCCCCTCTAAACTCTAATGTCAAATATTTTAGTTATGCTAGGGATTTCTAATAACACTGATATCAAAAGCTAATATAAACTGAGATGCTTACTTCTTCTCAGAAAATGAGGGGGACCGGTCCATGAGCCCTGGGAGCCCAGGTTCTCAGCGGTTCTAGAAATGCCACTAGACTGTTGGTGATCTGGGCTGTTAGACTCTGCTTTTACTCAGGAAACCTGGCTCCCTGGCTGCCTCCCTCCATCCCTAACACCAGATCTCCTGCCCTCGGCCTCCTTCACCATAAGGGGTTGGCAAGCATGGCAGCCTTTGACCAGTGAGATCCAGAAAAAGGCCACAGGATGGTCCTCCAGAGGCCCCTTCAGACATAAGAGCTCTTCTCTCCTGTGAAGTCTTTGGCTGTCCTCTAAGAATCTTGAACTGAATATTCCCAGCTCTGGAAGCCACTGTGAGGCTTGGGTTATTTATTCAAAAACATACGTTGGGGCAGAGATGGCTGTACCCTGGACTGGCCTCACAACCTAGGGAGGTCCCCATCATGGAAACCAGTGACAGGCAGGGGCTTCATGCAGGTGCAATAGGGAGAGTAGCTAAGTCCTAGAGCCATGGAGTGTCCAGAGCCGAAGTGGGAGAGCTAGGCAGTGCAGCCTTTCCTGAAGCCCTTGACTGAATTCCTCCCCATTAATTTCCATTTTTAACCTGGTAATTCTATTAGAGACAGCCAAGTCTTGTGTGGTTCTCTGCTGAATAGAAGCTGTCATGTCAATTTCTACACTGGAAGGTACACAATACTCTTTGAACATTCCATTTTGTCTGCATAATGAAGAAAATGGCTACCATGGCATTGCCCACTGAGTCAGGCCCTGTCCTCTGGGTGTTCTTACTTAATTCAGTAGCTCTTTTGGTTTCTGAGGATTAAATGGTGGTGGGTGTAGTCACTCTATCAGTAGATATCTATGTGAAGCATCAGCATGTAACTTGCTCAATCCAAAAAAACCCCATGTTATGGCAGATGTCCTATGGGACTGATGAGCAGAATTCTTGTCATAAAACCTGGCCTGAAATTCTCTAATGCTGGTTTTTAATCTGAGAAGTAAATGTGACACTGTTGCCTCTAGGTATCCCCTTTAGTAATAAAACCAGGTCAGCTATTCCTGGGATGAGAGTTGATGATGGGGCCTCAGCAGGAACACAGGAGGCCATTAGGAACCTTCACTGTCCTCGGGAAACTTGCAACTCAACTTCAAAGTACTAACTGGGCACCAGAATTACAGTACTGCTGTAAAATTAAACAAGTAACTACAGAATTTGAGGACTTGTTCATGAAATTTAAGTATTAGTGGTCCATTATGGCTCAATTTGACACATTAAGTTCTGGTTAATCTCTTAGCCAGAATATCTGTCTCTGTAATTCCTAGTGTCTCCATGTTTTGTCACTATACGTGTGGGGACATGAGGATTATGGTCCCATACAACCATGGGAGGTTCCATGGTTGGGAAGCTAGAAGCCTATTGTTAGAAACAAGAGCTCAGGGTCACAAGGAAAAAGATCACTCAAAGGTTTTCTCAGCAAGGCAAATTTACTTCTGCAGAAGGGTGCCACTCACACTTCTGGCCACTGTGGGAGAACACTGAACAAAGGAGGGAAAAGGGGTTTTTATCCCTAACATGTTTAGTCCCTGCTTCTGTGTCCTGTCCCCACTGGCTGGAGTCAGACTGCACAATCTAAACTGACCCAATTGGCTACTGTTTAAAATTGAATGTGGCTAATTAGGCAGGAAGGGGGAGGCTGTCCATTATGGTACAAAGCATGTTTGGGTATGTCAGGGTACAGCAAAGCCAGGAAGAGCTCTTTCAGCGGGGGGGCAGTTTACAGAATGGGTAGCCAGGAGTAAAATAGGACTCTTTCCAAATAAGGAAGAGATGTGAGTTACAGATTGGAACTGGTGGGAGAAGTTGTTTACAGAGCAGGTAGCTTAGGAGAAGGGGCAAGGAAGTTGATCTTGAACAAAGAACAAGGAAGTTAGAAATTAATCCTCTGAAGAGGAACTTACTGTATTTGGCACTATCATGATCTCTCTCTACTGAGGTGCACCAAAGCCATTGCCCCTACATTGGAAGAAGAAACTAGCTTGCTATTTAACTTGCTCAAAGCAACACAGCCAGTTACCAGTGGAGAAGGAACTGATGCCCAGGTCTTCCAATTAGGTTGAAAGACCTTCATCACATAGTGCTGGGAATCAGTGGGATGAAGCTATAGCCCCAGACTTACTGTGAACCTTGTAACCTTGTGCTGGTCTCCTAAGTGATGTGGTACTGAGTTTCTCACATCTGCAAATGAGGATGTATTCTGAAGGTTTTATAAGATCTTGCCTCCATGGGTGATGTAGTCAAGGTTGAACACAGGAGCTGAGTTGGCCATGTACTGGGCTTTGTTAGAAGTGGATTATTTGTGACACTAGCTGAAAATGCCACTCGCCAGCAAACATGCTGCATTGGGGCTCTCCAGAGAAATGGAACCAATTTGTGTGTGTGTAGACCTATAAGAAATTGGCTCACATGACTACAGAGGCCAAGTTTTGGGATCTGCCGGGTGAGAAAAAACCTTGGAGACCCAGGAGAGCCGATACTATGGTTCTGGTCTGAAGGCCAGTAGGCTAGAGACTGTGGAGAACCAGTGTTCTAATTGTTCAATGGCAGGGAAAGAAGGTAATGTCTCTGTCTGAAGGCAGGCAGGAAGAATCTTCTTACTTCGCAAAGGGTTGACCTTTTCTTTTTCCTACTCGGTTCTTCAACTGTGATTGAAAGAAGTCCGCCCACATTACAGAGGAAACTCTGCTTTACTGAGCCTACAGATTGAAACTGAATCTCATCTAAAAGCACCCTCACAAAAACACCCAGAGTAGTGCTTGAGCAAATATCTGGGCACCCATGGCCCAGTCAAGTGGATACATAAAACTTCACACATGCCAACTGTCTTGAAAAAGTATAGATGAGGTTCAGTGTTCTTTGTTGAAAATGTAAGTAAAGAAATATAGAAGCACTAGAAAATGTCTCAAATCTAAATCTTAGATGAGTTAATGTGGTGTTTCTTAGTTTCGTTCTTGCATAATGAATGATACTAAAGACCTCTTATGGTGCATAACACACTGCAGTTTGACCTCCTTCTTAGTACTTAGTTGGGAAACTCTGAAACCCATCCTATGATGCCCACAGCTGGACTCCTGTTCAGGCTTCAATCTCTGCCCCTAGCATGTTCAGATTGTCAGTGTGTACAAGGGCAATGTTGTAAGATATCTATTTGCCAGGCAAAGAGATGGTTCTCAAACAGCAGTACATGACCCCCTGCCAGCATAAAATGATTTCACTCACATTCCACAAAATAGGACTAATGTTGTGACTAACAAAGCAACACATATTATTGTTTGATATTCTTACTGCTTCTGAAATGCTGAGTAGTTGGTATCTTACTCACCAAAGTAAAGCCTATAACTCAGTCCTACTGCACTTTTGCTTTGAAATCTAAAAGTCTAGGGCCACTTATTAACAAATTTTAATCTGGAGATTAAAATTTGCTGATAACATCTACATTTTCCCATGAGGTCTGAGTCTGGTAGTTATGATGCTATGCTGCAGTTTGAGGGAACCCACAGTGACCCCTGAAGTTGACATAACTTACCTCTGGGATGGATGAAGACAGAACCAATGTTATCCCAGGGAGAGGAGAAGCTTGGGCCCCTACAGCTGGATCCTGCCACCATGATAGATAGCACCAAGCATGTTCACTTATGGAATGAGGCCCAGAAGAATGAGTGAAGATGTGATACTAAGATGCACACAAGGGATACTCAGGGTTGGAAGATGGTATTTGCTGGGACTGTGTTCACTCTTAAATAAAGTACATGTGGCCACCAGATTGAGAATCATGTACAAGGCACATGTCAGACAACTGACTTGCTGGTCACTTAAGCATCTAATCAAGAATGAGCAATTTGTCTCCACACATGAACATGTTTCAGTTTTCTGGAATGTATTTTCTGGGAGGAACAGCTCACACACATGGACCGGTTAGCCCTGAAGGCTTAGCAGCTGTGAGACTTGTTAATATATTGAAAGAACACTATCTAATATAAGAAGGGTTGGTGTTAGTCACCATGTCAGGACTAGAGTCTATGTATATTAACAGCAAGGCAGGCATGGCTCAAAATAAGGATTTTCTAACCAGCTGTCAAGAGGTGGAATGAGTTGGCTAGTCAAGTAGATATTTCATCTCCCTACTAATTGCTAAGTTACATGGTTTGGATGTTTGTTGCCCAATCTCACATTGAAATGTGATCCCCAATGTGGTGGGAGGCGATTGGGTTATGGAGCGGGCCCCTCATGTGTTGGTGCTGTCCTCACAATAGTGAGTGAGTTCTCATGAGATCTGGTTGTTTCAAAGCATGTGGCACCTCCCCACCTCTTACTTGGTCCTGCTCTGTCATGGAAGATGTCTGCTCTTGCTTTGCCTTCTGCCAGGAGTAAAAACTTCCTGAGGCCTCCTCGCAAAGGCTGAGCAGATGCCGGCTCCACGCTTCCTGAATGGTTTGCAGAATCATGAAACAATTAAGTCTCCTTTCTTTATGTAAATTATGCAGTCTCAGGATATTTATAACATGTAAGAAATGACCTGTTGATCATTTGTTCAATGTCTAGAGAATAGGTGAGTGGAATCTGAAATGTGCATGACTAAAAGATAAGCATGATGCTGGAGGCTCCTGTGTCCCATCCCCACCCCCCCATCCCCACTCTGATGCCTTCAGCTACAGGGTTTGGCATTAACCGCCGTCGTCAATGGTGAGCCATGGGGCTATTACCATAAGCCATATTGATGACTTGCTTGTTTTATATTGTGTTCTTCCCCTTCCAGGAAATAGGATGAGTCTCTGAAAGCACTGTATGTCCCCTGGGTAGGTAAGATACCACTGGCTGAAGTGAATGGAGAGTTTTCTGCTTATGCACAAATTCTTCCTTGCCAAAATCAGCTAATTCCATTTTTCTACAAGGTGTAACATTCTCTCTCTATCCCTCTTGACCTCCATGCTGATTCTAGCATTCTTTTCCAGCTGAGAAGTTCCATTTTCATTGACCAGTTTTTCTAAACTATTAACCTCTAGAGTCTATTCATTAACCAAATGTGCGTGTCTGCTATGTATCAGGCACTGTTCTGTGTACAGGGACATGTCCATGAACAAGATGAGGCCCCTGCTGTCATGGAGCTTCTAGTGGAAGATACTAATGACAGCTCTGGGTGGAGGGGTGGAACTGGGGGGAAAAGGAGGTATGGACAGGGAGGGGTGGCCTTCCATCAGCTGTAAGACCTTCCTTCCCCGTCAAATGTCAGGTCCCCTTTGCCTCCCCTACACATATGAATTTGGTAAATCGGGTAATCAATCTTGGCTGAAGCAGGCCTCTTCCTTATTCCTTCTTCCTCCGAGTTGACTTCCTTGATATAACCAACACCATTCCAATTCACTTGCAATCTGAACTTTGGTAACTCCTTAGTAGAAGCAAATTCCCTGTGGTTCCTTCTACCTAGTTGTCTAGTCCACCACACATGGCATTTGATGTGGTGGGTGGAAGGAAGTGGTGTCCAGTCTTTATTAGAGCAAATTACACTGGTGGTCAGGACCAAATCTTCAGCTATGTTTTAATAAAACCAAGTTTGTCCCATTGTCTTCACTGGATTCCCTCCAAAGCAGACCCTGAGAGAGAAGCAAGTAAGACCCTGAGAGAGAAGCAAGTAAGACCCTGAGAGAGAAGCAAGTAAGACCCTGAGAGAGAAGCAAGTAAGACCCTGAGAGAGAAGCAAGTAGATAAAAGCAGATCCTGAAACAAGGGTTTACCTTGAGCACACAAGGACCAGCAGGGAGGGGAGGTGATACAGAGAGTAAAGGCAGCCAGGAAGAAACGTCTTAAGCCGGCTCGCACAGCGAAGAACTGATGAGCCCTTCAGGAAAGCTCTCATATTCATAATATAAAACAGACTTCAGAGTGGTCCTGGACTTGAGAGCTAGTTTATTGTATACCCCAGACAAGTATCTGCCATTGACTTAAAGGGTGCTTCTGGGGGGGTGTTAATTCCAAGGCACTTCCAGCCCATTGTGCAAAGTGGTTCTGCAGCCTTCAGGCAGCCCTCCAAGAAGATGCAGCCATTTGCTCTGGGAAGTCAGTCTGGTATGCACAGAAATTGTGGTGTTGGTGCCCAAGGACATGGGGTGGAGGGTTGACAATGGGTTTTACTAGGGTTGGAGTATCAGGTGCTAAGATGAAGATTAATTTTTGCTTTAAATGTGGTCTATAATACAGACTAGGCACTAATAACAGTAAATGAGGCTGATACAGTGGCTCATGCCTGTAATCCCAGCACTTTGGGAGGCTGAGGCTGGCAGATCACCATCCCAGCACTTTTGGAGGCCGAGGCTGGCAGATCACTTGAGGTCAGGAGTTTAAGACCAGCTTGGGCAACATGGTAAAGCCCTGTCTCTACTGAAAATACAAAAATTAGCCAGGTGTGGTTGTACATGGCTGTAATCCCAGCTATTCAGGAGGCTGAGGCAGGAGAATCACTTGAACCTGGGAGGTGGAGGTTGCAGTGAGCTCAGATCGTACCACTGCACTCCAGCCTGGGTGACAGAGTGAGACTCTGTCTCCAAAAACAGTAAACAGTAAATGGTAAAGATAAAGGCAGAGTTTCCATCTTATTTGCATTAAAACGGTATTTTTAAAAATGAACAGTATATAAGGACTTTATTATAAGTTCATATTTTCTCATCCTGTGTCTTAAACACAAAACCATCAGTGGAGAGCTTGTTTTCTCTCTATGATGGTAGAGTATTGGCCTTACTCTGTCTTGGATCAAGTCAGCCCTTCATTGAAATCTCAATATCCTAAATTTAGTCTTGAATCTGTGGAAACCATGGGAAACATCCAGATAGAGTACTCAAGCCAGGTCACTGGCAGTGTCTGCTCAAAATGGCTAAGCCAAGGAAATGATCCTATCTAACCAGAAGACTGTACCACACCCCTCTCTTCCTCAGTACTGCTTAGGATTCTCCAGCTTTGAGTTAGGATGGTGAATAAGGTAAAGCTGTGCCTGAGGGACATGAGTGTGGCCAACTGGCCAGGTACTTGGTGGCCATGGGTTTGTTAAAGTGACGCCCAAGGCACTTTGCCGTCCTGCAGGCGAGCTTCTGGAGCTGGCTGTTTTAACTTATTAACCATGTAGTTGCTGAACATTCATTTGTCCAATTTCCAGCAGGCTGTTATGTCAGACATTCTTCAGTTGTAAGAGGCAGATTTTCTGTAATACCTTCAAGTATTCAATGGGGACTTAGTCTTGGTGGGATATGTTATCTCAAGGGTTAAAGAGGTATTAGGACCCCTGTGATAACCTGAACGAGGACTGAGAAAGTAATCAAGGTTCAAGATTAGTCTCTTCTACATGGGGAAATAAAAAGATCCTTTCATTAGATTTTTTTCTTCATACAATTGGTACATATGGCCCTAAAACAACCCATAATCGCTCTAGTTCATAAGTTTATATACCTATATTTAAAGCTGGTTTCTTTATTCACTAGAGTCTGATTAGCAATTAATCTCCTGGGGAATTACTGAAAATGATAGAATGGGGAACTCCAAAACTTCGTCCCTCCACAAAAGCAACTAATAAGCTGGCAAAAACTGTCAGAGGCAACTTAAGAACACTAGAATCTGATTAAAACCTTAGCAAGGGAATGCTTAATGAAGAAAGAAATTGCTGAATTTAGGTAAGAAAATGCATGTAGCATTTTTACTACCCCTGCTCACTATCTTCCTACTTTACCAGCTGGGAGTTTGCTATGAAAAACAGAGCCCACATTCCTGGGAGAGGTTGCTGGCACCACAGGAAGCAATGCGAACTTTATTCTCAGAACTGTGATAGTGTGTTTTGACCTACTTGGTAGCTTCAGCTCAAGTTCTGGTTTCAACTGTCTGTTTCCCCAGAGATTAAGTGGGTGGCAATTGTTAAAAGTATTTAAAGGCAAATGTGTAGCCACAGCTGCCTGAGGAAAGGAACAATGGTCAGGTGAACAATCGATACAAATGCCTGTGGGGAAGATATTGGGGAAGGAGATATTTGGAGGAATAAAGGCTTTGAAAAAAATTCCCATGTATAATCTAGAATGCCATATACATGCATACCTGTCTGGGACTAGACTCCTACTCAAAAGGCCTGAAGAGGCTCTAGGCTTTCACCTCTGGCTGACCTTCAAGCTCTGTACAAGGAAGTAGAGCTATATGAAGGCCATATGAGGCCATATTAAGTCCATATGAAGAAATCATGATGATGATGTTTCCTTTTGGGGTGGTGATAACTTTCTGGAACTAGATAAGAGTTACGGCTGCATAGCACAGTGAATACACTAAATACCATCACTTCAAAACGGTTAAAATGACTTTGTTATGTACATTTCCCATCAACTAGAGTCTTGTGGGATACATACAGCAAACTGAGGAACTACTTAGGACTCATGATGGAACTATTATCCTCCTAAAGGGTCTCATGTCAGCATATCCAAGGCATATTTGTTGGAGCTGTACCAGCTTTGGAAAAGCCAAAAATATTGGAAAACGTGACTGGCAAGACAGATACACAGAATGGATTACCTTGACAGAACTGATCTCAACACTCAACGTTGAGGAGCTAATAGTAAAGTTTTAGTTCAAGGATCATCCCATTAAATGGATGTCATCATGACCCAGGCTGAGACTACCACTGAAAATCCCTGGGCATTGAAAGCCATGTGTTCAATGTTGTTGTTCTACCATCTCTCAGATCTGATTAATTTTAGGACTTAGGAATGAAGGGTGGATCATCTTCTAGTATATCAGTTACTTCCTCTTTGAGCTATGTTGGATCTTCCTATCAAAGAAAGACCAGCCCTCTACCAAGATGACCTATTCCCTAGCAATAATGGTCTCATGATATGCCACACTTGAATCTCTGCAGTGGAGTTCCCTTTTGTCCTCTTATGCTAGGTCTTCTAGGATGAAGCCTCCATGGCCATTACTAGCTGCTCTGTTGCAGATTATTTCTGAAAAAAAATCTATCATTTAATGCAGAGTATGGAATTGTACAGATTCTCAGTCTGAAACTAACAGAATGAGCTCAGGAAGTCAAATGAGTCTGGCCCTAGTTCTTAAGCACTGACATGGCTGCAGATTGGGAAGCAGACTGAGAGACAATAATGCACAAGGTATTTATTGTAGAGTGCTTTTGGGATCAATACCTCTGGAAAAAAAGGAAGCAAGGTTGGATAGAGGAGAAGCTGAGCTATGACACAGTCCAGTGGAGGCCACAGTTTACCCTGTAGAAAATCTTGAAGCTGGGATGATTCTTAGCTATCCCAAAATTGGGGAAGAAGGCCAGGCTTTTATATTATCTCTGCCTGTCAACACCATGGGCATGGTGACTGACCTTAGGCAGAGAAGCTTTCTTCATCTGAGACGGTCTCCCATAGAGTAGTGAAAGTTTAGGGCTTTCTTCAGGTAGCACTTTCTTAGGTGGTTGAGGAGGAGAAGACTTTGTTTCAAAGAGGATTTGACCAGTACACGAAGGTGTCTATCCCAGTCCATCCTGTACCACCCAGATCCACCTCTTCTTATAAGTTCTAAAAGTTACCCTAGGATTTTAGTGGAGCTTGCTTTCTGAAGGAAATACAGAAGAGGGAGGTTAAAGAAGCTATATCCCATGAAGCAGCTGGTGTTGGGCCTGTCACCTGATCGACAGCATCACCCTCTACAGGCGGACTTCCCTCGCTCTTGTGTAGCACCTCTGCTGGTCTTGGTGGCTTCCCCGATAGCATGACCCAGCCTGTCATCCCTCACGGGCCTGATCTCCTGGACATCACATTTTTCTGAGGCTATGAATGCTGTGTACTTGCCAGTCTATAACCAAAACGGAGCAAAAGACTGCCAAGAAAGCACTCAAGTAGATCATCTGGGTACCAAAGCATACTCATTCCTACTTGCCAGGGTGAAAGCAACCCTACCTCCTCCTGATGACGGGAGTCAATTACCCTTGCCAGGATGGTGTCCCTTTTTCTCCTCTGCTGTTTCCTTAACTCAAGGAGTGTACAGTGCTTAGGGAGAAACCAGAGCTTATGGTTAAATAGGTCTCTTGCCCTTGCCTCTCTTGGGAACGAGTACCTCTGTCTGAAAAGCCCCAAGTTGTAGGATCAAGAACAGGAATGAAACAAAACATGGGTCACTGAGAGGACAAATGGAATCCATGTCTCCTCTCAGCCCTTGGTTCTCAGTCGCATGGCAATGTCAACCACAATCCACCTCTTGCATACTTAAATTCACTTTGTGTTAATGACTTGGCTCTATAGAAATGTCTCTGATTTGAAGTGTTCTGCATCAGGAGACTGTCACCCAAAGTATTTCCCCCAAACAGGAGCAGCAGCCACACCCACTGCCTACGTTGTGCCTGAAATGGCCTTGCTTCTCTTCATCCCCTTCCTTATCCTCCTCATCCCCACCACCTAATCACTGGCCTACATCCTCCTGCAATGCTCCTGGGGAAAATCAGTTTAAGCAGTGTGCTACCAAGAGTGGTCCTAGGAAGCAGAGTTATAGAATGGGATTTTTGGAGGCAGATTACTCACCGGCCAGATGACAAGGACCCCGTTGCTGGCAATAGGTGGGCTATTGCTAGTAATGGTAGAACTAGGGGAGTGGTTCTCAAAGCGTGGTCCCCATGCCCACAGCAGCATCTCTTAGGAACTTGTTACAAATGAAAATTCACTGACCTCACCCCAAACCTACTGAATCAACCTCCAGTGGGGCCCAGAAGTGCATGCTAAAGGCAGAGACTCTGCCCCCGTGGAGTCTGTCTGACAAAAGGGCATGCACTGGCTTGAGCAGTATCTCTAGCATGTGAGAGAGGAGGAGGGGAATGGTACCTGTAAGGGCTAGAATCCCTTGAGTGTGGCTGGGTCAGCCAGCTATTAAGTTGATGCAAAGATAACTGGTTTTTGCCATTGAAAGTAATAGCAAAAACCACGACTACCTTTGCACCAACCAAATACATTTGTAAGGCCCAATGTAAAGGTTAAAAAGGCCCCATAGTGATGTTTAGAGGCCTGAAGCTCCTAAGCCCTGTCCTCATGCAGGGAGTCTGGCTTATCTGATTCTACTCAGGTGGAATTTAGGACCCTGTTACTTCACAGGTTTTAGGCTTCTGGTCACCTCTGGCTATTTCCAAGCTCAACATCCAGTGGGCCACAGCATCATGCCCTGCTTTTTGCATGGTGCTGTCACTTTTAAATATATCACCTATTTTGAGACCATGGGGCACTTAACAAATGTACTCACCATACTGCACTGGGATTGACTGTTTGGAATTTATTTTTTAAATAAAAATCCTAGGTTTATACCTAGGAATGGAGTTTCTGGATCATATGGTAACACAATGTTTAACAACTTGAATGAATGTCACTGTTCAATCCTACCAGCAATATACGAGAGGGTGGTGAATTCCTGTAATTTTACGTTGCTTCTGTATCCATTTTGAATGTAAGTTGGGACTTTCTCTGCCCAGAAGCAGGACTTAGTCACCTCTGATGCAGGTTCTAGTTCTTTGCCTCCTTCCAGTTCCTCAGGGTGGTCAATCCAGATATCTGTCTTTTGCAGCTGCCTCCTGGTGATGGCACCTCCCTATGGGATGGCCAGATACAACCTACCTGGCTCACCCCACTGACCCAGGTGAACTGCAGATATGCTGCAGGAGCGGCTACCTCTCGGTCACAGCGTGATCCCATGGAACTCACACCTGCTTGCTCTGAACCCACCAGTCAGCACTTTCCACGGGAAACCTAACTGGGTGCCACCTGGACCCCCAAAAAGGCTTTGGCCCTCAAGTCCCCCCACCATCACTTTCATTCTTCAGAACTAGCTGAGCATGCATTTCCCAGATGGCTTCCCTGCTACTCCCATTGGCCCTGTGAGGCACACTGCTCTCTTCCTGGATCTGTAAATAAATTACCTCTGTGATCTCATGTTTTGTCGAGTTGCCACCTCTATGCCTTGCCTGATGCACACATCCAAATCTAACTTCTTCCTGAGTTGGTGCTTTCCTTCTTTCTGTGAGTGGCCGTAGTGGTAGAAATAAACTGGACACAGGTCAAACAAGAGTTGCAAAGGTGTCTGTCAGGATAGACAAGTTTCCTGTGAGAGGTACCACCTGAACATGGGTCAGACATCTGAGGATTCAGCCATCCTCCAGGATAAAGCAGTACCCCCTCAAAGGCACACTGCATCATGGATTAAACATTCCTGAGCAAACTTTCAGGAGCCCCACCAGAGGGAATGATGACTTTAATATTGGCCTTTTTACCTGGCTTAACCTAGTGTTTATCAGATTTCTCCACCATAACATTCCTTTCATTCGCTCTTTCTAAACTGTCCTCTTTGGAAGGAAGTCACAATACACAGCCCATATTTAAGGGATGGGAAGTTATACTCCATCTTTCATGAAGCATGTCAATTAAAATTTTTCTGCATGAGAGATGTGTCTCCTCTCCTGTTAATGAATGTATTCTTATTCGTAGGGGACTCATGGATACTTATTTTATACTTTGGTTACAATCCGCTACTACTTACTTTTTGCTCGAATTGGCCAGGAAATTTGTTCCTATGCCCTTTTGATTTACTCCCCATCAATGTGTCTTGTCTTGTTTAGTTTGAGCACATACTTACTTTCCGGCATTACAAGATGCTACAGACTCGCCTTGCAGATTTCCTGCCCCTGTCTCTGAATCATTCATTTCTCTAAGGAGCTCCTTTTATCAGAATGGTCTTAGAAACCAAGATCCCTGTCCTGGGTACACTTGTTGCTATTGAAGTATCATTTCTTTTTAGGCCCTTGACAAGGTTTGGCTGTGTCCCCACCCAAATCTCATCTTGAATTGTGACGCCCGCAATTCCCACGTGTCATGGAAGAGACCTAGTTGGAGGTAATTGAATCATGGGGGTGGGTCTTTCCCATGCTGTTCTCGTGATAGTGAATAAGTCTGAGATCTGATGGGTTTTATAAAGGGCAAGTTCCCCTACACAAGTTCTCTTGCCTCTGCAGCCATGATTGTGAGGCCTCCCCAGCCACATGGAACTGTGAGTTCATTAAGCCTCTTGTTCTTTATAAATTACTAGTGTTGGGTATGTCTTTATCAGCAGCGTGAAAACAGACACATACAGCTCTCTCAGACAACAAAGCAAAGAAGTGTGTGTATGTGTAGACACTAACCTGTGTGTGTATATATATATCTGTAAGTTTCTATATTGATGTTAAGCTAAACATGAGTTCACATTAATGTCTAACACTCTAATCCATTACCACATAGATCATTCTAGCTCCTTTCCTTGCTAAGCTGTAAATTCCCATTCCTACAGTAAGACATCTAGGTCCTACCACCTGTCCATTTAATTATTCAACTTATAGTACTGCTATGTATGCACATAGAAGTATTAGAATCAACGTGCCCGAGGGAAACTACATTATTGACAAGAGCATGTTTTTGTACATTTTCTTTTACATTTAGTCTTACAAACTCTATTTCCAATTGTATTTGGGTTATCGCATTTTCCCTCTCCGTCTCTAGAGAGGTTGTTTCATACATGTTTACTACAGTTAGAATCTTTTGTCAGTCTGCATTCTTTCACGGGATTCCCTGACCTACTAAATGATTTTTACTTGCATGCGTTAGGATTTACTCCTTGTGCATAAAAGTTCTGTGGGCTTTGACAAATGACTAACATCATATATCCATCATTGCAATATCATACAGAATAATTTCATCACCCTAAAAATCCCCTGTGCGCCACCTATTCATCCCTCCCTGCCTCCCCGAACACCGTGGAAAACACTGATCTTTTTACTGTGTCTATAGTTCTGTCCTTTAATGAATGTGATACAATTGGAATCATACAGTGTATAGCTTCTTGACCTTAGCAATCTGCATTTAAGGTCACCTCATCTTTTTGTGGCTTGATAACTCATTTCTCTTTGTTCCTGAAACATCTATTGTATAGATGTACCACAGTTTATTCTTGTCATTGACAATACCATAGTTGCTTCCAGTTTTGACAATTATGAATAAAGTTGCTATAAACATTCACATTCTCATCTTCGTGTGGATGTAAGTTTTCAAATCGATTGGGTAAAGATGCTTATGCGTACATGCGTACAACTTCTGGATTGCATGCTAAGGTGACGCTTAGCATACAGTCATAAACATTTTTACCTAATGCTTCGTGAGGAACTACCAAACCATCTGCCAAAGTGGCTGTAACTTTTGCAACAAGAGAACAAGAGGTCCTGCTGCTCTGTCCTTGCTAGCATTTGACGTTGTCACTTTTTAAAATTTCAATCATTCTAATGGGTATGTAGTAGTATCTCAATGTTTTTTAAATTTACAATTCCCGAAATGTGTTGCATCTTTTCATATCCTTGTTTTTCATTTATTTATCTCCCTAAAGTATCTTTTGAGACTTTACCTATTTTTGAATTGGATTGTTGTTTCCTTTTGGGTTTGTAAAAGTTCTTGTATTTTGGTGTGTGTGTGTGTGTGTGTGTGTGTGTGTGTGTGTGTTGTTTTGAGACAGGGTCTTTCTCTGTCACCCAGGATGGAGTGTGGAGTGCAATGGCACAATCTCTGCTCACTGCAACCTCCGCCTCCTGGGTTCAACTGATTCTCATACCTCAGCCTCCCAAGTAGCTGGGATTACAGGCGCACACCATGACACCCAGCTAATTTTTGTATTTTTAGTAGAAGTGGGGTTTTGCCATGTTGGCCAGGCTGGTCTCAAACCCGTGACTTCAAGTGATCCACCTGCCTCAGCCTCCCAAAGTGTTGGGATTACAGGCAGAAGCCACCACATCCAGCCTCTTGTATTTTGAATATAGCTCTTTTATCAGATATGTGCTTTGCAAATATCTTCTCCAGTCTGCATCTTTTTATTACCTTCACAGCTTCTTTCACACAGAAGTTTTTAATCTTAATAAAGTCTAAGTTACCAATTTTTGTCATGGACGGTGCTTTTGGTGTTCTTATTAAAAACTCATTGCCAAGCCAAAGATCACCTAGATTTTCCCCGATAATATCTTCTAGAAGCTTTAGTTTTGTATCTTGCTTTTAGAGCTATGATCTATTTTGAATTTTGTGAAAGGTATAAAATCTGTCTAGATTCATTTTTTTCCATATGGGCATCAAAGTGTTCTAGCACCACTTGTTAAACACTTTTTTCCTTTGCGAGAGATGAGTAACATATTTGTGTGACTCTATTTCCAGGCTTTCTATTGTTCCATTAATCTGTCTATTCTTTCACAAGTATCACTGTCTTGATCACAGTAGCTTTTATAGTAAGTCTTTGAAGGTGGGTAATGTCGGACTTCCAACATTTTTCTTCATTATTGTGTGGGCTATTCTGTTCTTCTTATATAAACTTTAAAATCACTTTGCCAATATCTATAAAACAGCTTACTAGAATTCTGGTTGTAAGTACACAAAGTGATCTTTTAAATCAGGTAGAAAAGAAAACCAAACCATACATTCCTACTGTCTCTATATTTACCTATGTAGTTATCTTTTTCAGTGTTCTTTATTGCTTCATGTGGATCCAAATTACTGCCTAGTATTTTCAATATCAGCCTGGAGGACTCCCTTGTTATTTCCTGTGGGGCAGGAATGCTGGCAGCTCTTACAGGTTTTGTTTACCTGGAAAGTCTTAATCTCTACTTTTGTGTTTGGAATATTCTTTTTCTGGATATTGAATTTTTGGCTGATCAACCTTTATCTTTCAGCACTTTGAATGTGCCATTCAATTGCCTTCTGGTCTCTATGCTTTCTGATGAAGTCAGCTGTTAATCTTAGTGTTTCTTATTGCTTTTGAAACTTTGGCTTTTGACAATTTCATTATGATGCATCTGGGTATGAATGTCTTTGAGTTTATTCTACATGGAGTTCATTAAGCTAATTTACATGTGCAGATGAATGTTTATCAAATTTTAGAAGTTTTCAAATGATTGTTTCTGTCCTTGTCTCTCCTATTCTGCTGCTTCCATTATTCATATGATAGTATTGATAGTGTCCCACAGGTCTCCATAGCTCCTTTTCTTTAACTGGATAATATCAAGTGATCTGTCTTCAAGTTTGCTGACTTTTTTCTTCTGCCAGTGCAAATCTTCCATTGTACTCCAGTAAATTTCATATTTCAGGTATTTTCTCCTAAATTCCACAATTTTATTTAGTTCTTTTTCATAATTTTTGTCTCTTTATCAATATTCTCCATTTGGTGAGACATTGTTATCTAAAGTATCAGGATACCCAATACGTTTACTCTAAGACAGTTTCTATCAGCTGTCCTTTATTTTTACCTATATGGGCATACTCTCCTATTTCTTGTGGGTCTTGTAATTTTTTTTTTGAAGATTGGACACTTTAAAAATCAGATCTCCCTTCCACTACCCCCTGCCAGGTTTTGTTGTTTTAGCTGCTGCTGCACTTGCTGCTGCTGCTGTTTTTGTAACTTTCCTAAATTGTGTAAGATTTTTACTACTTAGTGGTCATGTACAGCCACTGAAGTCTCTGCTGAGTGTAGTGATCCCTTCATGATTGGATAGAGTTCCTTAAATGTGTTAATCCAAAACCCTTCCAGCCTTTGCCAAGGGAATCTGTGTGTGTTGGCAGATAGCTTACCATTCTTCCTCAGCCTTTACCTCCTGTTTGCAAAGAACTTCAAAATCAGAAGTGAGAGATTTAGGACTTTAAGCCTTTCCTGGGCATGCAACATCTTAGCACTTGTGTGTAGCCATTTAGATTGACAGGAATATGTTGGAATTTATCACCATATAGACATCTCCATTTTTCCTTTTAAACTGTAGGGTTGGCCTCTTGTTAGCCCCAACTGGTAATGCTGCCTTAGATATCTGTGATGTTAAATAATTGTCTGATTATCAGCAAACACCTTGGCATAGAAGTGGTTACACAGGTAAAATAAAGAATATCCCTGAGGCTGGATCTTGTCATTGGAGGCTTTCAGATTAAATAGTGGAAAATTCTGGAATTGGGGCGACTAGGGAGCTCCGAATTGTTCTGCCTCTTCCAGTGGCTTGCCAGGCTAATTTCTAGAGCTACTGTAGTTGCAAAGCTGTTATGGTTCTCAAGGTTACCACGAAGCTGAGGGAGGAGGAGGATTGGAATAGAGCAAGTTAAAATGCCCCAAAGTTCACTGATAATACTTGAAATCCATCCATTTTCCTTGAACATATACTCCTCAAATTGTTGTTGTAAGCCTTTAGACTAATTTCCAGGGTTTTGAGAAAGTTTATTTTTGACAAATCTTGCCTGTATCACCACTGGCTTTTATGGAGTAGATTTTCAAAGGTGGTTGTTCAGCCTTGGGAGAAGTGCAGGTTTTTTGTCTCTCGATACCAAATGTTTCCATTGTTCTCAAATGATACCCATATCTTTTCAAGTGTCTGGGTCAATTACAAAGTATCCCATATTATGAACAAAATCCAGAACTTCTTAGTTCCAATATGATTTGTTTTCCACAGAAAATTCTGGTATTAAACCACAATTTCTCAATGTTCTCTGGAAAAGGGAGGATGGGGAGATAAAGCTATCAAATGTTGAATATGAAGAGTTTTCATGGAAAAAAAGCACATCTTGCCATTTAAAGAATTACTCAAACTTCACATGGAATATGTCCATTTACTATTTACTGTATTATGATCCCCAAAAGTCAAATGTTATAATACAACAGCACTTGTACTACTAACATAATATCACAGGAAAGGCATATTATGTTTAACCCGAATAACTAGCCAAGTAATGACGCCTATAAACTTGAGCTTCTACTGAAAAGAAATTCACAAATATTCTTAAATACACAGCCAGAGGAAGTTATTTCATGTTTAGTACATGCATTTAAACTTTTAAATAGTTTATAATAGAATATGCCTGAAATTCTTAATTGTTTAAATTTTATTTGCTTGAAACAGGGTTAAAATAGCAAATACCATGAGAAGAGAAACTTCAGAAGGAAAAAAAGCCTTCAGTATCAATCATAGAGGTGAAACATGTAATAATGGTTAAATTTTTAAAGCTCGCTAGCACTTGACTACAAAAACAAATGTTTACCCTAATCCAGTTAGCAAACTCTGATAAGGAAGTTATCCCAGTGAAACCTTAAATTTTCCACTTACATGATATTATATATTATCACTTTCTAACTTGTTTAAACTTGTGACATTTGATATTTTCATAGTCACTTTATTACAAGACTTAAGGAGAACCAGACTAGCCAACTCTCGTTTTCCACTAAGGCAATAGCCTCAACGGAGTCTTAAGACAAACATTCTTGTTTTTTTCCTTCTTTTATACTGAGCCTAAAAGCTTTTAATCTCTTGTTTTCTAAGCCCGTGGAATCATTCAAGCCTGATTGTTCCATAAAAGAATTCTTTCTCAAATGGGAAATTAAATTAGAAATAAAAGTTAAATCATACCTTATATTTAATGTGTTCAACTATTCAGAGTGTATTTTGCTATAGAATACTTGGAAGCCATAACTTATTAATTTTTTTTGAGTAATTAAGAAACAGATTTATCAAACACTCAACTTGGCCAAGATGCAAACATATTATAAATAGGAGATTCTAAAATAAGCATCTGACAAATTTAGCAGCAGAAATTTCATGTCTCCAATTAAGTATCATAATTGATTCTTGAAGGCATCTTTCCAAACAATTCTCAACTTTGCAAATGCTGAACACTAATTTTAACCCAGTTATCTCTATACATTTGAACAAATCAAAGTCCAAGATCCAGAGTTCTCTAGTAAATTTTTTTCTTTCAAATGCTCTTGCCAAAACTGGGATTTTTTTTTTTCCCACTATTTCAGAACCTGCACGTTTCAAAGCCAAAAAACTGGAACATATTTTTGTATGTGCACTGGCTATATTCAAGTTCATTTGTGTGAAGAAGAAACCACAATTTATTCTGCTCTCCCCTGTACCATGGGGCTAGAAGTCTAACAACTGTATCTGCAGAGTCCCTTACCTCTAAAGTCCTAAATACAGTCTGCATTTTGCTAGCAAGAAACACAAAAAGCCTGGAAAGTGAAATTGAAACTGATCCCGTTTCTTCCTCTCCAGCGTGTGTGCTTGCCAAATGGGAGCTTTAGCAGCCTCCAATTTCCTTGTTAATCCTGCCTCAGGCATGTAGAAGAGCCATAAAACCTGCAGTGAGTTCCTTAAGGACCTATACCCTGTGTAGCAGCTGCTGCCTGCCTCTCTGTAGCAGTGAACCTGGAGTTATTTGGCCCTTTCTAACTTTCACTCCCCTAGTACTGCTGGCAGTTGATAAGTATGTGATTCCCTAAGTCGAATCATTTCTGCTTGAAATACATAGTGACTTTGTTTTCCTGTAACCTGGATTTGATGGTATTTGATGCCCCCAAACAGGGCAGCCTGGCAACTTCTGAAGCATTTTACAGAGTGAAGCTCCTCCTCCTCAGCCTTCATTGTCACTGCGAGGCATTGTCAGAATTGGAGCTTCTGAGACTTCCCTAATTTCTCATCTCTCATCTCTCATAGCTATGGGGTCAGTGTATCATAAAGCCAAACCCAGATTTTAATCCTTCATATTACAAAATAATCACAAAAGTTAGCTTAATATCTACATCAGGGATCTACATAAAACTCCAATTCATTCTCGCCCTCCCCATTCTCAGGATACTATTACACTCAAATCACTCGCCAACTCCCAAATCCTACTGAGCGCCACTGCTACAGAAGCACCCAAGCCTTACCTGCCTAAGGATTCAAACTTCCCTTGGCTTTTAAAGATCCTCTACTGACTTCACCCAAGAAAGTTACCTTGCAAGGGGACTCTGAATCTCCACAAGGCACACTTCTACCACCTCTCATTTCTTTTAGACCAGTAACTTAAATAGAGACACACACCCAGGGGACAGAGTTGCACATAGAAAGCAATAGCTTATACGCTGTCAGGATTGCAACCTTTGGTTGTTACATCAGCAGAAAACTAGGGGTGTGTCTGGAAATAGATTATAAAGGTATTAGTCCAGGGAAGAAGAAATGTAACATTGTACTGGTTTCAAGTAATAATAGAGCACTTACTTTCTATAAAAGTCTAGACTTAATGTGTTGTCTTGAGCAGCTAGCATCAATTGTTTGGTCTAAACATGAGTTCACTGTTGGCCTGCATTAAGTTGAACTTAAGATGCTAGAACTGCTTTAGCAAAATACAGAAGGGTAACCCAAAGTCTTAGATGGGCATGGGCTTAATCTTTCATGCCTCATCCCTCACGCCCTTGCCCTACCCTTTTTACTCCAGAGTTGCTGCAGCAATTTAGATAAGGGTGGTCGAACAATGCCCCATCTTAATTGCACCACATCTGCCTTGCTTTCTGCCCAAGACTTCTCTCTCTTGCTGCCCCGTGAACACCTGCTGCCCCGTGAGCCCTCTTCTCCATTTTTGGCTCAGGCACAAACCTGAAATTGCAAGGTAGCTACTACCATCTGGCCAAAGGGGTAATGAAATATAGAACTAGACTCCTCTGTCCCATGCCTTGTACAGCACATTCTATGTACTCAGAAGGCTCCAGAAAAGCTTAGTTAGCTTCAGTTTTCAGTAATGATGAGAACTCTATTCTTCCCATGCCTTGTACAGCACATTCTACGTGGTCGCTCAGAAGGTTCCAGAAAAGCTTAGCCCCAGTTTTCAGTGGTGATGAGAACGTAACCTCTGCTGCAGTGAATATCAGTGCCCCTTTCTGCCTTTTCCTATAGTGCACATGGTGTGACCACCACCCTCTCGCCCTCCTCATTGAGCACTGTCTCCAGCCACTGCAGTCTTCTGTCCTTGCACATACCATAGACCTCAGGCACCCAGGACTCTGCACCCCTGGAAACCACCCCATCTGGGGACTGATGGAAAGTCTTATATAAATACTTCAGCCCAATTGCCACTCGGGTGGGATAATCTCGACCCTCTGGTTCTGAGTCCTCCCACAGGGTTAACTTGCTTGACAATGTGCCCTTCATTCAGAAGAGGTTACTAGGAAATGATAGTAAAAGAATAGGGAAATGAGGAAAAGGGAAAGGAAGAAAGTTAGCGCTTGAATTCTTGAGACCTGCTTCTAGGAAAACTTGAAGACAGCTGTTACTGGAAGAGGCTTCAGAAAGTGGATAAGGGAGATCTAGACTCGGGTCCCTTGCTGGCCAGACTGAAACTAGGACCCCATGACTGATAGTAAGTACATAGTGACAATCCCTGGCATGCTGGAGATCATGTTACCAAGGCCCTTCCTGCAGTTAACTGGGATGGACATCAGTAGAACAGGGTGGACTGTCCTATATAGTATCTTTAGCACAGGGAATATCTGGCAATGTCTGAGACAGTTTTGGTTGTCACAACTGGGCAGGGTGGGGGTCTCCTGTTATCTAGTGGATAGAGGCAAGGGATGCTGCTAGACATACCATGATGTACAGGACAGTCCCCCACAACAGGAATAATCAGGCCCAATATCACCCAGTGGATCAGAACCCCAGGTGCCGGTCCAGTCTTTTGATTATGCTAGTCTCCAAGCTTTATACTTCCTCTTTACATTAAAACATTTAATTTTGTTTAAAATTCAAATGAATTTAACTATAAGACTTTATGTACTAATCAAACAAAATGCCTAACTTGTTTAAAGAGTGTTCGTAAATCAGTAGAAGAGATTAACACGTTAAAATCCCCAAATAGAAAGCAAAATGACACATGAAGATCTCTTAATGACCATGGCCAACAAACATGCGAGAAGAGATCCTCATTAATAACCAATGAAGTGTAAATGTATCAGGATCATTAGGTAAACAGAAATCACTCGATGTTTCAAGTAGGCAGAGACTTAAAATGGGGTACCTGGGTGTGGTGGCACCTGTAATCACAGCTACTCTGGAGGCTGAAGCACGAGAATTGTTTGAACCCAGGAGGCAGAGGTCGTAATGAGTCAAGAACACACCACTGTACTCCAGCCTGGGTGACAGAGTGAGACTCAGTCTCAAAAAAAAAAAAAAAAAAAAAAAAAAAAAAAAAAAAAAAAAAAAAAAAAAGGTGGCAGGTGGTGGAAAACTATAGCTGTTTATAAAACATCTGGGAAAGCTGGAAGAAGGTGGTCCACTGCTAGCTCTCAGATGTTGCTCAAAGTTGCTACTGCCACCCAGGCCAGGGGAAGCAGGAAGTCCCTGTCAATGGTACTATTTACAACCAGCAGCAAGGAGGCAGATGTTTTAGGGAAGATATCAGATCAAGAGCCCTTCAGATCCCTGCCTCTGTCTACTTCCAGAAGATGGATGTCGCTTCCCAGGCTGCTTCTGAATCTTGCCTGAAGGCTCTTGTGATGGGGTCTAAACCAGTACAGTGCCAGAAAGGGATTCTAGAAAATGTAGCTTCCAGGTAGCAGTCCCTGTGAAATAGGGAGAATAGAGGCGGGTCGGGGGGAGGGGAAGGAAAGTTGCTGAATGCAACAGAAGGTTGCACCTTAAAACAATGACACGATGCCAATCACAGCTCACTTACAAGATGCTGAGGGCTCTCAGTCAATGAGACTAGTTCCTTCTAGAAAGGCAGTGCAAACTCATCCTCTTCCTGGCAGGGTTTCCACTAAGATAAAACCGTGATCACTGAAAATCTGCATATCAATTGACCAACCCAACTCAAGGAATTTATCTTAGCGTAATATTCACACAAATTTACAAAACTATATACACAGATATTCCTCATATTAAGATGCAAAACTGATACAACTTAACTATTAATGGATTTTGATTAGTTATATGTCATAAAAGCATGCAGCCCTACATGTAAGGCATGTTTGTATTTGATAAAATATTCTATTTACTTTTGTGTCTTTTGCCCTCAAGATAAAATCCCAAATCCTTACCTGCAGGTGTCTCTGGCCCCTGCTTGGTTGACCAACCTCATCTCATGCTGTTCCTCCTCATTACCAACTATGCCTCAGCCACATGGTCTACCTTCCAGGGCCTCTTCCCTTCTAGGGGCCCTCATTCACACAGTTCCCCTGCCAGAAACACTCAATATGATGTATGTCATCCTACAGAGGCACTTATGTAAAAGTACATATAAATATGTGCATAAAGAAACTGGATTTTTTGAAGATATTCTTGTATTTCTTATCTGGTTATACTTGCAACTCTAAAGCTTATTAAATTACTTTGCAACTCTAATGGTTAATTTGAAAATCTAGAGAAAATTACACATGAAACATTGCAACAAATTTGAAATTCTAGTGGAAACAGATGCTTTCCTTGTGAAATGTTTTTAAAAGAATGACTTGCCAAGAAGGTGATTTGACCAACCCTACAACCTAGAAAACTTTTGAGTCACTGTTATGAACTTCTCTCAATATCTTAGAGGTAGATTTTGTTTCATAAATTAGCTTCAATATGGTCTTTTATAGTGAAATGTGTCATCCATATAGAAGGGTGTTTATAACATGAGTGCTTTTTCTTTAAATACACATTGACTGTCCAGGTTAAACTATAGGCTGTTCCCTAGTATCTTGAAAGCTTTCTATGTTTCTCCCTTATGGAATCTCCTTTTCCTTCCAGCACCCAAGAAATTAACACAAATGTTAACACACTGATTCTGGCTTATTTCTGTAATAAATGTAAATCCTCAACAGAGATAACAAAACATACCGTATAGCTTTTTAAATGAACAAGCACAAGCCTAGATAAGGAAAAGGTACTTGTGCCTCTATCAGACAAAGACACCTGTGAGAAGATAAACTAAATGGACTCCTGGGTCCAAGGCCAGCATGACCTTCTGCTTACAAGGATCAGTTTGGTACAGAGTGGACAAGCTGAGTGAGTTCTGGGAAAGAAGGAAACCCCAAAGTTGCATTCAGCTGATTGCAAGAAGGAAGAGGCTACTCTGTATTTTCAGCTTCTAAGCTTTCCCTTGGCTCCGTCCAGTTCTGAGAAACATTTCTGAATAGAACGATTCTGTTTTTACCTGAGTATCCTCCAGGGATTCCCGCATACAGACCTGAGGGGAAAGCAAAAACTTCAAGAGCTTAACACAAACCAAATACTAAAAAGGATGGGCCACGCTGACCTGGGGGATTCTGTCCTCGGATTAAAGAGATGGGGCTCTTGGATGGCTCACTCTTGGGACACTCTGAGACCCCAGAAACCAGGCTGTGAGAAGTCCAAGCTCCAGGAAGAGGTCTTGTGAACTCAGCTAGTGTTTACCCCAGCTGACAGCTGAGCACTCAGCGTCAACTGCCAACCATGTGGGTGAGCAGGGGTAGCGTCCCACACAGTGGAGCCTCCAGGTGGCTCCGGACTGTGTGAGATGGTTAATCTTACGGGTCAGCTCAATTGGGCTATGGGGTCCAGTTGTTTGGTCAAACACCAGTATAGATGTTGCTGTAAAGGCTTGTATTATATGATTAGCATTTAAATCAGTAGACCTTGAGTAAAGCAGATTAACCTCAATAAGGTAGGTGGGCCTCATCTGATCAGTTGAATGCCTGAACAGAACAAAAGACTGACTGCCCTTGAGCAAGAGGGAATTCTGTCAGCAGACACACCTCTGACTTGGACTGCAATGTTGGCTCTTCCCTGGGTCTCCAGCCTGATGGCCTCCGAAGTTAAACTACATAAGCTCTTCTCTGGGTCTTCTGCCTACTGGGCCACCCTGCAGATTCTGGATTTCCCAGTCTCCTTAACTTCATGATCCAATTCCTTAAAATAAATCGATCTCTCCCTGTGTATATACACATACTTTATATATATATAGTATATGCATACATAAATTGGTAAATAAGGCAATCTATGTGTATATACACATACATGCACACACACACACACACACCATATTGGTTGTTTTTCCAGAGAACTCTGACCAATATATACACCCGCAGTAATCACAACTACAAATGCAGACACACAAATACCACCACAATCGCACAAGTAAGGACCACCCAGCTGAGCCCAATTAGCTCAGAACCATGAGGAAGTCATGAACAGTAGTTCTAAATTATTAGGGTCCAGGCACGGTGGCTCATGCCTGTAATCCCAACACTTTGGGAGGCTGAGGCGGGTGGATCACCTGAGGTCAGGAGTTCGAGAACAGTCTGGCCAACATGGTGAAACTGTCTCTACTAAAAATACAAAAAATTAGCTGGGTGTGGTTGCAGACACCTGTAGTCCCAGCTATTTGGGAGGCTAAGGCAGGAGAATCACTTGAACCTGAGAAGTGGAGGTGGCAGTGAGCCGAGATTGTGCTGCTGTACTCCAGCCTGGGCAACAAGGGTGAAACTCTGTCTCAAAAAAATAAAATAAACTATTAGGAACTGGTGGGGCTTGTTATACAATGAGATCATGGGAAGACTCAGATAAAATGGGCTTTCTTGCTCATAACTGAGAGCATCTTTACAATACATTGTCCACCCTCTTCTAACTTACAACTTTTCCTGTGAGGTCTTGACAGTTGAGGCTTATTTTGTTCTCTCCAGTTTCCTCTAGGAACTCTACTTCATTGGAGAATATTTGCTTTGTTTTTCCCAGACTAATTTTCTCTTCTGACCTTCTAAATACTCTAAATATCTGTAGAGGATCTCGATCGATTAGGATGAAAAGACAAAGAGCAAATTCCCTTTCAACCCTGATTCTGCAATGATTCCTGATGTAACCATTGGAAGTTCAAAACAGGACTTTTCACAAGAATACACTAGCACTGAAAACATTTCACCATTGGATTGGTCATTTCAGCAGGACTTGGCGATGGTCACATAAGCATAACTGGTCATCCTCAGGGCTTAAAACATACTTGTATTGTGAATCTCTACTAAGCATATTAATATCAACTATTGTGCCTTCACTGTGAAGTGGATCACTTGTAAACACCAACTAGCCCTTCATTTTATTTCATACTGTGTCCGAAATCAGTATATCCCTCCCAGTTTTGTTCATTCACATTGCCCTGGAATAAAAATGAGGTTAAAGATAAAAGGATAAACAAGTTTGTGAATCTCTTGTAAGTAATATAGATGAATTTAAACCTAAGAGTTAGGTGTTTTGTTTAACGAGTTTAAATCATTTAGTGTCTTTTCTACTATGATAGTTGTTTTACAACATTGTGTAGTGCTTTTAATTCTGGTGGTTCATGTATGAAAGCAAGACAAGTTTAGTTATGTGTGGCCTTCAAAGTTACTTCAGTAGAGCTTTTTTCAAAAAAATGACAGTATGTAAGCCAGGTAAGCAATGCTATAATTGGGTTAATTATAGCACCTAAGTCATAGTATTTTTGCAAGTGTTAGATAATGTACATGTATAACCCTTGACTCCACATATTATGAGTTAAATCTAGACAGTTTCAATACTTGAATTCTACTTTTAATTATATGCTTGTACAGAGAATTTGTTACTTAATCTGGAATCTAAGAAATAATCTGGATCAAACTTGTAAAAACTTGAAGTGTGCAAAAGCAAACTAAGTTATTTGAGAGTGCCTTAGTCTGTGCAGGCTGCCACAACAAGACCAAAGACTTGGGTGGTTTATAATCAGCAGAGACATTTCCTATACTTCTGGAGGCTGGAATTCTAAGCTCCAGGGTGCCAGCATATTTGAGCTCTGGCGAGGGCCCTGTTACAAGTTGCAGATAGCCAACTTTTTCTTGTGATGTCACATGGAAGAAAGAGGGTTGGAGAGCCCTCTGGCTTCCTCTTTCCTAAGAGGACAAATCCCATTTAGGAGGGCTCCGCCACCAAAATGCCTAACCTCCTAACATCATCACCCAGGGGTTAGGTCTCAATATGTGAGTTTTAGGGGCACACAAACATTCCATTACAGAGGGATTTCCAAGGAACCAAGCCACCTAAAAAATATGTCCCACCCTTCCATTCCCCACTGGTTTGGGAATGCATTTGAAGAATTTATAAAACAGAATTCTAATGTGTCAGCCTCATTACTGACAAAGGCAGAGCTGGAGGATGTGACTTCATGTCAGAGCCAAAAATTAAGCCACAAAATTAAACAAACACACTCCATGGAAGTGTGGGACGGGGCCTGGCCCTGAAGGAGCAGAGGAGAAGGCTGTTCTCCTTTGGCACACTGGGACCCCCAGGGAGGAGAAGAGGAGTCTGAGCTGAGCATGTCCAGTTCATTGTTCCAAAATTGACCAGTCAGTCAAGTCATTCTCCCTTCTTGATGCAAAAGGACAAGCTTGGTCAAAGCCAGGAGTTAACATTAACTGAGATTTTTCTATCTAGGAGGAAATGTTCCAAGTGGAGGAGCACCCATCATGCTCATCTTTTCATAGGGAAATCAAATGACAGCTGCGATGGAGTATCTGACACACAAACTCTCCTGGGGTTCTCGGGCCTCACCTTCCTCTTTGTCACCTTCACTGTGTCCTTTTCCCTGGCTCAACCTCTCCTGGAAAGTCCCTTGGGGTTTGCTCCTTGGTCCTATTCTCCATTCTCCCTCACCTTCCTAAGTGAGCTTATTGAGAGCCTTAAATACCAGAAAAAGATTGAAAGCTCCTCACTTAATTTTCTATATCAAGTGTAATTTTCATATTAAAAAATAATTAAATGGTTATATTTATGAATATAAATGCAAAACATGGAACACACTAGCATATAAAAATACCAATTATAGGCCGGGCAGGGTGGCTCACGCCTATAATCCCAGCACTTTGGGAAGCCCAAGGTGGGCGGATCACCAGAGGTCAGGCATTCAAAACCAGCCTGGCCAATATGGCGAAACCCCATTTCTATTAAAAATACAAAAAAATTAGCTGGGCACGGTGGTGTGTGCCTGTAATCCCAGCTACTCAGGAGGCTGAGACAAGAGAATCACTTGAACCTGGGAGGCAGAGGTTGCAGTGAGCAGAGATTGCACCACTGCACTCTACCCTGGACAACAGAGCAGGACTTTGTCTCAAAACAAAAGAAAAACCAATTGAAGTAGACACTGTAGTGTACCACAAGGTCTCTCCCCACTCCTTTTATTATTGACCAAGTGACTACTAGATGATGGGAGTACTGGTGGCTGATAGCTGTTAGCTGAGTTCTTCTCTGGGCATTGACCTTAGCTGAAGAGAGTCACTTTACCCAGGGTCCAAGGGTGAACCCCCTTCCTTGCAGATGCAGAGGTACAAAGGCCCAGCCACTGTGGACCAGTCCAAGACAACTCTGAGCCATCCAGTTCCAGAGTTCCCTGTGGGATTAGCAGTTTGATTACTCGTTCCCTCCAACCCTGTTACCCTGCTTCTCCAACTGCCCCAGGACTGCGCTGCTCATAAAGTTCCATCTGACACTTTCCATGGAACCCAACCTGCAACATCAATAGACAATGACCAAGTCAGCTTTAATCAAATATGATTAGTAAAATACTTTGTTTTGAGGACTTTTCTGTTTAATAATATCCTGTGCAACCATTTTGCATAAAGCTGCTGGAGGATATGGTCCAACAGAGCACAGGGGGAATACACAGTGAAAGTGGAAGAGGGAATGGATGAAACACTAAGAAACTTAAGGCAAGATCTAAGATGACTGCTGTGCACCAAGCAATTAGTCTGAATTAGAGAAGAGTGAATTGGGAGCAAACATTTTAAAGACTGCTGTTACCAAGAGACCTATTGCCACTGTTGGTAAGATCCAGGACTGAGTTTTGTCTGTGTTTTTATTCAGACATCACACATGATAATCTTGCTGGGTGTAGAATACTAAGCCGTGAATTATTTTTCTTTAAAATGTTCTGATAAGCCGAGGTGGATAGATCACTTGAGCCAAGTTTGAGACCAGCCCGGGCAACATGGCAAAAACCCAGCTCTATTAAAAAACACACAAAATTAGCCAGGCATGGTGGCATGCACCGGTAGTCCCAGCTACTCAGGAAGGTGAGGTAGGAGGGATCGCATGAGCTTGGAAAGTTGAGGCTGCAGTGAGCTAATACCACCACACTCCAGCCTGGGCAATGGGAGTGAGACCCTGTCTCAAAACATATGATAAAATGCAGGGAAAGTGTAGCTTTAACTTAAAATGTTATGACCACTGTTAGTGCAAATATTTTCTGACTTCCTTTCCAAACTAAAGCGCATGCCTGGCTAACCCAGTGCTTCGTACTCTCAAAGCACTTAGAAAGAGATTCATGGTAAAGTTATTTTAAAGAGATATTCTCATTAATGCTTTGATAAGTCTCATAGTCTATGGTTTCTATCAAATTTTAACTAAGGTGAAATCAAAGAAATTTAAGGCTTATGATTATATTTCTACCAAAAGCAAGAACATGATGAGTTTAGCTATGAATAATTGCAAGAGAACGTTAATATGTTGGTGTCTGTGACGACATCTGAACTCCTGAAGTCGGATGCATAAAGTTTGGATGTTTTGTTCTGCCTAGAGTGGGACAGCGACCCTTCTACCCCTCCTTACCCCTTTTATGGTCACAGGATTGAAGATCTGAAGAAACTACCTACTGTCTTCTCCCACTTGGGCTATCTCCATAGCCTTCTCGGTTATCTAAGATTATTGAAGGTTTGTGTCCCAGTTTCCTCCTTTGTTGTGGATAATAATCATCGCTATCTCATAGTTTCTATGAGATGATGTATGCAAAGCACTTGAACCATGCCTGGCCACAGTAAGTGCCACAGACATTTGCTAGATAAGAAGTTCTGGAACATATGTTGAATAAAGCGAAACCTGTTTTCCACAGAGGATGATTCCCCAAATGTCTATTTTTCTCTTCCAAAAGGGGGTCATACTTGTTGCTTGCTGTGTGGTAGGTACCCTAGTGCTGGGCACTGAAGTTGTACCAATGACAATGGCTCATTCTGTTCCGAGTGGGGCATAGGCGTATATAGTCGACCGATGATTAATGTCTTACAAATGTTTACAAATTTTGAGAAAGTAGGATGAAATCAAAGTTGCTAGGGATCGTCCTGGGGTTAACACGGACAGTGTTAAGATGGGGCACTTCATACACCAGACCTATGGCTTCCCCCAGAAGTGACATGTATTGCTTCTGCTCATCTATCTTCAGCCAGGAACATCTTTCTCCTCCTCATAAAACCCCTTACCTCCACCTGACCAACTCCCACTTAGCTTTTGGGCTCTCTGAAGGAAAGGCTTAAGGCATTGTGAGAAACTAGAGGAACATAGGATTTACATGGAAGGGGCAGCGTGGGGGATGCTCAAGAAATCCCTCTCCGAGTCCAAAGGATGAGTAAGTGTTGACCAGGCCCCAGGAGAGGGCATTCCAAGCAGTCCAAGGAACAAGGGCCAGACCCTGAGCAAGGAGGACACTTGGTGCCCTGAAGAGGCCAAGAGATGATTGTGGCCGAGGGAGGGGCAGAGAGCCAGGGAGGATCGTGTTGGAAGGTGAGGAGGTGGCTGGGTCAGGCCTCACAGCATCTGGTAGTCCGTGGCAAAGGATTCAGACAATAGCCTTCCTCGGCCCACTCCTGGCTTCCTGTTGGCTTAGGATACCAGTATCCTGGTAGTGGTGGGAGCTATCATGGATCAGAGAACGTGGAAGCTAGTGTTGTCATCCCCCAAGCAGAGGGTCCCGATTTGATTCACAGCAGAGATTTGAGTCCTTACTCCCAGAGTTTGACTGGCACCTCCAATCCCCCTATGAAGCGCCAGGGTGTGGGCCTTAAGGGGGAAGGGTTTATCCGTAGGATATTGTTACAAGTGGTCTGGTTCACCTAGGTGCAATGGGGAGAGCAGGTGACAGATCAGCAGAGGTGGGGCCCTGGAGCTGCTGCTCTGCATTGCTGGTCTTGTTCAGTGTCCTCTGCCCAGCTACTGGAGGATGCCTGTTGCTGAGTGAGCATGGAATGGGCTGTTGAGCCAGTGAGGGGAGGCACAGAGGGCTGTCATCAGTGAGGTGAGGGATGCCCAGGCAGAGGGAACAACATATGCAAAGGCAGTTTCCTGTAACCTGAATTCCCTGCCTGACATAATTGATTAAACACAAACTTTTGCTCATTCTTCCCTATCAGGACTTCAAGAGGAGGTGGCCTGTGAGTTGACATTGTCATTACAGCAATTAAACCTGCCTAAGGGAATGCAGACTGTACAGTGAGAGGCAGGGAGGAGGAGCACTTATCTCATTGTGTTTGAATGATTATTAAACACTCACTAATTGTGCTGGGCCCTGGGGATACAATCTGCCAAGCAATTACACCCAGCCAGGCCTTCCCAGATAATCTGTTGGAGGGGGGTGGGAATAGCATTTCTAGACTGCCTTCCAGGTGAGGCGGGAACAGAGAATAGGACTGCCTGGTGTCCCTTTCCCTCTGGGCTTTGGTCTCTGCAGGGTCAGTCCCTCCTGCCTCCTTTGTGAGGCCTGGACCAGAGCTCCTGGGAGGACTATAGGCATCTCCCAAGGATGGAGCATCTTCCATGAAAACAGCAGTGATTGACTCTAGGGTGGCCACCTGTCCTGATCTTCCTGGGACTCAGGGGACAGAGAATGTGGGATCTTCAATGTTAACACCAGGACAATCCCTAGCAATTTTGACTTCATCAGCCTTTCTCCCATACACATGCAATGGTGCCAGGCCTGGCTGAGCCTTTCAAAGGCTCATGAGGTATGATAGGTTTTTGCATGTTTTTTTGTTTTTGTTTTTGTTTTTGTTTTGCAACAGCTGGCAGGGCCCTGCTCACCCCTGCCTTAATTCCTGTAAGCTACCCCCCACCACTCTAGGCAGTCCCCCAACTGACAGTCCTCCAGGCCTAGCAGTTGATCAAGCCTCTAACAGGAAGCAGATGGATGTCCAAAGATTTCCCTGGAGAGAGTACCTGAAGCTACTATTAATAGACATGAAGGCAGAGTTAAGGGAACCAGGAAGGGAGAGTGGGGCACCCGGGGTCTAGGAACCTTGGGAAGCCTCTTTCCACATTGGAAGCTGCAGGGGTCTGGGTCTGGGGGTGGAGGTCTTGCTAGACCCCAGAAAGAGATGGACCACTCCATGACAAGGCAGCAAGGGATTGAGGTTTGATAGGTATCCTGATATCTTTCTGTCTACGCTCCCATCTTTTGCCAGTGTCGCCCACTGACCAACTCCAAAGGGAAGCCAAGGGGGGCCTGGATGATGCCATCCTAGAATCAGCCTCCCAGGCATAGAGCAGGAATCGGTGGGCAGAGAACAAATCTAGAGAAAAGCCAGTACATACACCAGTAAGGTAACCCCAGAGCTGAGCCTTGGAGCCTGAGTTCAAGAGTGCCAGGGCCAACCAATGACTTTCTCCAAAGATGCAAAATATCCAAGAATGCAGGGACCTGGGGGTCCCCAGACCTTGGCTTGACTCCTTGCCTGGCCTATAGCCAAGTCTCCTCTGTGTCCTAAGCTATCACACAAGGATAATGTCACCTACCGTATGGGGGCACTGAGGAATAAAAGAGTACAGCATATTAGCATGTGTGGTGGGGAGAGTAGTCTATCACCTGTTTGGAGAATGAGAGTAGGAATTTTTTTCTACCCTTATCAGATTGAATTTGATCCTCTCACAACACATGTAAAGTGCCTGGCATAGCACCTAATGTGAAATATCTTATTTGGTTTCTGGACCCTGCTGGTTCTTGTGAGACTTCAGACTTAAGTAATTTGACTCAACCTCCCCTTTGGTAAATAAGGATTGTTATTTAAATCTGCCCCCCAAAATTCATGCGTTAAACTTAATCCCCAATGCAATGGTATTGGAAGGTGGGGCCTAATAAGAGATTGGGCCATGAGGGTGGAGCCCCCAGGAAATAGATTAACTCAAAAGTGAGTCTTGGGAGTGGGTTTTAAAATGGCCCCTGGTGCCCTCACACACTCTTGCTTCCTCTTTCCACCGTTTAGCCATAGGATGACCCTCACCAGGTAACACCATGCTCTTGGACTTCCCAGACTCCAGAACCATGAGTTAAATAAACTTCAATCCTGTATAAATTACCCAATCGGTAGTATTCTGTTATAGCAACAGAAAATAGACTAAGACAAGGATCAAAATGGCACCTGCCAGATAGGTTCATTGTGAGGATTAAAGAGATATTTAGAACATGCCTGGAACCTACTATTGCTAGTATTAGGTTTAAATGAATTACCTCATGTAGGTCACTTAGTAGCCTCCCAAAAAATGACAAGCTCCATTTTACAGAGGAAGCACTTGCATAGCTTTTTTATGTGATAAACTTGGCTAGACTACAGTCCCTGTTATTCAATCAAATGCTAATCTAGATGTTTCTGGGTAGGTACTTCATAGGTATGATTAAAGGTCATAATCAGTTGACTTCAAGTAAAGAAGACTGTCCTAAGTAAACTAGGTGGGCCTGGTTCAGTCAGTTGAAAGGCCATAAGAGCAGAGTTGAGGCTTTCCTGATGGAGAAGACATTCCACCTGGGGGATACCACTTTTGGCCCATGCCTGAGAGTCCCAGCCTGCTCATCCTGGAGGCCAGCCCTGCAGATTTCATACTTGCCTAGACCTCACAATCATGTAAGCCAACTCCTTCCAATAAATCTCTTAATATATATTTCCTAATGGCTCTGCTTCTCTGGTGGGATACCTAGCTGATATAACCTCTGAACCCTTGAGAGGGTATAAGAAATTTGCCCAGGGCTTGTTCTGCAAGAGATGGAGAACTAGAATTAGGATTCAGGCCCCCTGACCCGAAGCCCTGCTCTCTCCCATTAACTGTAGAAGACTGGCTGTGTGGCCAGGGGGTGGCCTGATCTCCAGGGCTCATGGGTGAGTGAATATTAATTACTTCCCTGCCATTACCCCAAATGCTCCTGAACTTCATACCTCATTCCCCTTTCATGGCCAGCACTGTGAGCTGCATTCTAGAATAAAAGGCAGAGCCATTGTCTGGCAGGACAGGAAGAAGGGAGCAGCCCTCCAGGGCACCAAACCCCTGGACCATAACCCAGGCCCCTGCACCTGCCTGCTCAGAGGATGCCTTCAGGAAAAATCCTTACCCCCAACATGCCAACTTTTTTTTTTTTTTTTTTTAAACAAGATGCCACGTGCCCCCACCCCCTTCAAAAACCATCTATTCCTGGTGCCCCACTGGGGCGTTGCCATGGCAACAGGCAAAGCCAGAGGCCCAGCAAACAGGCCTGCTTTTCTTGATGGTTCTTTGGGGACTACACTGCCCTCAAAGAATATGCAAGCCAGCTTCCTCTTCTCTGAGCAGCAGTGAACAAAGACCCTCCCTTCCTTTTCTCTTTACCCCGAACCCAGGCCCTATAGGCTGAGGACTCTGGCTGGAGGAGCCAGAGAAGAATTGCAGAGAATCCTAAGTTCTGATCCTAGGGCCAAAGCCAAGAGTGGATTCAGCACCCCCATTTCAGTTTGGGCCAAGAGTCAGGATAGTGGGGTTCACCAAGAAATAATCAGAGCTGTTACCCCTTGAAGGGAAATGTGGGCGATGCTTCCAAGGGGAATGGTGAGAGCTAAGAGCTGCTGTGTCTGGTCATATCAGCAGAACCACATTGGAGACAACCATGCTGTAACACTAGGAAGTTAGATCATGGGACAGCTGGGGGGTGGGGGCTCTCATTCCACTCCAAGGTCACACTTGTCAACAGCAATCACCACCCTAGGCTCCGGCCCTTCTCCAGCTTGTCCCTATTAGTCAGTGTAAGTTGGCATCTGCACCAGGCACTACAGCATGTGACGGCAGTTCAGGTGAATCTTCTGTGGATGTGGGAGTGGCTAAGAGGAGTGGAGGGGACACATGGACTGCACATTGCCATCCTCGCCACGCTTTATTGACCCCACAGAGTAGGCAGGCCAAGTCTGTGCCAAAGCCCCAGACCTTGTTGTCTTACCATTGTTAGCCATAACCCTGCAAGAGAGAAATCAAATGAGATCGCTGTATGGGGCATGCATTCTAACTCCTGGCCTCACAGACCCTGGGGCCCTGAAAAAGCGGGGAGGACCAGCAGGCAGGAGTTTGTTCCCTCTTTGTGCTCACCACTTCCATGTGCCATTCTACAGATGTCCAACCTGCCTCCTGATTCTGCCAGAGACCTCTGGCTGAGCCAGGCTCAGAGCTGACCTAAGGCAAAGTCCAGGAGGATGAGGATAGCCAGAGGGGTGAGAGCATCACAGGGTCTGTTGCTGGGAGGCCTAGGGAGTAGAGGCCATCTTCACATCTGAAGAACACAGCAGGGATTCAGCCACAGGGGCCTCCTGGGCCCCGAGCTCAGATACGCTTCTGCCTGGAGCCTTGGCTCTTGCCCATCAGCAGCTGGAATGTTCTTCCTGCCCCCATCTGCTCAAGCTCACCTTTCCAGTGGAGAATGGTCCTGACGGCCAACTGTGTACAGCCACCTGTTTCCTGCTGGGCTCCAAATCCCTTACTGTTTTTCTCTGTTCCATGACACTGCTTCAAACATATGGTATAATTATCTGTTACTTTTTTTGTCACCCCATGATGGACTATAAGCTCCTCAAAGGCACTTGTGTATCTAATATTCACATCCCAAGTCCCTAGAGTACAGTGTCTGGCGTATAATAGACTCTCAATAACTTTCCTGAATGAGGTGGATCTTTAAGAAGTCTCAAAATTGACCCCACCTTAGATACTCAATAATAAATATGGTTTTGTGTACAAGGGACTAGGCATGTACTAACCATACCCATAGGGTGCATCTGCCTTCTATCAAGGTAATACTCAAGCCTATTTGGGGTACAACTTTTGGTTAGTACCAAGGTGTCTGATTTGGCCTTCCTTGCATGGCCTTTGGTATAATAACTTCTAATTTATCTGGTGTTCAAAACAAAGGCTGCCCACACGTTGTACTGATTGTACAGTGCACAGGTGAGCTCAACTAAGGTGATGCAAACAGGTGGAAATAGGACCAACCCTCCCCAACCTGTGCTTCTGTGACCTGAAGCTGTGCCAATGCATTAATGAATGACTGTCTTCCACAAAGGTGCCACTGCTCCCTGGACCCTGTGCCCACTGGACAAACCTCAATAGAGGTGCATGTTTCCAGAGTGCATGTCATGCTTCAATAAAAGTTAAATTTGGGGAATAAAAAAAAAAACTTGGATCTAGAACTGCTTCCAGGAGAGGATGAGTTGATGTTGAACGGACCATAAAAAAATTGGGGGTATGGAGTGACCTCTAGATTTCTTCCCTCATAGTAGGGCCTTCCTCACTTGCTGAGGCCAGTTCCTTGGGGTGGGGGGATTGTCCCAGTAGGAAACCTGGCATCAGAAGGTGCTCAGCACAGTGTGTGGCGATAGAACAATGCTTACTCCTAAGTTAAGCAAATACTTTCCTTTCCTAGATCACTTACATTATCTTTCCCAAGATCTCTGCCTGGGCCAAGACTTGTACCTCGCTCTCCTGATGAGATGCTCTAGTGATGATCATAATGACATTTTGTCCACTTAGTCTGGGCTGTCTGGGTGCAGTGTGTCAAGCAGGCAGGGTCCACCAGGACAGAGATGGCAAAGTCCTGCTGGGTAATTTGCAGATGCTGTAATGAAGGGACTATTTTCCAAAGCTCAGCAGAGTATAAGGAAACCATAAAGGATAGTGCAGTACCCAGGATTCACTTCCTTAGGCCAGGAAGAAAGAGCATTTCAGAACCTGGAAGCCAGAGACAGTGTGGAGAGGGCCTCCTGGCAGAGGCTGAGGCCCTTCCTTTAGAAAACATCCAGACCACAGAGTTGCCACAGGGGAAAGGGAATAAATCCTCCCTCTTTCCTCCAACCTCCTGACTTCCTGCCAGAGCTCTGCATTGACCAAGCCTACATGGAAGCCACACAGGTTTGTTTCCATGGGCACAGGGCAGAGTAGACAAAGGTGGAGAGGGATTTGGAGGGGAGAATAGAAGATTCCCCCTACAATGAGTCAGGCTGCTAGAGTCTGTCATTGCATCCAAGCTCACCTGGCTTGGATCATTAAAAACTGATGAGCTTGTATTAGCCAGTAGAAGGGACAGGAGTGGATCTGGCCATGGGGGTGATTTCACCCAGGACTAAGCACTCCTAGACCTTGCAAGATGCCTGAATACTGGCTTCATCCCCTCCAGCCAGCCTGCCTCAGGGGCAGACAGCTCTTCCCATCCAGTTCTTGTTAGGAAAGAATAGGGAGAGCTCCAAGTGGTCAATTTGTGACTGGAGTCTGTCCCCAGAGCCACCTCTGGCCCAGAGGACACAGTGCCATAGTTAGCTCAGCCTGCGTGAAGGTCCACCCTCAGCCCTGGCTGGGGGCGAGGTCTACGACCAGTGTACAGGTTCTGCCCATTGCTGAGTGTCTATTCCAATGATGCATTCCAGAACTTGGTCAGCAGCCACAGGATGGGTTGGGAGACCCACGGTGCCCACTTTGAGATGGACCTGAGCGACAACTCCAGGGATCACCTCACTCCGTAATCACCTCCTCTGACTGCTAAACCACAGCAACATCCAGGCCTCCTGGAATCGGTGTCAGTTCAGAGCCAGGGTCTGGTGATCCCCAAAAAGTCTGATCTTTCTCCTTTCTCCCAGTGCACTGTGTCCCTAGTAAATGGCCATAGCTGCCTTCGAGAAAGGCGATGAGAAAAATTCACAGGATAAATGTGTGGCAGTGTACCAGGGTGCTTCCTCAAGGGCACTGGGTCTCCCTTTCATTCAATGGCTTCTGGGTCTGTACCCTGGCTCAAGTCTGGGCTATTGCAAGGAGCAGCAAAAAGGGGCAGGTGCCAGGCAAATAAACACACTAGAAGCCACTTTCCATGGTAGACGCACAGCCAACAGGAACACATTCCGGCACGCATACGGCTGAGCTAAAAATAATAACCACAAAGGCAGCATCTCAGAGTGCCTGGCATGTAGCTGCATTTATTACAAGCATCACATACATTATCTCAGTAGGTGCTTTGACTCACAGGGAGATGTTAATAATAATTCCTCAAAAGCGCCCTGTTTACACGAGAAGCCTGAGGTTCAGCGAGGGTAAGCAGCAGGACCACCTGGCATCTGTATGACTCAGAGGCACTGAGCCTGGAAACAGACCCAGTCCCCGCCCCAGGGAGCACTGACCCTCCCCAGTCCCCGCCGGGCCCTGCAGGAGGGCCAGGTGAGAGAGTTGCAGACGGGGAAACCCCACGGCACGCAGGCTCTGAGTCTGTTTATGAACGCGATTCTTGGTTGGTGAGGCTGACTCATTTGAGTTGCGAGGCAGTGGACTTGAACTTCTCAGACGATTTCCCCAACTGAGTAGTGACAGACCTTCTAGCTCTGTGGCCCGGCCTTTAAGAGGTTGTCTGGGCTATGCCAGCGAGCCAGGCACCTTGAGCTCCATCCAAACCGTTCTCTCTTTGGATGAATGAGTCGGCTCTCAGGTGGACTTGGCAGGATTAGAGTCACAGCTGAGGCTTGACTGGTTCCTTACAGCCACCAGCTCTAGACACATTTTGAAAAGCGAGATCTGGATTTTTATCCGAAGCTGGTGCCATTCTAATTCAACCTCTGCCACTGCTGGTTAAGAGATGCTGAGGATCCAGGGAAGGATGAGGCTGCCTCACTTACAGAAGGAGAGAGCTGTCCCCGTCCTCTGTTGGGGCCGCCTGCACGGTCCTGTTTTAAGGAGGAAACACAAAGAATTGAAAGTGAAAATCACATTTGAAATGGAAAAGCTCTATGGATGAAATATTGCTTAAAAGTCCCTGAATGAGGGTGAAACTGGAGTAGGCAATATTTAACCCAGATAATTAAGACCCCCTGCTCCTGATGTAAGATTTTATTGCATGTTAGGTTCTCTATAGAGACCCCTCTTACTGTTTGGGAAGATGATGTCAGCCAGTCATTAACTCAGATATTTATTGTGAACCCGCATGTGTCAGGCACTAACCGCCTGAGGAACGGTGTCCCCAGGAACAAACCTGGAGCAGTCAGGATAGGCTGACAAACCCCTACGTCATAGTGGCTTGAAGGTTTTTTCTCACCGTTTGTGTCCACCATGGGCCAGCTGGGGAGTCCCCACCTTACCTCCTCTCTTCAGGACCTGGGCTTAGCCACTGTCTTGAAACTTGCCTGTCAGTGCAACAGAAGGAAAGAAAGTCCTGGAGGGTCTCACACAGTTCAGGTTGCAGCCGGGAAGTGATCTGTGCAGCTTCACCTGTGATTCATTGGCCAGAACTAATCACATGACCGCACCCACCCAGGGGACCAGGAAGTGCAACCCTGATAGGCCTGGAGGGTGCAAAGATGGGAGGGGCTGCTGCACAGCCTTGACGATCGATCACAGGCATGCAGGATGGGTTGGTGATGAATGCCACCAGTGTTCCGGGGAAAACGGATTGATCAGATTTGCTCAGGAACCCCCTAGGTTGGCAAAGTTCAAATTTTTCTTTAAGACAGTAAATACTGTTAGATGTCTTGTGGTGTGAGTTGTAAATCTGCACAAAAGGGACTTAGAACGCAGCAATGCCTGTTACATTTTTTTGGAGGGTGGTGGGAGACCTTATAGGACCAGCAAGCTATGGAAAGCATTTTAGGAGATGCTCTGAGAATTACCAGAAAAGAACTTAGCACGCAATGCCTACCACACGATGATAGGAACTGCTTAGCACAGGTGATCTCCTATGTCTTATTTAATAATGTCTACTTGACCATTTGCAGATGAGCCAAGTGACCAAGGACACAGGGACACTAAATGGTAGGGCTCACCCCTCTGGGTTGCTTGTGAGAATCATTATAAAACAAAGAAGTTCTGATACTGCTCATCGTGCAGCATAACACAGAGGTGCTCACGTGAGAAGGAGCTCAATTGAAAATTGGCCCCTGCAAGCTGGAACATCTGCTGTGGCTCTTAATTGATAGGATTTTCCACTTGCAGAAAGGGAGAGTAAAACCTTTGAAACCTCACATTCTTTACATGGTGGCGTATCGCTGCCAGTCATGCCCTCTTTGTCACCGTGGTTTCAGTTGCCCTAGAGCATAACTGCTTTTTCCTCAAGTGTCCTCTTCAAGGGAACTCACAACAAGTATGCTGTGTATTCCTGCTGTGATGTGCTCCTACGGTTCTCATCAGATCATCCCAAATGTAAACTGCACAGAACTTAGTGAAAATCTAACCACATGATGGAGGAACAAACCAAGATATGCAGAAAAGTATTTTAAGTGACCATTATTTCCATTAACAGGTACACGGTGATAACAATGATGACAGTGATGAAGACTCCCTGGAATATGCTCCAAAGTCTCCCACCTGCCCCCCAATTCCTCATTTGGGCAGCGGCACAAGCACCCGTGTGTTTGGATTGAATGACCAGCAGCAGGGGTGTGGCGGAGAGAGGGGAAGGCGCTGTTGTGGGGTTAGAATCTCAGGTGTCCTGATCACACAGAGTTCTCATTAGGGAGCAAAAGGAAGTTGTGGATCGTGCACTGATTAGCCAGGGACTCAAAACTGCCTCATCCACGACTGCCCTCTTACTGAGTTACTTACAAAATAACTGAGTCAGTACATAAAGTCCAAGAAAGATGGTTTCGTATTTTAAGGCAAATTCCTTACTTGGTTGTTAGGGGAAAGGCCTCTGAGTAGGCCTGTCTACAATGAGGAAGACCAAGAGCAAACAGGGTATACGGCCAGGACTGTCCACCTTGCTCTCTGCTTTCAGAATGTGGTTTACAGGCAGGAAGACGAGGCATCAGAGCAGGTCTTGTCCAACCTGCTCAGGGTGTCCCTCTGAGCTTGGGCCTTGGCTAAAATAATAGAAAAGCCAGGAAAGGAACTCAGCCATATTATCCCTTGAAGATTCTGGAAAGCACAGAGTTCTTAGGAAGCACTAACCTGGTTCACTGAGGATAGAAACTGTCTTCCAAAGAGAAGAGAAATAGAAATTGCCTTAGGTCATAAACCAAGAGCCAGCCCTGCTGTGGATCCCCAGTCCACATTCTTGGAGCCACTGGACCCCAGGATGCAGTTTAGCAACAGGTCCTGCCTCATGAGTTGGACGGTCCCACAGCCTCCCTGAGCTCATGTGTCAGGGTGCTGGGGACCTTGGATCCATCTGAGCCAGGAAGTTCTCCTTCAGGGCCAGTGCAGGCCGTGAGACTAATGTTTGGGGTAGGAGGAGCAGAGGAAGAGAAGGATGCAAGAGCCTCCCTGGCTCTCCAGGGCGCAGACTCTGATTTCTTCCCATCATTTAGGTATTCAGGGAAGGCTGAAGGACTATTGTCTGCAGATATGGCTCTAGGGTAGAGCTGTGAATGAATAAAGCAAGTGAAAGTCCCTGTCCTCTGCCCTGTGGGGCTCATGCTTCCCTGGGGGAGACACAATAGACGTGTCAAGTGTTTAGTAGTGGCAGATGGTGATCAGTGCTAGAGGAGAAAGCAGGCTGGAGAGGCACCCTCCAAGAAGGTCACATCTGAGCAGAGACACTGTGGGACGGGAGGAGGTGGGGTGAAAAGAGCTGCTGGTTGAGGGAACAGCAGGTGGGGGTGCCACGCGGGCGCATCTGCACGCCATGGAGAGCACAAGCCGGGCACGCAGATAGGAGCAAAGCTGACCGGTAGGAAAGACCTGGCTTCTAGCCAGGCATCCACAGAAGGGTTGAGGAGAGAAAGCAATCCGTCCTTATTTACATTTTAAGAGGATTTAAGACCCCAAGTCACAATGCAGAGAAAGGAACACGGAACACCCCGGAGTAAGTTTTTCTGTATGTAAATTAAGCCTCAATCACTAAGAATTAATAATTCTTACCAGGGCTCACGCCCATCTGTTTCCTGGATGAGCCCTGGGTAGGCCCTGGGGGATGCCAAACAGAGCTGAGCAGGTAAGCAGGGAAAGAGGAGGCATGGCCTCCGAGAAAGACAGAAAACAGCCTGGCTTTGTGTGGCCAGGTTCAGGAACATGACCTGTGGCCATGGTCTGCTTTTGGCCAGCATCTCCCGTTAATCTCTGGGACAGCTGCTGCAGCATCACCTGAGTGCCCTTTGGAAATGCACCTTCTCAGCCCCATCCTGGATCCAGACTAAGGGCACGACCCAGAAACCTGTCTTCATGAGCCTTCCAGGTGGAGCTCGGGAGCCCCAATACTTGGGCAGCTCCTATGGAGCTGGAAGGAGCAGATTTGCCTTCGATATAAAGAACACTGAGCACCTGCTAACTGCCTCGTTTTCCCTTCTTGTGTCCATACACACACTGGTGGAAAAGGGCAGCATGGTTTGCCTCATTTTTAACTCAGATTCCTTGGCCATGAAAGAAAAACAAAAATCAGCAAATCCGGTCTCGGTTCAGTTGAGGTCAAACTCTTGGTTTGGTTTGGTTTGCTTTGGTTTCATTGCCTCCTGGAAATGGTGCTCATCTACTTTCTGGTTCCTGGATCCAATTCAAGCTGCACAAAATAACTGAGTCAGCACATAAAGTCCAAAAAGGATAGTTTTGTATTTTAAGGCAAATTCCTTACTTGACCGAGGTTGTTAGGGGAAAGGCCTCCGAGTAGGCCTGTCTACAATGAGGAAGACCAAGAGCAAACAGGGTATACAGCCAGGACTGTCCACCTTGCACTCTGCTTTCAGAATGTGGTTTACAGGCAGGAAGACGAGGCATCAAAGCAGGTCTTGTCCAACCTTTCTCAGTGAAGAAAGACCAAGATACATTTGTAAACGTGCCATAGAGATTTTAATGGAAAAAAATTAGAAAAATGCATTATTGTACAACACCACATTAAATGATTTTTTTTCTGTAAAGACATTGTAAAATATATACAGGGCTGCGTACCGCACTCGTTACAAAAGAAAGATGCAAACCCTTGTGTAAGTTACATATTCTACATGGGCTGGATGTCTACTTGGACATGTAAACATTAGTTACTAGTTTTTTCTTTAAAATATTAGGTAAGCTGTGACAATAATAAATACCTCTGATATTCATTTGATGGTTGTCTCATTCTGTTGAACTTCAGAACGGCATTCTAAGGCCATTTGTGAAGGTGCCATCTCCACAGAGAAGGCCAGAGAAGATGAACAAAAGAAAACAAACAGAAGCAGTAGGCTCCTTTTGAATTTGGTTCTCTATGGATGAGTTTGAACTGCTGATTTTTGCCAAGTCTGATACAGCTTCCTACCAAAGGCCTGACACCTTGACCACAATGGGCCTGTTCAAATCCCGCTCACCAAGGGAGGAAGGTGGGTCCTGGTAAGGGTCCGGGACCAACCATTTCATCCTCCTAGAATGTGAACAAACAGTCCCAAGGTAACTAAGCCCATTTCTGCTACAACTTTCCTGATTTCCATCACCCTCCCACAGGGAGTGCTGTGGCAGGCCTCCGGTAGCATCTTCATAAGAACCAAACCCAGGTCCCCTTACTGCACAGTCACAAAAATGCCCAGCTATGCTGGGGGCTGGAGAGGAGGAACACAAAAATCCAAAGACCCACAGATATCCGGTCAATGCACATGCACACACATACCCCAGATGGATGCACGAGGGTCCATATCCCCACACCCCACCCTCCCCAGGAGGTGCCCCATGAGTATATGCCAATCATTTTGATGGGTGTGAGTTTGGAACTAATTCAAGCTTAATTTCTTCTATGCCTGGAGTCAAAAGCAACAAGTTTTCCTTTTGATGTTTTAAGGTACAAGGATACACAGTTGGCTGAAGTAAAAAATACTGTACATCTAAGAGGGATTATCAGCAATTTCTTGGCCTGCTGGGAATGGACTGGAAGTTTTTCTCCTTAATTCAGTGGCTTAAATTCTACTCATCTTTGATATCTCTGTCCCGTGTCTCTGTTTAACTGTAAGCCGCCTCATCAATGTTTTTGGATATACTTGATATCTTCAAATCTCTCAAGTGGGGGTTAATCTGTTTTCTTATTTAAATTTTAATCAACAAAATCAACAGTTTTGCCTAACCCAGTGCAATATCTATTTAGTGGAGATTTCTGATGAAGCAGAGGGTGGACTGAGATGATCTCATAAGGTCCTTCTCCCCCACATCCCCCCGCAACACACACACACAAAACGGCTGTCAAAATGCTATTTGTGGGCTGAACAAACAAATATATAATTAGCCTTTTTCAGTAGTGTGCTCCTCTGAGGAGCTATCAAATTATAGAGAAATCTTGTTAATTGTGGGTTCTGCTTCACTGGGTTCCCACTAATTGTGTTTTTCCTTTCATATTATTTTTCCACCCAACTTCTAAAATTCCACGTGAGAAAGTAAAACAGTTGCCCAGACTTGTTCTGGTTCCCATTCCTGCTCCCTGCTCCTTGGCACTGCTTCTAGACTCTGTGCATCAGGGAGGCTGTGGTCCATGGGCATCTTAGTCCCATGAAGCCAAGGACTTGATCGTCTAGCTCACCTTCATGGCCCCCAGTAAGGACAGCAGGCAGCACATGCTCAACGTGCTCAGTCAATAGTGGCTGGAGAAACGGCTGAATCGGCAGCCCGAGTTGCACAAAGGGGCCCCCGGGAGCTGCCGGGCCCACTGTTGCAGCCCCTCATGCCTCATAGCTGTGTCATCTGAGAGAAGTGGAATTTGGTTCCCTGGAGCATGCTCCCACCCACACCACTGTCCAGGCATCTGGTTCACTGGGCACTGAGTGCTGGGGTCATCAAGGAGACCCCATCTGATGGGAAAATCCATCAGAAGGATTAAAAGGGCTCTGTAGGGGCCGAGTCTCCAGTGAGAGGAGAGGGAGTCTACAGAACTAATCTACCTGAAACAGGTGATGTCCTTGGAAGACAGGATCTGGCCCCTGTGTAGGAACCCAGCCCACTGCTGGAAAGACTGGGCCCTGTCTCTCCAAATTCCCCCACTGAAATGTCAGTCCAGGATGTGACCACACTGTCACTTCATCCTCACCAGTATCTACCTGGAAGACACCTGCCTCTTAGCTCACCTGGCCTTTTCATCTTTTGTAGGAAAGGATAAGTGACTTGCCAAGACCAAGTGGTCCTATTACAAATGAGGAGGGAAAGGAACCAGGGTTGGGTGCTTAGGAAGGCCCCTGATGTCTACACCACCCAGTGCCTGCTGGCTAGAAGAGGCAAGGCTGAGAGCTCAGACTTTGAGACAAAGACTCATGGCTGAAGCTTACAAGACCTCCCTCCTCGAAATCAAGCACTGCTCTCTGGATGCGTAGAGGTCTCCAAGGAACTGACTCACCCTTCTGTCTTCCCAACTGGACCCTTCAGGTGCCAGGACCAACTGTCACCACACTGAGGGAGGTGCTGGTGACAAGGGCAAGTCCTGCCTCCCCACCGACTCCAGATTCCCTGCCAACCTGTGAGTCTCACACAAAGCTTCAGACAAAACCCAGGCCCACCCTGGGGGCAGATTCCCACCCAGTGTTTTCGGTGGTTTATCACAGCAGCATCTGCAGAACAGGGGTTTCCACCCCCCAATCCTTCCAGAACAGTCCTGTTCTCCAGATCCTTCCTTCGCAGACGGGGAAACGAAGGCTCTAGTGGGGCATTTGCCAGATGTGTTTGAGCATCACTGTGCTTCTCTAGCTCTTTCTCAGATCTACTTCCTGGGACAGGCGGCCAGCCTGGGTCACACCACAGTGTGGGAGGGTTCAGCAGAGGCTCTTGCACCCCCACCACAGAGCCCTGTCCTGTGCAGGGGCTACTGCAGGCTTTGCGGGGGGGCGGGGCGGGGTGGGGGTGTACCTGCGCCCTCCAGCCACATTCTACTACACAACGTACTGCACGCCGTACCCAGCTCAGGTCCACCAGCCCACCCTTCAGGCCAGAGACCCCATTACTGCTGGTCTCAGATCTGCCTTCTGGGGGCCACTGTTGTAGAGAAAAGATGGACAAAGCTCTGTGTGATTAGTAACAATCAAAGGCTTCATCTGAACGTGGCTCTTGGCTTATGGTTTTGTCTGTGGTGCTGAGCCCAGAGCTGGGCTTTTGAACTGGGTGAAGGAACTGGCAGACTCGGCACATCTTTTTCTGGCTGACCTGGCACTTATTCCTCTCTAATGCCTGCTGATGTGAAATGCCCACTGCCCCCACCCCCGCGTATGTATTTGATTGACCTGGAGATGACACCCCCTCCCTCTTCCTCCTGAGGCATGCCCCTATCTATGTCCCTTCCTCATGGCAATCTGAGGGACCCATCCCACCCCACCCCGCCCCGCTCCGGGAGCTTCAGGATAGGTACCTGGAAATATGCAGTCAGGACACCTGACTTGGAGTTCCAGCTCTGCCGCTTTTCTGAGCCCTGTTACCCCATATGCCAAATGGGGGTGCTCTGCCCCCCCACCCCCCCCCCACCTACCTAGCGTGAAGAGTGAGTGTGCCAGCGGGAAGAAACATCTTCACTTGCACGGTGCTACACTATATGCAAGTCTAAGAGGTTTGGGCCCCAGCTGAGCTAAGCTGACCTGAGGCAAGGCCCTTTGCTGGGCCAAGTGGCCCTCAGAAGGGGGTAGGGGGACATATTCTCCCAGGAAGCAAAGAGAACCCTGGAGTGAGGAATCCAGAGGAAGACATGGCAGGGTGGAACAGCTGCTTCAGGCCAAGCCCAAAGGTAAATGCTGGGCAGGGGCAGGCCCCTCTCTCACCAGGAAGGGTGAGCTCCAGGGGCCAGGCCTGTGGGCTGCTCTGCAGATACTGATGACTCACAGCTCAACTGGCTAAGGCTTTCTTCCTTTAGAGCAGGGCACCTCATGTGGTGAGGACGGGAGGTGAGCCTACCAAGAAATTAAGCAAAGATTGCACAGGGCTGTTGGTTAATTAAGGATCCATATGTCATTAAAACTAAAGCATCTGAGAGTCACCTGCAACAGAGGGTGTTGGGGGAGGTGGAGGGGGGATATTTTCCAATGCAGCTGAAGTCAGCTCAGCCAGTCCTCCCCACACTGGCGTCCTGTCCATGGTGGACACTGGGGCAGGGTGGAGTGGGCCTTGGTAGCTTGGCCAGACCCTTTAGTCTGTAAGTTAGAAAACTCAGGCCCAGAGGAGTGGGATGTCTTGCCCTAGGTCACACAGCAAATCACAAAGACAAAATCTGAGTGTTGATTCCACCCATGTTCCCTAGACTTGACTTCTTTCCTGTACATCATCCCACCCTCACCCCAGCCTCTGCCCTCCCTCAGCCTCCACCACCCAGAGGCCTCATTTCAAAATCAAGCTCATATTTCTAAGTCCTGATGGGAACAGCTTTGCACACAGAGCTTCTCACCAGGAGCTGCTACCTCTGGGTCACCAGCACTCACCTTGACAGTAGGCACTCCTGGATCATCTGACACCCTCAGAGGACCCTGTGCTGGGTGACAGACCCATAGGTCTCATCTCCTGGGGGGTGAGGGGAACAAGTGCCCACAAGGCCTTAGCCAGCTTCAGTCCCAGAGGGCACAGATGCAGGGAGTCAAGATCACTGTTTTTCATGAAATCAATCAGGAAACAAGTTCCTCATGCCAAGTAAGCTTAAGAATTTCTTTTATACAGCATTTTCCTTTTGTTAGTTTCATGCTAGTCTTTGGTAAAACCAGCAGAAGATTTCATCAAGACAAGACCCCAGGATGCTTAAGTGAAAGACCAAGATCTTATCCAGAAAGATCCCCATATGCAAATTCAAGCTAATGTCCTCTGCCTGTCAAAACCCCACCCAAACAAGGGGATGCCACAGAATTCAAGTTTGGTGAGACTCCAGGATCTATTTTTAGAATTTTATTATGGGGGGAGGACCCAGGAGGGACATCTAGATGGATAGTGCCTCCCTGAAAGCCTGAGACTCGGGCTAGGGTGGTTAGAGTGCAGGACCTTAACATAAACGAACTTTGTGGGCACTAGGGAGTCAGGGAAGGTTCTTGAGCAGAAGAGTGGCTTGAATGACTTAGGATGTGGCCAGCTTGTGGAGGGCCTTGAGATTTATGCTGTGTCATGTCTCCCAAGAGTGGCAGGATTCCACTGACGGTGGGATGGAATCTGTGCCCCCTGTGCTGTCGCACCCCTGGGCCTTGGCCCATGCCTTTGCCTGAGCTGTGTCTCTGCCTAAAATAGCACCCATTTGCTCCTCTAAGGCTCGCCTCAGTGATTTCCGAAACCCATTTCCTCCATGAAGCCCTGCCTGAGTTCCTCAACCAGACTTGATCACTTTTTTCTCCATAGTTTGATTTCAAGTCCAATGCCCCCAGAGTAACTTCCTCTGGGAGACATGGGCCTTGCTTTTGTGAGAAATGCAAACATGTATAAGAACACTGTCAGGGTGCTTGGCACAGAGCAGGTGCCATTAAATGTCATCACAGCATATCTAGTCTTCACAGGCACTCTTTGCAGTAGGTGTTATGTATAATCTCCAATTTAAAGGTGGGGAAACTGAAGCTCAGAGAGGCAAAACCACCACCCACCTGTGAATGGCAGAGGCTGGTCCTAGGCGTGCGAGATGCCAGGGCCTGAGCAGTATCCACACCCCCACGCCGCTCTCTGGAGGCGAGAAGAGCGTGTGCTTGCCTCTCTCAAGGCCCCAGAGCTAGGGGTGGGCAGGAGCCAGGCCACAGAGGCTGGGGGTTCCTGAGTCACTCATGGTGCATGTCCCCATCCCCTCGCAGCCTCCACCAGAAGTGTTGCCACAAGAAAACAGTGTGGACCCAGTTTCCTGATGACATTCCCATCACGGGGCCCAACTTCTTCAGAGTGACATCACAAGTATGCTCCCATAGTCTGGTGCCATCCCTGTACCGGCCTTATGAGAAATACCTGGCGTGGCAGCTTCCAGCCCTGTTGTATGGGGCACACTCCACCCTGCCAGGCAGGTGCCGTTGAATCACCAGTGCTATGATGACCAGTTTTCTTCTCATAGATCTGGATTGGTTTCCAGGGATGGTGCAGAGGCGTGCATTGAGTTACCCTGTTTCCACTTCAGCAAGTTAAGACGTGCCTCAATCACGGTGATAAGTGGCCATTTGGGCAAGATGCCAGACATCTCAGTGCCTTTATTCTCGCGATGGTCCTTCCGTCTGGGGCACTGCCCAGTGCTTGCTGCTCCTGTGGCCGGGGCCATAGAAGGTTTGCTCCCTGGTGCGGTCGCTCACAACCAAAACAAGGACTAGGGGAGCCCAGAAGAGGACATCGCCAAGTCCAGCAGGGAGCAAAAGGGTCAGGAGACACCAAAAGGAAGTGTGAGATGCTCTGTCTCCACCTCAAAGCTGGAGAGCAACGGGGAGACCTTCCAGGTAGTGGGAACGGCACGGGCAAAGGCGCAGAGGTAGGAGTCTGCGTGGACAAATCTTGATCAAAACGAAAGGTTACTTAGCCACAGCAGGGACACTGCGTCACGATAGCAGCACTGAGAAGGCTATAGAACTTGTCAGAGCAAAGATCTCAAGGACAGAGGTCACAAAGTATAGCCCTTAATGGCCAAGAGGCTGCCATAGCAAGTTACATTTTTATGATGATGAATGAGTGGAAGGGCTTGGCAGTCTCTACTCCTCGTTGAGGAGCTTTGGGGGGGCCAGGTGCCGAAAGAGCCCGACGGGCTTGCGGGGACCCTCACATCGAGCGTTTCTCTGGGCTTCCTGTCTATGTGTAGCTGGACCATCCCCACAGTTGTGTAGGGGAATGAGTAGAGCATTCGCCCAGCACAGCAGAGGTCCACTTGAGAAGGCAGAAATCCCGAAGCCGTGTTCGGCTTTGGCAGTGAGACCCAGCATCCACGGACGCCTCTCTTGAATGTGCAGTTAGTTCCCCTAACAGAGGAAAACAACATTTAATATGACTTATTTATCCACAATGAAAGCAGTTACCACAGAGGTCCCCAGAGAGCCAAACATCAAATGCATAAATCATGGCTGCTCGACATCAACGCTGTTGGGTTTTTTTTGCCAAAACTGTCTTAACCTGAGGAAACAAGCAGAGGAGATCACAGGGCATTATTCTATAAGACCCTGGCCAGGACTTCTCAAAAAGGCCAACATTGTGAAGACAGAAATGGTGATGGGGACGTCCTATTTGGGGGAAGTCTGGAACAACAAGACAAGCAATTATGGGAGGTGATCTTGGGTTGTATTTTAGACTCAATAAGCTCTTGGACATTTTTGGGACAATTGGGGATTTACATACAGTCTGTATCAGACAATAAGATTGTATGAATGTTTCTTAGGCGTGACAATGGCACCGTTAGGTAGGAGAGTGCTCTTGTTCATGGCGGACAATTTCTTCTTTGGCTGAACCACTGAAAAGTTGCAGACATGACGACACATTGTCCAAACATCTGAGTGAGAGTTGGGGAGCAGGGTGGCAAAGTATTGAGGCTGGGGGTCTGGGCGAGAGGTCTAGGGAAGCTCATTGGACCATTCTTTGTAATTCTGGGATCTTCAACATAGAAGGTCAGTGTGGGGGACCGTGGTCATAGATTTGCTGTTTTCCTGAATCAGCAGCCTCTATCAGGTGTGGTCAAGAAAGAACCACATAGAATGGATTTATGCTCAGCGCTTTGGGGAGCCCAGAATGCACCTGGCCTTGGTTTGTGACCACCATGGTTCTCTCTGCTATTGCCGGTCCCTCTTCATCTTCCCCAGCTCCCCATCCCCTGCCAAACAAAGTGATTTTTGGCTTTCTTCTGGGTGGCTCAAGCTTCAAGTGTGCCCAGGGATCAGAACATCCAGGCCAAATGCTTTTGTGGGTCAAATTGGTTTTGTGCTAAGTGCCCATAAATCTCACCCAAGCTGTCTCGTTGTGTTGATGGGGAAGCCCCAGAGGCCCAGGGAGTGAAATGACTTCCAGGAGCTCAGTGGAGCACAGCACAATAACAGGTCCCCTGCCTGCCATCCTGTCCTCATCTACGGTGTTTCCAGGGTCTGTGCTGGCCACGACTCTGGAGGAAACCCACTTTAGACCCACAGGCAGCTGGCCTGCATGGGACAGACCCCAAGTCACTCCACTTCCAGAACAAAGCCACAGTTTGCCAGAGTGCTTCACTGATGACGGGGCCAGTGCACTGATAGGACAGGGGCAGGCGCCTCTGCAGAGGGCTTCAAAGGGTATCTTGGGGCCTGTCATTTGAAAAAGAATATTACAAAAAGAAATGGAGCCATAAGCCTCAGTGATGGTGGTTTTTTGGTCATTTTCTCCTTGCTCACCTCCCTCTCCTGGCCAATGTGCACAGACAAGGGAGGCCTCTGAGAAACCCTGTTCTTCCCTCCAGCTGCAAGTGATTGTCAGTGAGAATCAGGACCCATTGGCTTCCAGATATGGATGAGGCAGAGAAAAACGACCTGCCTAGGCTTATCTGCAAGCTTCTCATGCTGTCCCAATGTTCTCTTAAGGCCCTGTGCACAGATAAGGAACAGGTGAGCTGAGATTCATCAATCTCCCTCCCTTTGATGGGTGGGGTTTTAATGAGCACCTCCCAAGGAGGCTTTTGTGGACAGTGGTCTAAGTCCATTTGCCAACTCTCCTGAAAGGATGATGGACCCCAGTGGGAATCCTGGGCTGCAAATGAGCTGCTGTGACCATGCCTGAATGCAGGCATTCCCCTCCCAATCAGCCATGCACAGTGGGAGCGCGCAGATGCTTCCAAGGGGGTTCACATGTAGAGCCAGGCAGCTCGCTGTGCTTAAGGGGCTGTTGCCAGGATTTCAAGATGAAGCAGTGCAGGTGGAAAGAACAGATCTGATACTAGCTGTAGGGACAACCAAGTATCTCAAAACCCAGAGGGGTTGGTTCAGTCCTACGTAAAAGAGTCTAACAGGCTGAAGGCCAACACAGCACTTTCCACCCAGGATGGGTGCAATGAGGATTATAGCTGGATGGTCTCTAGCAAGTGTTGCCCCCAGGGGTCTTAGAGATATTACTCTCACTTGAACTCTTTTCAACTAAGAGTGCTCAATCTTCATCTATCCACTCCAAATATAGGAGGAAGGTTGGGCGGTGGTACTGATGATCCCTAAATACCTACAAGGCATGTTGATTTCTAGGTACTGGCTGGTGGGCTCACCTTGGGTGATTCTGGTAGCACGTGGCTCTTCCTGAGCTCATTCTAACAGAAGTTGAACCCTACATCCAAGCAGCCTGCTGTGACTTCGACCACCTTGCTGAATGGGCATGGTTAACTGGGAGAAGGGTATGAAAATCACTTGGATGAAAGAAAGAAATTACCAGGTGCAAGAGGGAGGAAGAGAGACCTGGGGCTAAGAAACTAAAATTGTCCAGCAACAAGAGATCTTCAGAAGGCTGTAAATAGCAACAGAAGTAGCCAGGAACATGGTAGAGAAATCAGTGGGAAGACCTAGAATCCTCTCTCTGTGACCTCTAGATAAGTGTTCGCCTTCTCTGAACCTCAATGTCCTCGTCTGAAAACAAAGGCTGCTCAGTGAGATGACTTGGACCAAGCTTCCTCCTGGCTTTGAGGATCTGATTCTAATGCTGATTGAGTGGTAGGAGTTGGGCATCTCTGTTTAGTGCTGTTTTATTAAGAGAAGAAAGAACCCTGAACCCTTAACTTGGCCCCTGCCCTCCCCACTCTGAGACCATTTCATGCTATACCTAGATATCTCCTTGGCCAGAGACCACAGCAGGGGGAAGAGATGGACCATCTGAGCAAAAAATGAACATCACCAAGCAAAACCAAGATTTGCCTCCATCCCCTAAATACTGACCATAAACAAGGATGTTTAACTTTGAAAGACTCAGTGACCATCCTTCAAAGGGCTAAGCTGGTAGCAAAGAGAAGACATAGGAGGGAAATAGAGCCAAGATAAATTACAAGTTGCCTCAGATACTTATGTCAGTGGTCATGTGAGGAGAAAAGACTTCATCCTATAATCCTTAATCCTGTAGAAGAGAGAATGTTTTCTATAGTTCCTGGGAATAGAGAAGCTCTGTTACCTGAGGCATTCAAGCAGAAGTATGGCTCCTATATGACCAAATTGACACAGATAGTGTAGTGGAGAAACCAGCTCTGTATGCAGGGTGGTCTCAGCGTCCCTTTAATTTGCTCCAAGGGCCTGCTGCATGCCCCCAGTGGGGAAAAAGGCAGGCGCCCTCCTCCGAGGGCTGAGTTAGGACATGGTGGTGTGAAGTCAGCTCCTTGGACTCTCCTGGGCTCCAGACTGAGACACCTGTCTCAGTTCTGTCAACAGCCAGCCTGTGACACTGAGCAAATCACCCTCTCAGTGCCTTGGTGTCGTCATAGATCAGATCACACCCCCCAACCATTTGAAGGCACCTCTTACAAAGGTTTTCATGAGAACCCCACATTTATTCCAGGCACACTCTTCTGAAGCATAAAGCATTCTGCAAATGCATTAGGGCTTTTATACCTCTGACCCCCTAGAGTCAACAATCTCATCCAAGAGGAAAAAAAAAATTGAACTGCTGCTATTCTCTGGACAGATTTTAGAGCCCCAAGTAGGGCCTCCCATTAAACAAAATCTTAAAACAAGTGAATCAATAAAGACCTTGAAGGTTGAGAACTGTCAACTTTGGCCTAGAGAATCTGAGGTTCGCAGACTCCTTCGAAGGCCCTGTGTCCTGGACGAAGGGGAAATTTCAACATGGGATGTAGCATTAAAGTACATGCACAGCCTTTTCAGAGGAGTCTTGAATGCTCCAGTGTTTCAGCCCATTGGCCCAAATGCTTGGGACTGGTGGCATTCAGGTGTTGTCTCCTTTAAGAAATCCTGTAGGTCTACTCTTTCTAGGGAGCAAAGCCTCCTTTCTGGGAGATCTCGTTGGGGCCTTGAGACAGGCCAGTAAACCGTGTTCCTTCTGAGTATAGCCAAGGTCCATTTCCATGCAAGAGCCATGAACTTCATTTACAAAAGAGGAATGGGAGGATGGATGAATGGGTGATTTTTAGAAAATGGCAGGGATGGTAATGAGGGAAATTAAAGTCCCCTCAGTGAATCTGGAGGTCAAACTGTCCTTTAAGCCTGTTACTGTAAGAGCCTCCACTGTGCCATATTCTACAGCCTGAACTACCCCACCACCTCCCCCAAGAGGATAGCAGGTCTTCCCTTTGGGGTCATCCCCTATTGAGAGTAGGGAGGAATTTCTACACTACTCAGACAAAATTTTCCCCTGAGATTGGCAAGTTCCCAGTAGGCCAAGACATAGCTCCTTGCCTCTAAACTCTTCCTGAGACCAATGTGAACTTTACCCTATTTACAAATCAAATGCAATTAGAGACGATATTTCTTGAAATAGATATGTATTTTTAATGAGGAATGCCCTGTCAATTTTCATGAGGAAAAGGAACCACAGCCACATACTAATACCCATTCTCACCCAAGCATTCCAACACTATAATTCTTATTTATGCAGGGTAGGTGCTGCACAAAATCATCAATAAGAGGGAAATAGATACTCTGGGGTTCCAACAATTTTCCCGTTTCCCCTGACAATTCCAGTTGCATGGTAAATTGTTGGAACTGGAGGTGACAAAATTAAAAATGTCTTTTATAAGTTAATGTTATTGGCTTTGGATTATTCCATTTCTAGTTTTTTTGTTGATAGCGCATACCAGTTTAACAAAGTGCATGCTTTTTAAAAAATGTCTGAACTGGCAAGCTAAGATGGTTTGGGTCGTCTTGCCCACCCGCCCCTAAAAAACATTAATATAATTTAGAACCTAGCATTTAGAAAATATGGCCATGACACATCAGGGATAAGAACTGCTTAATGAAACATGCTTGATTTGGCAAAATACGATAAATCAAAAACCTTGTGGGTTTTGTCTTCCCGTTTTGTTTGGAAGCAGCCAAAAGCAGGCTATGATGTGTGATGGGAAAGAAAACGGAATACCTAATACTTCCCGTTTTGTCACGACACACGTGCACACAGAAGCACACACACAACACACACACAGTCACTCAGTCCTTAGGAAAAGAGAAAGGAGTTAGGTCAGAGACACCACTAAGGGTAGGCGATTGAAGGCTGAGCGTGATGTGCAGCTTTGGGGTGGGTATCCTCTCAGCTCTGTCTCCGTGGTCTTGGTCTCACATCTGTCCCGGGAAAACCACTGCAGAGATGATGGGGTGGGTGGGGTGAGAAATGTAAGGCATAGTCTGCTGGGAAGGAAGGAGGAGATCCATGCTTCATGCTCAGATGTGAGTTTCAGAGGAGGATGGGCCTGTATTTCCCTTTGGCCTGCTCTGTCTGGCTGGAAAGGTGGGGGAAAATGAGACCAAGAGACCAAGAAAGGAGGAAGGAGAGAAAGTAATAATGATGACAATAATAATAATAAATAAATAAGAAAAGACGAGTTGGACCAATGGAAATTAACACCAACTATGACAAATGACTTTTCTGTCCCATTTCCCTCCCCACACCTAAACGGACTTCCGGCGTTTCATCAGCCTCTGGTGGTCGGTAAAGCTGTGTAACCCAGGAGAGATGGAGCTAATAGGCGATGGGAAGAGGCTGTTTTTTAATGTGCTTGGTGAGATCTCCTCGATCTTGTAAGAGATGGAGTGGAAGTAGTGGGGGGCAAGCTTGGCGCTGAAGGAGTTCTGCGGTGCCACCGAGCGGCCGCCATAGTCCTGCGAGCGGTAGCAGGTGCAGGAGCACACAGACTGCAGGTCCGGGACGTCCGCCTTGTACCTGGGCCGGCTGGGCCGCGGCTCCTCAGGGATGTGAATGACCATGCTGTTGCGGTTTCCGGCGAGGGATGCCCTCTCTTCAGCATCCCGCCGCTCATCCTCACTGTTCATGGTCAAGAACCTGAGGACGACCAGGTTGAGGAAGGCCCCGATGACCGTCAGCCCCACCAGGATATACATAAAGCTAAAGGCCACGTAGAGCGGCTTCTTCTGCAGGGCACCCTTGGTCTGCAGGGCCACGTAGTCCCCGAACCCAATGGTAGTCAACGTGATGAAGCAGTAGTAGTAGGCGTGGAAGAAGCTCCACTCCTCACACTGGGAGAAGGCGGCCGCCCCGATGCACAGCGTCCCCATGCAGGAGAAGAAGCCCACAGTCACCATGTTCTCCATAGACACGTCAGTGTTGCGCATGCCACAGCACTTCTTAATGCGCTTCAGCAGGTAGCGCACGAAGGTGTTCATGCGCTCGCCCAGGCTCTGGAACATGACCAGTGTCAGCGGGATGCCCAGCACGGCGTAGAACATGCAGAAGGCCTTGCCCGCATCGGTGCCAGGTGCAGCGTGCCCATAACCTGTGGGAAGGGGATGAGAAGAACAGAGAGAGCAAGTGAGGAGGGGTCTAGAGGTTGGGGGAAGGGAGGGTCGACTTGGTGCAGTGCAGTGCAATGCAGAGGGACCTGGTACTGGGGGAATTTCCTCTGCAGGGTAGAGGGGCGTGGCCATATATTGGAGGGAGGAGAACAAAGGAGAGCCACTTTCTCAGAAGTCACATGAGGTTAGGGGATGGCAGGGGGGTAGGAACATTTCAGTAGGGAGGGAGTTGGGATGTGCTGGGATGGAAGGGAAGAGAAAAAGAAGAACCAATGTCACTTGCACTATGCCACTGAGAGGGGATGGAGGAACATTCGAATGCCATCTTAGAGCCACATAAAGGCTTTAAAAAGAAAAAAGCAGATTCACTACTAAGAGAACTCCAAAAGTACCAAGCCCAAGGGAGAAACCTCTCTATGTCCACTATGGATTGACATGAAGAGTGGATTTTCAAAGAATGATACCTGCCATGGGCCAGGCACAGTGCTGAATCCTCTTACATACATCACCTAATTCTAGCCTCTAAACAACCATAATGATTCCAACCCCACTGACAAGAAAACTGAGTTAGCAGGGTAGCTTGATTTCTTCAGAGTTGGGATTTCAGCCCAGAGTTTTCAACTGCCAAGAATGAGGCTCAAAAGCAGAGACTTTGAATCAAGAGAGGCAATTGTAGAGTGAGATGTAAATGCCACAAATGCATACTTTTAAAAATGTTTTGTTCGCTGCTGTATTCCCCCATACCTAGAAAGTAAAATATTTATTTAATAAAGGAATGAATAAATTTGCACCACTCTGTGAATGGAGCCTGGATAGAAATGAGGAAACAACCCTTAAAGACCTTATGTGTGTAAGCACTTTTGAAATTCTTGATGCAACTTCATTGCGTGGTTGCTGCAGGGAATCCAAGTCAAGACTGTATTTCCTCACATTCGAAATGAAGGCAATGATGTTGAATAGGTGAAGTCAGCTGCAGGGTCACCCAAGCTGGTCAGTGACAATGTCAGAGCCAGGATGGGATCTTCCCAATATGGCAGAAGGAACAAGAGACTCAGTAGGTTCAAACTGTGGGACTAACACTACCCAGAATAAAAACCTGGATCATGGACAGTGTTTTTTTGGACAGAAATTTTGAAGGATGTACCTGGTCTTCCAACATCTAAAATCCTGCCCATCAAGATAGATTTCCCTGATGGGACCCTGTCACATGTTCATGGTCACTTAGCTTGCTGCTTTACCTTGGGTTCCATAAGTTTTTTCAAACCCATGTGTCTTTATCTGTTACATGGCATAATTGTTCTTAGGTGGCGTTGTATGGATCCGCCGAGATCAGACAGCTCCGAGCCAAGAGTCTGATACACAGTAGGGACCTACCAGACCCCAGGATCCTCTGCCGCTCCTTCCTGCATGAAGCTGCCTCTGACGGCTCTAGCTCACACTTCTCCATCAGGGCTTCATTGCCTGTGGCTCAGTCTGTCTGTCTCCGGTGGTGTGAATATGTGCCATAACCTACCTACCCCCATGGGCCAAACTCTCACTTGAAAAATGACATCACATGTTTGCCTCCAGAAGGCCTTCCCCCCATCCTCTCTGGCCCTCAATCCCAGCTAGCGCTGAGCTCTGACACCCCTCTGAAACCCCTTAGTCCTTATGAAAGAAGAGATGATATGACAAAGTTAGGCCAGAAAGGACAGGGTGGGGAAACAGAGAAGCTGAAATAATAGATATATCAATTGAAATTATCCAATCTGAAGAGCAGAGAGGAATAAAGAAGATTGAAAATAAAGCCTGGGGGGAGCTGTAGGGCAATATCAAAAGGTGTCCCAGAAGGAAAGAGAATCAGACAAAAAGAAGAAATAATGGCCAAAAGTAGCCAAATTTAGGTTGGGTGCAGTGCTTCACACCTGTAATCCCAGCACTTTGGGAGGCCAAGGCAGATGGATCACTTGAGGCCAGGAGTTTGAGACCAGCCTGGCCAACATGGTGAAACCCCATCTCTACTAATTTTGTAAAAATACAAAAATTAGCCAGGTGTGGTGGCACACACCTGTAGCCCTAACTACACAGGAGGCTGAGGCAGGAGAATCACTTGAACCCAGGTGGTGGAGGTTGCAATGAGCCATGATTGTGCCACTGCACTCCAACCTGGGTGACAGAGCGAGACTCCATCTCAAAAAAAAAAAAAAAATAGCCAAATTTGATGAAAGACACAAACTTATAGATTCAAGAAATTCAGTGAACCCCAGGCAGGACAAATACAAAGAAAACCACACGCCAGAGTCAAGCTGCTTAAAGTCAGAGAAGATAATGAAAGTAGCCAGAGAGAAATAATATACCACATACAGGGGAACAATAATATAATATTGCTTACATCTAAACATAAGCAACAGAGGCCAGGAAGCAGTGGAAGCACGGCTGTAAAGAACTAAGACTGCTCACTGAAAATTCCATATCCAGAGAAATTATCCTTCAAGAAAGGCAAAACAAAGACATTTTCAAATGAAGTAAAACTATAAGAGAGTTCATTACCAGCATATCTACACAATAAGATTACTGAAGGCTGCTCTGTCTGGGGAGAAGGACACCATATGGAAACTTAAGTCTTCAGGAAAGAAGGCACATCTTGGCAAACAAGTAGGGTAAATATAAAAGATGCAGGGGTGGGAATCCTACTATATCTCCATATAGCTCACCTGTAGAGCTGATACAAAAAAAGCCAGCTGGAATGCTGGAGAATAACAGGAGGTTGTTGGAAACTTCTTATTAAGTGGTAATGTTCCACATGTGATATATTTACTGGAAGAAATCACCATGGCATTTTCTGGGTCAAAAACTGCATACCAGGTGCCAGGGTCCCCCACCCTGACTTCTGTTCCTGCTAGTAAAAATAAGCAGTTTGCCTTCACGGGGCTTAGACAGCAGTACACTGGTATGTCCTGTCTCAGGCTTATGTCAATTCTCCTGCCGTCTTACTACAGCATGAAAGAACTTGATCATTGACACACCATAGTGTTTCTCACTGGTCCACTGCATCGAGGACATCCCTTGGTAAGACACGTGCATGAGAGAGTATGGGAGATGAACAGCGCTGAGGTTCAGGGGTCTTCCCCATTAACACATTTCCTGTGGTCCCAGTGGTCTGGGGAACAGGACCATTCCCTCTCAAGTGAGAGACAAGTTTCGGGACTCCCAAGGCCTTCTAGGAAAAAGAAGGTGGTACAGGGTATCCTCCACTGTCCTATTTAGGCGTTCCCAGCCACACCCTGCTCTCTACCCTGGGAGCTACATCAAGGGTCCCTTTGCCCTCTGGTTTCCAGTTGGGTCCATCCAATGGACAGCCCCAGTAGATCAGAGGAAGGGAAGAGGAGGGCGACTTCGGCAACTAGCCGCATCTGTCAGCGGGCTTACAGCAGCTACTCTCTACAAGTTCCAGGAACTGCACCCTTGGCATGTTAATAGCTCTCCACTGGTGCTCCACATACCCCTCATTGCTTCCCCCCAAACCTGCCTACGTGTTCGAGAAGAATTTATAAATAGCCCATTTATTAATCATTCAGTGTGAGAGTGCTATTTCCTGCAGAGACCCTGTTACACTATCTGTTTTCCCCTGGTCTGCTTAACAAATGTGCTTATGATAGAACACTGCAGGTACTGTGTACAAACAGGCCTGCGAATATTAAGTCCACATGTCAGATGTTCCCAAATACCTGTACAGAACACACATACATGGCATCTATGAAGACTTCAGAGTACACACAGTGTACACTTGGAACCTAATGTGTAGAATAACGGCACATGTGACATAGTAGCACACTATATACAGATAGATTAGACCAAGAGGCACATATAACTACAGCGCACCCATATTCACCAGCAAATATTGTCTATGCAGTGTGTGCGCCTGTAGAACACACATGACACAGGCTGTGTATGTGCCACACCTATGTATATGCTGCAGACTGCACGTTTTAGTAGTACACACCATGTCTACAGATTGTATGTAGAAGATACAATAAAGAACATAGAAAATGCATGTATGCTGGACACGTGACACAAGATGGCCTCTAAGCTCTTCCCAAGAGGAGAATGAGGTACAAATCTAATACATTCCCCCAGCACCTGTGTGACAGCTCAAGTCCTGAGAAACCATTTTTTTCCCATCTGCAAATGAACATATCCCAGCATCACCCGCCCAGGGGTCAGAAGATATATTCATTCATCTACTCATACATTACCCATTCAGATATCTCCATTGACTGTGCCCTGGGACCTGCTCTTGGCACAGGGGATTCCACAAACACTTCTTTCCTGGAAATCTCCCAAGGGGCTCCAGCCAGCCTGTACCAGGAGCCCTGCCCAGTGCCCAACACGAGCAGGTGCGGATAGAGGCTGGGGCATGGATGTGGAAAGGCCACAGGTGACCCCTAGGCTGTCTGTTCCTGGTTACCTCCTACCCCACCTGTGAGCTCAGGAACCACACATGCCCAGGTGGATTTTCCCTCTAGGACTCCAGGCTCCTACAATACCCTACCGCCCCCTCCCCCTACCCTCCAGGCACTACAGGGTGGTGACCTTCTCCATCTCTGAGGACCACAGAGGTGGCAGAATCTCAGAAGTCCCACCCACCACTGGCCACGCTTCCCTCATCATAAAGGGGTCACTTATCCCTTTGGCAATGAGACTTCTGAAATGGATCTGCACAAAATTCAGGAGGGACACACAGGGCACTAAAGGTAGAGATAATGAAACCAGGACTCCCAGAGGGGCGCCTCCGACTGCGGGTGAGATCTAGCCAAGCAGCCTCAGTCACTCGAACCACTTCACAGACGTGTAAGATGAGGCTGCAGGAGGGTTGCCAACCCACAACCGCCCCGCAAGAGGCCACATCATCCTTACCTAACCCGATGCCTGGCACCCCCTACAGGCACCCAGCCAACAGCAGGGCCCTAAGCCAGAGCCCCACCAACTGAGGAATGCAAAGACCACACACAGGGTACAAAGCCCCTGCACACAAGGGACGCAGCCAGCCCACGCTGCTCATCTCCAGAGCTTCACCGCCTGTTTTGCTGACATCTAGGGGGATGCTGAGTTAGACACGCCTGCCTTTGGGACCTGGTACCGGTCCAGATGGTCACACGGAGTCAGGCCTCTGGGTGTGAGGTTAACCATAGTGGTGCTGGTGACAGACAGCACTGACAGCCTGAAATTTGGTTTCCAGCACTGCTCACACAGCAGCAGCATCCCCAACACCATCCTTCCCAAGATTCCAGGATGCCGGCATGTTCAGGGACCCTGGAGGGAGCTTACAGTCGGTTCCAGTTGAGTGGCTGTCCCAGCTTTCTCAGCCCGGCTGGCCCCTGCATCACTCAGTGCTTTAGGCTCCAGGGTCCTGCTCTGCCCACCCACCTGCCCTCCCCTGGCCTGCTCAGCTTTGCCAACAGGTGGTAGTGCCCAGGACCAGGCAGGGTGGGTAGATGTGAGTGGTGAAGGAGATCCAGGAAAACCCCCAGCTCAGCCCAGCCCCATGTCCCAGCACATGGAACCAACCCCTCGAGTGGCAGCCCCACCCAGGGGTCTGGAGCATCCTAGGTCACCTGCTAAGTGAAGCCAGCCCTAGAAGAGAACCTCCAGTTCACCCGGCCCACCTCCACAGTCAGAGGCAACTGACACCCGGGGGCCGGTGATGCCCAACTCGACAGGGCAGGCCGGTGACGGGGTTCCTGCCCTACAGATCTGGAAAGGGGACAGTCATTGTAAAAATGTCAAAGCCCACTTGGAAAAGCTGACTCTGTCCTGGGCACTGTGACTCCTGAGCAGACTCTGCGCTGTGCACTATGACTCCTGAGCACCCTGGGAGGACCCCTCTACTTCCTCATCTGTGAAATGGGGCAGATGATGTGCATCAGAGCACAATGAGAATCAGCCCCCTCACCTGGCCCCTCCCAGAACTGGCCAAATTCATGGGTCCCCTCACCGAGAGCTGGGCCATGCAGCCTCTGAGCCGAGCCCCACCTCAGGCTGGCGTGCAGCCCTTGGGGGTCAGACCTTCCAGCCCCCAAGTGCCCATGTGGATCTGTAGCCAAGGACGTCTGGGCCCAAGGGAACTGACAGCCTGCCTGCTTCCACAGGGCCTTCTTAGCCGGTTACTAGGTGCCTCTCCCAGCCCCGGACCCTGGTGGAAGGCTGGGGGCTCCCAGGACAGCACCCACAGGCTGTACTCCTCACCTATCCAGACCCTGACTGGCCCTGCTGGGTAGTCACAGCCTGGGTCACCTTGGGCCAGACCGTGAGCTCCCGAGGAGAGCAGAGCCCACTCCTGACTCAGCTGTGCAGATCCCAGAGCCCAGCATGGAGGAGAAGGCAGCACATGGTATCTCCTTGCTGTGCAAGTGACTTCCATCTTCCCAGGCCTGCCTGGAAATCCCAGCCAATCCCTAAGCCCAGGGCCCAAGGTGGCTGGGGGCAGCTTTGCCCAAGACACAGCATCACCCAGCCTGATTTTCATGGCCTCTTTAATATACTTAGTGGGTCTCTTTGATCTGTCCTGGGAGAGGCTTTGCAGAGAAGCAGCCTTCATCTCTCTGCTGCAGCTGGCTAACAAAACAGGAAAAAAAAAAAAAAAATGAATAGGCTCCATCTTCCCAGAGGGGAGAGAGGCAGAGGACAAGGAAAATAAAACTAATCATTTCTATTGGGTCTGGAGCTCCCCGAAAAACCAGCTGTGGCTAGAAGGCAGCACTCACTTCAAGACACCTGCCACTCCCCAGTGGCTCCTGCAAGATTTCCCAGAAGTCATGGCAGCCACCAGGTACCAGAAGCTTCCCAGCTTCTCCTGTTCTGAACAGCATTATTTCACTTAAAGATACTCTAAGCACATGGGACATAGTAGTGCAAGATGCATACTATATACACGTAGGTTAGACCATAAGAGGCACCTGTTCTGAGCTCCATATTTTAATTAAAGACACTCAAAGTATCCAGTGGGCTGTCCCCACTGGAAAAAGGCAAATAGGGCAGCCTGGGCCAGGTGGACTGCAGACCAGCCTCGCTCCTGCACTCCAGCGCTCAAGAGCTGTCTGTGGCTCCCCATGTCCCCCCTGGCAATCTAGGTACATCCACACCTGACCATGAGTGACCTTCACAGACTTAAAGGGTAAAACCTCTGCCCTCCACTGTGGAGCTTATTCAGGGGAGAGGTAGACAGAGCAGGGCCTTTACCTCCTGCCTCTGCAGCATTACTACCCCCATTCCTTCCACTTGGGAATGCCCAGGCCATTACCCCGCTTACCTGAGCCCTTGACCAGAAGCCATCAAGCTGAGCTTTGAATTCCCACTGCAGTGGGGTGGAGTGGAGGAGCTCAGCCCCTGGTGTCAGGCCAGTCCAGGTTTGAGCCCTGACCGTGCCCTCGGAGGGACTGTGGATGGTCACCTCCCTCCCTGGGCCTCTTTCTCTTCTGTCACTGCAACCCCAGTCTCCCAGGGAGCCTGGCTATTCCAGGAGCTGGAGCGGCTGTCATGCAGGTGAGGGGTACCCATGGCTGTCTCCCCCAGCCCACAGTTCCCTGGGACAGGCTGCCCAGCACCGGAAGGAGATGGCCATACAAGTATTTAGGCACTGAGAAATTTCCTGCTGGAAGAGAATGAAATATTTATAAAGGACATGCAAAGTTTGTGCCGGTAAGAATTAAAACAGCCACAAATTCCATTAAAGAATGACTCAGGGTGGCTTGGAGGAGGAGCAGGCTGGAGAAGAGAGCTGCCCTTGGGCCTCAGGCTTCCCACCTGGCTCCCACGGAAGCCTGCGGCAAGCATCCCACTCATCCTCCCATGAGCTTCGGCCCCGCTCAGGCCCCGGAATGAACTCGGCATGATTTAAACCCAGGCGTCTGCAAACACCAAAAGCAAAGTGATGCATGGGTCGCGCGTAGGGTGGGCAGGAATCAGTGGGTCCCAAAGTCTGGGTCTGGTTCCATCTCCTGCTTACTATGACCTTGGGCAAGACACCTTAGATCCTCTAAGCGTTAACCTTCCCTTCTGGCAAGGGCAATATGGAATGAAGCAGCCTCCTCCAGTGGCACAGCACTTTACACTTGACAATGCTTTTCCCAACTCATTCTCTCATGGATAAGGGGTATCAGTGGTGGTGTGTCAAGTCCTCCTCTTGCAATATAACACAACCCCTATTTCTACTGGGCACCACACACAGGCTTGGTCTCCTGTTCAATCCAAGAAGGGAACAGTACTTTGTAGGCACTCTGATGGTTTCAGCAAAAGCCTCAGGGTTTGGGGCTTGACTGGTGACTCAAAGGCTTCGGCTTTTTCCTGCCAGACTGGAGGGTGCCAGGGGGTGAGGTCTGGAGCTCCTGCAGTCATTTCACTATCAGGAGGATGAACTCAGCCACAGAAGATAACATCCCGACCCCGATCTCAGAGATGGGAAGCTGTACAGAGATGTTTCACCCTGCCTCTAAGCCTGTCCTACCCGGAGTGAGCCCAGCTCACAGACAGTTCATTCTGTTCCCCTGTAAATATGTTGGCTTTAGCCAGCGTTTCACTGTAAGTGATTAACACCCAACCTGGAGTATACATCCTAATACCCTAGCCAGACTACAAATAACCCACAACAGTTTTGTCAACAAAGCACTTTGCAATTCACACTCCCCTGTGTCTCTTGTGGTTTCTCTTAGAAGCTACCTCTGATATGTATGTCCTGGGGAGAGGGGCTGGAAGGTAACAGGGCTGTGAGCAGGGAATGGCCAGCTGGCAGGCCAGGGCCTCTCAAAGAGCAGCTGCTCCCATCCTGGCCCCAGGACGGTGGGCCAGGGTGACTCAATTCTGAGTTTTAAAGAGAAGCCGAAAATATGGATTTTTAAAATGTGGTATCTAATTAGTGTCCAATTAAACATTTGAAAACATGGCACAGGCCAAACAAAATAAGATGAAACAGACCATCTGTCTCAAACGGAGGCCACACATGCTCCAGAAATGGTGAAGAAGGAAGAGCGAGAACAGAAGAGAGCTGGGGTTGTAGGGGAGGAGGGCGGCAGGAGAGTGAGGCGAGTGGGGGTCAGTGAGACCCACAACATACACGGCTCTCCATCTCCTTTGCCTTTCCTCCCTCATGGTGAGGCCACCAGGGACAAGAATCATCAGTTGGCTCCATCCATTTCACAGATGCACAAACAAAGGCAACATAGAAGCACCTCCAGCACTGGGCTGAGTTCAGCCCTGCCCTGCACAGCGTGCCGAGGAACCCCATACCCTGGCAAACACGGTCGTTCTGGGTAATCTAAGGCCCCTTCCCACAATCGCCATGGAGAACTTGAGCCCCAGGCCCTGGCCCCTTCCACAGATGGGAACACTGAGGCCCTTGTTCATGCCGACCAGGCAGGGCATGGCCCCCTCGTCTTCCACATTGACCCACGCTCCAGGATTCCAAGGCCCCAGCCCTGAGCTGCCCTCAGAGCCCTGGCAACTGGCTTATTCTCAGGCTTGGCACCAAATCTTGGCAGATTTGGTGTTTTATTTAATGAAAGCAATTTCCTCATATGATTTATTATTAATTTCCAAAAAGAACTTCAGTTGCCTTTTGATTACCCTTCATTTGATGCCTTAAGGGGGGAAATGGACTAAATATATAAAATATATTTCTAAAACATATGAACTTGCAAAGCACAAATTTCCAACAACATTCACGAAGGCCTTTCTCCTCTTCTGCTCCATGTAGGGCCTTGAGTGAGGCCCCCTCAGGAGAGCCCTAGGGCCCCTTCCTGAGGAAGGCCAGCCTCAGGGAGCCCCGTTGCCTGGCCCAGGGTTGCACTGGGTGGACATCTCGTCCCTGGTTGACCCATGGTTATCACTGACCCAGCACCGCTTGCAGTGGCCTTGGCCAGCCTGGCTCCGACTGCAGTCGGCCACTTTCCAGCTCTGTGGCTTCACCTCCCATGGGCCCCAGTCCCTTCTCATTATGAGGACCCAGCCGAGATTAAATGAAGCGTCTTCATCCCCTTTCTATGGATTGGAAGGCTGAGCCTCGATACACATCAGCTGTCATAGTTACATGTGCTTCTCCTTTAGTCCCCACAGCGACCTCACCAGGTGGCATCAGGAAACACCCTCTGCTGGCTGGGGCCGAGATGCATGCGGGGGCGCCCCTGGGGAGGGCAGAAAGGCCTACACAGCGTGCCCCAAGATGTTCTCCACTCCTGGCTCATACCCAAACACCAAAGAAATCTGTTCTTAAAGCATTTTTAGCAACTTCACATCTAGGCGTGTCACTGAAACCTAAACAAGTATTTGTACCCATGTATTCACAGCCTAGCTTAACAGTCCAAACGTCCATCAGTGGATAGACGCCTAAACAAACGTGGTCCATGTGTACAACGGAATGTGTTCAGCCTTAAAGAGAGATGCAGTCCTGACGGGCATTACAGTGCAGATAAACCTTAGTCAGCTCAAGCTGGGCTGCCATAACAAAATATTATACCACAGCCCTGGGAAGCGTCAGCAAAAGACACTGATTTCTCCACAGTTCTGGAGCCTAGAACTCCACAATGAAAGGGGGGGAAGATGCAGTTTCTGGTGGGGGCTCTCCGGGGCTTTGAGGGGGCCACCTTCCTGCTGTGTCCCCAGATGGTGCAGAGAGAGACAGTGTCCCCATATCCCTTACTCTTCTCAGGAATCCTAAACCTGATGGATGAGGGCTTCACTCATGTGACCCCATTTAACCTCAATTACCTCTCCTAAAGGCCCCATCTCCAAATACGGTCACATTGGAAGTTAGGGCTTCAATGTGTGAATTTCGGGGGGCACAGTTCAGTCCATAACCCTGAGTGACAGAAGCCAGTCATGAAAGAACAAGTATTGTAGGAGTCCACGAACACCAGAACAGGGACACCTATGGGGACAGAAAGCAGGTTAGTGGTTGCCTAGGGGTTGCGGGGGGAGCGGGCGTGGGGGGCGGCGCGAAAGGGTAAGGGGTTTCTTTTGGGGATAAAGAAAACGGCTCGGAACTCAGTCCCAGTGGTTGTACAACATTGCACTAAATTGTACACTGAACTATACTCTTTGAAAGAGGGAATTTTGCAACGCGCATTTTACCCCAATTTTGAAAAAGCATTATTTTTAATGCTTCTAAGCTTTAAAACTCTTAAGCTGAGCCTCAGAGGATAAGGAAGTGGTGGAGGCGAGGCTTTGTGGGCGCTGGAAGGAACGGGTCTGCTCGCAGGGGCTTGCTACTGGCCTGGAAATGCTCTGCAGAGTCCTGGGCTCTGCCGCCGCCGCCGCCCCCACCTCCCCGGGGCCTCTCTCCCGGAGGATGCAGGCCTGGGCCAGCCCCTAATCCTAGAGCCACACAGCAGCAACATCCGACGCTCGCTGGTCCCACTTAGCCACCCACACCCTTCCACCCACTCCAGCCTCCAGGCACAGGCTGCAGACACAGGCCTGAGCCTGCACCATATCTGCCAATGGAAGGCCCGCGGAGTGGCTTTGGGGTGGCAGCTCGGAGAGGGTGTAGGTGAACCTCTCAGGTCCGGGGACTTGGGCCTGCCCAGAGACACAGAGGGGAAGACAGGTGCGTAGAAGGCCTTCTCCTATGAAAGGGCCACACAAGCGCACTGCACATCGTGTGTCCTGAGCAGGAGGCCGACAGCAGGGTGGGTGGAGAAGGCTGCGGTCAAGGCACACCCCCTTCTCAGTCCCCCAGAATATCAAAGGCTGGGAAACACAGAAGCCTGCAATCACACTCTTGCGAGACGCTGGAGGTCATCCATCCCCCAAGTAAGTCTGCTTTTGAAAGAGGCTCCTAGAAAGTGTTGCCAGGAAGGAGCCGAATGGTCCGCTAGGACGGAGAGCCTGTGCCTCAGGGGCTCCGCTCCCTGCAAGAGGGGCTCTGCGCAGCGCCGGCCACCGGAGAGGCAACGGCGCCCTCTGGCGGGCACTCGGGCGACTGCAGGGACACGGCCCCGGGTGCGGGGTCGGCCGCCCACGTTTTCCGGTGACTGCGTCCAGAACGCAGGAATCATCTGGGAAAAGTCGCTAATCTTTCTTTCTCATAGATGAGATGTCATGCGATGAATGTTTTCTCAGAAGCTGCCATCCATCAGTGGCCTTTCAGCATTGACAAAAGATAAATAATGGTAACAATAACGACTACCAGATACTGTGGGCTGGCGCTGGGCCGGGGACTGCGCTAAGATATTTTCCCTTCCTCAACCCACTGGTTCTGGGGAAGGGGATACCCTTTGCGGGGTCAGTGGTATTCTCTCTGTGGCACGGGTGAGAAAACGCCCCCTAGCCCTGCGCAAAGCACGTTGCCTTTGTAAGCCCCCAAGCCAGCCTGATGTGGTCTTCAGCCTCTGCACTCAGAGCCTGGCCCTGGCTGCAGGCTGGGCGCCCACACCTGGTCAGGCACTGGAGAGAAACCTGCATTTTCCTGCTGGCCGCCTCCACCCCTTTCCAGCAAAATTCTCCTCACTCCCTTCCGTTCTACTCTTTCTTCCCACCACTAAATAATTCCTCTCCCACTCCAAAAAAATTTTTAGAAATACTACAAGAAAATGTGGGGAAACAAGCCTAAATTTAAAAAACAAAGTACAGAGGGAAAAATATATATAAAATGTGGCTGACTTTTGAAAAGTCTATGGTAGAAGAACTGAAAATCAAGCTAGGTCCTAATACCCTCTGTAAGTAATAATTGATATATTTTGTTTAAAAAAAAGTGAAATCAAATCAAACTTTAATTCCTGTTTTGTTTCTGCTGGATTCTCATGTAGGGCTAATTCACCTTGCAGGGTCTGAGAGGGAACAGGCAGAGTTCACCCTGGAAGGATCTATGGGTCAGAAGAGCAAGAGCCTTGAATGCCGAGTTACTGGGAGCTGTAAGTTCCGGTCAAACCAGACCAGATGAGAACCATAAAACCCGATGCCTCTTGGGAGGTTTGACAGTGGAAATGAAGGTAAGACATGTTGCATGTGTGACTTCTAAAGCATTGCTTCCTAATAATGGGATCACCTGGGATTTGCCGCAACGCCCATTCTGCATGGGAGGTAGGGGGCTGGGGCCTCTGCATTTCTAGCAAGTGCCTCATTGACACGAGTCACCACAGACCCCACATCATGCAAAAAAAGGGCCTCAAAAAAGCAGGAGCAGGCAAGATCTGTGGGGTGCCCCAGGCCTTGTTCACAGCATGTTTTCACTGTTAACACTGAACTCAGTGCACACTGATGACGGAGTCAGCCCACGCTGGAGTCTGATGGCAGCAAACTGGCTTCCACCAGGGCCTCCCGCGTGGAAGGATGCTCATTTTCTCAGGAAGCAACAGAAGCAGGTGGGTTCTAGCAGAGACAGACAGTGTCTACCCACATATGTGACCTCCTCCTGCTCCTGGGCACACAGCTGGGCCACAGAGTCCCTCGCAAGTAGACATGGCCATGTGACTCAGTGCTGGCCAGCAGGGTTCCAGGCCTGGCCCACTAAAACCTGCCGTATGATTTTCTCTCTCTGACCTTCTGTTTCTGTCTCTGCCTCTGTTTCTCTCTCCCTGCTCCCATTCCCCCCGCTCCCTCCCTAAAGATAGAAGCCTCAGAACCTAAGGTGGGATGGTGCCTCCAGCTGTTAGGAGCCTGGGTTCTGAGTGACCAGCTAGAGCAGAGCCCCTGCCGAGAAACAGTGGCTGTGATGCAAGAGAAAAAGTAACCCGTGATGCATGAAGCCAATGGCATTTGGGGGTACAGCTGCTATGCACCTAGCTCATAACATGTACTTAAGATGATTCTGTACAAGCACAGAAGTTGAACCTGGAGAGCAAAGACGTACAGACAGGCCCACCCCGCTTATTGTTCAACAACATGCGAGAAGAACCCCTCGGTTTGGTGCAGTCACGTCCATGGAACAGGTGAGAAAACGAGGGCTCAGGGACACGAGTAGCAGTGGGGCGATCTGGCAGGGTGCAGCCTGCCGTGTGACGCTGACAGGCCATGTGCACATAGACACAGGTACATACACACAGGCACTCAAACACACACATGTATACAGAAACATGGACACGCTCACATACACGAATATACACATGACATGCTTACATACATACAGATATGCTCACACACACATCTGGCCTGAGGCATGTAGCTAAGGTATAAGAGAAGCAAGATTAACCTGAAGATTGAAAGCCCTCCTCACTCCTTATCTAACTATAGTAAACATGCAATAAATGTGAATGCTTGTAAAAGGCCTAGAATGCTGCCTGGCACATAGTCACTCAGTATCCTTGTTGGCCAAACGATGGCAATCATGAGGACCTCCTGGAGCTGTGAGGAACAAATGATTTCAGCCAAGTCCCTTGCCCAAGGACACACGACTAATAGGTGGCAGTCTTGGATTGCTGCACAACTACGGTGCTGACCTCCTTCCGAAAATGCTGCAGGCACGCATGCACACACACTCAGACACACGTATACGCTCAACAGGCACACTCAGACATGTACATACGCAGCCCAGAGGCCCGGCTCTCCCAGGCCCTCCCTTACATAACAGCAACCTGAGGTGTCTCCAAGTCTGCAGAGCAGAGTGGAAAAACCCAGGCTGCGCGAGGCTCACCAGCTCAGCCCAGCTGCTCTCGGTCTGTGCAGCCTCAGTACCTTGTGTCCTGGTCTCCCATCCTAGACAACCAACACCACACAGGGCCTTCCCCCGAGGCCTGCTGCGAGCGTGAAGACGACGACACACAAAGCAAGGGGAATGGCCTCCCTAAAGGCGGGGGCCTCTCCCTGGAGCCTGCAGCCTTTCAATCTGCCCTTTGGTTCCCCAGAAGCCCTGTAACTATTCGCATCGAGCCTGTCCCAAGCATCCACTTATTGTTTCTTCTGCTCTCCGCCCCAGGGCATTTGTGCCTGCCGCATACAGGCCTTATATATACCAGCAGTCCTCCTGGCATACCACACCTCGCCTGCTGGTTCACTCCCATGTCCCTCAACCCAGGGCTGGGACAGCTTAGCACGGTGGACTCATGGGCCTGAGTCAAGGAGCCCCTACTACTTGGTTTCCTTAGGCTGTTGGGTCTCAAGTTTAAATGGCTTCAGGGACCAGGTAAGTGCCACTCATGGGGAAGGTGATTCCCTGATGAAGAGGAGATCCTGTGCCCACCTAAGGGGGCAGCCAACAAGCAGCTCCAGTTACTGGCTTGAGGGAATATGGCTCAGGGAGGCCTAACCTACCCCTCATGGGAAAGGCAGGCATCCAGATGCACCTGTGGGTGGGCCATGGTGCCCCACAGCCTCCCTAGCCTCTTGTCTGCCCTCCCAATCCACCTTTCCTGGAGCCCCCACTGCCCTCAATCCGCAGGTCCACTGGTGCTGGCCCTGCAGGATGGCACCATCCTGAGATGCCCCCAAGCGCTCACCTCTTTTCAGGAGCCCCTTTTATGGAAGCTGCCTGGATTCTCCATGAGGGCAGGGCCAGCTCTGCCCTGCTGGGATGGACTGTCCTGCCCAGAGCAGCAGGAGAGCCTTGAGGATGGCTCAGACCCCAATTTGTCTCCAGGTCCCCAGGGCCAGGCCTGGCACTTAGTAGGTAACCGTTCCCCAAACAGCTAGACATGGGAGGCTCGCACGGGTGCCTCCTCCCGAGGTCATTTACCCTTGATTGAAACTGAGGGGAAGGGGAATCCTTGGCTTGAGGGGAGCAGGAGGAAGACAACAGCCATCAGCCGAGGCCTGCCCTGAGAGCCTCCGTGAGGGGACAAGGCCCCTCCTTGGGTGTTTTACAAAGAGCTTCTGGGACTTCATCTGAAGGGTGTTGCCTGGGTGATGAGCGGGCGGGGGCAGCCACCTCCACAGCTGTGGTGCGAGGCGTCTAGGGCCAGCATCAGTGGATTCTCACAGATCACCATCTGGGTCGTTCCCCTGCTGCATGAGGACCCCTGAAGGGTAAGGTGAGCAGCCAGCCGGGAGCAGGAGCAGGCAGTCCTGTCAGAGAACATTCTAGAGCCTGTTTTACTGCCATGCATAGCTCCGCTGCCTGGTACATAGTAGCTCCACATCAAAAATTGTTTAAACAAATAAATGAGCAAACAGAAGAGCACAACCAATGTTAGGGTGCCAGGCACTGTTCTAAACAGCAGAGTAACTGTAGGAGGTTCAGGTACTATCCCGTATCATCAACAAGAAAACGGAGGCCCGAGTGTCTGCGTTGCTAGGGCAGAGTCAGATTTTCTACATGTGACATAGCAGCGTTGCTCACTGTCCCCTGAGGAGAGCCTAGCCCTGCCCCAAAGGGCCAGCGGAGGGGACCAGGGCCGGAAGGAGGACAGGGACACTTTTATGGTCATAATTACTCTGAAATAACAGGGAAGACCCGGGTCCTGGTGAGCCCACCTCATGTATCAGCTATTTGACCTTGGGCAAGTCACCTAACCTTGCAGAGAGTGAGAGACCTAAACACAAAACCAGAAAAGAAATGGAAAAAGCCTGCTGCTATAAGCCTGATTAATTTATCTCCTGGACTCCCAGCCACCTGTCTTTATTTTCTACTTTTTAGATTTTTCTATTTTGTAATTTGCTGATCATAGGAATAATACTTGCTCACTGAAGAGAATCACAAAAGAAAGCTAAAGAAGCAGGGGAAAAAAAATCACCCACAACCCCCCCACTCAGGAGGCAGCCTGGAAGCATCTTACATTCCCTGCTAGTCCTTTTCCTGAATACCTCTCCTCTATGGCTGAGAGGAGGTGGTATAGAAGTAATAACAGAGCCTGCTTTTTTTCTACTTATCAGAAAATGTGTGTGCTATCATATTGCCAATAAAAATTCTTCATAAACATTTTTAATTCCTCATAAGCTTCAAGTAGATGTGGCATGTCTTCACCTTAACAGGCTAAATAGGGAATCCGTTAGACCCCCGTTTATGTTTTAGCCAAAAGCACACTGTTTCTGGCCCCTGGAATTCTGTTCATTCCATGTACAAAGACCAGAAACCAATATGGTGGCCAGGATTTGGGCTGGGCATTGCAGGAGTTTCAAAAATGAAGACCAGCCTTTATTGGCCCAGCACCAATGATATTCTTCTTCTCATGTCATGCCCAACTGCTAGAGATGATGGCTGTCATTCTCCTGGATGAAGGAATGCTCAGAGAGGCTAAGTACCCTGTCACAGTTCACGCAGTTCTCAAGTGGTGACACTGAGATGCCCGCCCTCTTCTCTGACCCCCAGCACCTCAGCTGTTCTCACGCTGGTGTGTTGATGGTCATGGCCAGGCTGGGATGAATGGGACCTGCCAGTCCCCATACCCCGGCCCCCTGCCAAGGATAGAGTCACTCCTTAAGCCATTTGCCTGTCCAGATGCAGAACCTCTTTTCCCTTCCCTATGGCCCTTTCCTTTCAGCAGAGGTAGACTCAGCTCCTGCTGCTGACCCAATGCTAAAAGTGCTTTCTGAGGTCACAAAACTTTAGCCAACTTCCAGAAGAAAACTTTAGCCAACTTCCAGAAGGGCAGAGCGAGGACCCCCAGGAACTCAACTCTTCCAGAAAAGCAATGAGAACACTGGCAAAACCATCAAATCAACTTTTTTGAATTCTGGAAGTTAGCTGAAGTCTTGTAACAACTGGAAAAGTGTTTACGTAAGAAAAATGACTAAATTTCAGGAAGAAAAGAAAGGTTTATGGCATTTGAACCTGCCCTTGTCCTATCTCCCTGCCTCAGCTCCAAGGTGACCTGGAACACCCATAGCACAGCAATCACAATAGCTGTGAAAACAGCATCCTGGTGGCCATGGAAGGGTCACTCCTGTCTGGAAGCTCTGTCCCCAGAGCTCATTCAGTGAGAGGGCAGTATTTGTTGAAAACAATCAAAGGCAATGTTTTAACACAGCAGCTGTCCAAAGTACATGACCACTTAGGTCTAACAAGAGGCTGACCAAAAGACAAAAAGGAAAAATGGGAATAGGAGATTCAAAGGAGGCTTTGGAAAGCTACAACATACTCCCGGGAGCCTAAAAGGCTGTGTGCATGTACAAGGCATGTGCACTTGACATGGCCCCAACATCTCACCTCCAGCTGACCTTGAGACTGTGCCCAAGCAGGAAGGGAAGGTGAAGACAGAATCATGACCTGCATGTCGGAGTGCTGACCGCATACCCCAACACACATAGGCTTCCTTGGCAGAGACCGCAAGGCATTTAAGGACATCTGTCCAGTCATCAGCCAACTACTAAGGTGACCAAGTGCCATAAGGATGTTCAAAGCACTAAAAGAACCATGTCTGATGAATTAAAGGAAAGTGTGAGACCAATGGCTCACCAAAGAGTAAGTGTAAACAGATAGAAATTTAAAAAATAAAAAGAGGAAGAAGAGAATCTTGCTCTTTGTGACTAAATAGATAAACCTGGAAGAAATTATGCTAAGTGCAATCAGCCAGAGACAGACAAATACTAAATGACGTCATCTAAAACAGTCAAACTCATGGAAGCAGAGAATAGTGGTTAATAAAGGGCAGGGAAACAGGGAGGTCACAGTCTAAAGATACAAAGTTTGTTATGCAAAAAACCTTCTGGAGATCTGTTATATAGCACAGTGCTTACAGCTAGCAATACTGTATTGAATACTTAAAGTTTGCTAAAAGGATAGATCTTAAGTATTCCTACTCTACACACACACACACACACACACACAATAATAGTAAGGGGAGTGGGAGGAAACTTCAGGAGGTGATGAATATGTCTAAGGCCTGAACCCAGCAGCAGACCTCACCCCTGGGCACTCCCCACACTTCCCTGGGCCACTGATGCCTCCTCCATGCCCCTCTTCCCATCCCAGCCTTGGCCAGACAGAGGGAGAATGTGAGGAAGCTGTGCTAGTACCAACACATGTGCAGGTCAAACATATTCCCTGAGCTCACTGAGCACTCACTGCTGTGACCTCCATGGGTTTGTGTCCTCATCTGTGGAATAAGAGAACAGGAAGTATGTTAGACCACATCCCCATACCGTTAGCTGGAATCTCTCTAACAAGCAGACAAGGCAGAACGAGGGAAGACATCAAGCTCCTTATTCATCCTTCAAAACTCAACCCAAATGTCCCCATCTCCAGGAACGTGGGAAGACATGACATGGATAAGTTGCTCCTCACCTGTACGTCCCCGTTTATTTCATATTTACAGACATGAAAACAAACAGCTGCAGATGATGAGACCACACAGGTCATGAATTACCAAGCCTATGTCAATCAGAATTCCCAATGACCAGCAAAGGATCTGGCACCCAGCAGGTGCCAAATACAGGTGACTATATGAATGAACAGGAGCTACGGAAGACTTGGTGGGGGAGCCATTCTTCCAGAATATTTGTCTGGCCATGATTAGGCCATGCCTTCACTGTTCAACACCTTCCATGGTTGCATTCAACTCAAACCAGAGCAGGAAACAGGGCTGGTGAGGAGAGGGGCACACGGGCTACTGCAGGACCAGAAGCAGGGAGCTTCGCTGGGTCCCTTTGACTTTCCCTGAGCCAAGTGCCAGCTGCTTTGTCTGGGGATAGTCCCTACCAGCCTCCCTGGGTGCCTCTAATCTAGGGCACCTGCACCCACCTCAGGCTCTGGGGCCGGGCAAAGTCCCAGCTGGGAGAGCAGTTTTCCTTACAAATCAGCTGGCTCAGCACCCGCTGTGGGATGGCTTCCCTGGGAGTCCCCAGGTTCCCCGGCCCAAACACATGATACATAGAGGCATCATCCGCTCTGCCTGTTTAATTAGCTGAGAACGCAGGAGGCCTGGAGCGAGTCCACCAGCTCTCTCTGGTGAGTTGCCCCTTTCTCCCATTCACCAGTCCAACTCCTGCTGGGCCTCCAGCATCAGCCTCCAACTGATCCCCATTCTCGTGCCTTTTTCCTACCCATGTCCCTCATCCCACCCTCCCCCAGGCCCACACCGCCAGGCCGTAGCCAACCCCTGTGCCCCTCACTGCTACCTGCCACAGTCACTCCTGCGCCGCCCCTTCCTGCAGTCTCTGCCACCTCTGACAGATTCTGGACAAAACCTGAGCTTTGGAGCCTAGGAGCCAGCTGTGCCACCTTCCTCATCCATAAAGCATCAGCTGTTACCACTCACCGAGCACTCGCTCTGTGAAACAGCCCATTGATGCTCACCAGAATCCCCTGGGACAGTTCCAGCATCATCCCCATTTTGCAGAAGTGGAAATGGAGGCATGGAAGGTGGAGACCACTAGCAAGTAGTGACGCCAAGATGTGGCCCCGGGTGCTCTGCCTGCATCTGCTCATTTTGCAAGTGTGCCTGGCACGCTGTCTGGCGGGGAGTAGTGACCAACACAGGGTAGCTCTCTCCCTTCTCTGTCCCAAAGCACCCGTGGAGACTCAGGCCCACAGCTGGAGAAAGTCCCCTGAGCCAAGGAACTGATGAAGGACAAGGACTGGGGTGCAAAGCCATTTGCCCTGCAGTAGCCATGGCTCCCCAGCCCAGCGCTGGGGGTCTGGAGTCTGGGCTTGGCATGTGACGAAGGGGCAGACCCACATGTGACACAAGAAAAGGCTCAAAAAGCACATTCGTGTCAGGACTTGCAGCCTCCTGCTGCTTCTGAAGCCCAGTCTCTGGGTGACAAGACCCCAGCTTCCCTAAAGTGTCAGACTTCATGGCAGGGACCAGGCTGAGGCCCCCAGAACAACCTCCCCAGCCTGCCCACGTGCTAACTGCAGGGGCATGCGCCAGCCCTAGGAAGACCAGCACCACTACACAGCTGGCCCTTAACCTCTCTGGGCTCAGGGCCTGCCTCTGCAAGATGCGCTAAGGACCCTAGCTCTGCCCCATCATGGAGATGTCATCCATGTCATCCACTGTGAAGGCCAGGGCCCAGTGACAGTGGGGGCCTGCCTGGTTCCCATACTAGCCTCCATCCACTTCCTGCCAAGCAGCCCTGGCGAGCCAATACCTGCTTCATACCACACCCAACCCTGGCTCATCCCTGACCTCCCAGGCCAGGCTCGGATAGATCTTGGGCCTCCGTGGCTCAGGGCCCTCTCCATCCCCAGCCAAAATGCCCTGTCTCTACCCCAGGCACCATGCTAAGCTCTGTGAGGTTCTGAGGCCGTGATGCATGCGACCTTCCCATCTGTAAAGCATCCCAGCTCTGGCACATCAGCGGCAGGGCTTGTGACTAGAATCCTGGTCTGCCACCAGACTTACCTGCCTCTCATCCTACCCCAAAATACCTCCTGAGCCCCTGACGCACTGTACATCTCCCATTCCAAGGATGAACCAAGTTGAGTAAGGCTGCTGGGATGTGGATGTGCTGGTCCCACAGCCTGCGACACCCCACACTACTTTCTTCAAGAGAACAGCCCTGGGGTCCTCCCCTAGCCACCCTAGATTGGGTTGGGGTCCTCGCTGGGCTCCACAGCCCCCCTGCTCATTAGCATCAGAACACCTAGCATGGAGCACTGTACTTTCTTTGATGTGTCCCAGTCACATACCCGCGCCCCAAGCCACCAGGGCCTGTGCAACCTATAACCACAACCCCTCTTGCCCTGTGGGGCTGGCCAAGGACAACCCTGGACGGGACTCCTGAAACCTTGGCAGCTCTGAGTGAAATTCAGGAGGGTCCAAGAACCTGGATGGGGAAAATCCCACCATCTTCATTTCTACCGCCCTCTGGCTGAAATTTAGCATTTCTTGTTGCTGCGTCATCCACAGAAACAAGCTGTATTTTCATGCCACGTTCTGCGGTTGCAGACGTCTTGAGCATTGCAGACGTGCACCGTCACTCGGAGCTCACTGGAGGTGCCAGGCCCACCGGTAGCTCTCATTATTGAATGCATCAGTCAGGAAGCATATTTATCGCTGAATCACAGGTTTTTAAGAATTATTTTCATATGTGTGTTTCAGTTTTATTGGTTTCTTAGGACCAAATGAGATGACCAGGGAATCGCCCTGCCCAGGGCCTGGCAGCAAGAAGCGGTCTGGCACGAGGAGGTGAGGCAGGTTCACTATCCTCTCCATCCCTGAGGCTCTGACCAGGGTGCCTTCCAGTGGGTCCAGACGCCCAGGGACCTGTACTTTTGGGGGTAGCGGTGTGTGCTGTGGTGAGAACCCTGGGCCCGGACCCTGCAGGAACAGC